>NC_000014.9:46486713-47111713 GCF_000001405.40 Homo sapiens
AAATTAATCTATAATGCATAAAATGCAAGCTTCTGCAAAGCTCAACCTTTTGGCTAAAGATTTTAGGTCACCACATTCCATATTTTGATCTCCATGACATTCAGATAACTGGTTGAAATGTTAAAAATTCAGTCAATGCTGAAGTTGTTTGTTTATACCTACCTCATGCCAAACATCTAGTTTGACATTTGGTACTGAATTGTCAGAATTGATCATTTGTCTTGACATCAGGTGGTTACACTGATACACGTCTGATACACACATGCATGTGCACACACGCACAAACATGTACACAAACAGCGATGGCTTTTCTGCTTTATAATAAGTTTTATTCATTGTAGGAAATAACAAAATCCAGGTAATTGTGAATGTAACTGGTTTCTGGCATGAGTTCACCTTCTTAGGTTTCAGGCAGAAAGTAATTTTATAGTTTTCTGTTAATTTCAGTTTCTGAAACAAAATGCTAGGGTAATCCCATGCTTTTAAGATAATTTTTAGTAAGTACAAATTCTTTTGGTCACTATTAGTTGCCAAAACATGTTCCTTTCAGTAGTAAATCCCCATCTACTGCATAAATGAAAATTCCAGATTCACATCTTTCTTGGAATGTTCTCATCCCCCATGTGCCAGCCTGCCTCTGAGTGGACAGTGGATCTTGAGGCAAAGGCAGAACTGGCTTCTGTATTGCTCCGACTTCTCTCCTAGCCTACAACTGCTTCTGACACCTACATGGTTAGGCTAGAACAGCAAGTGAAAAGAACAAGCTTTTCATTATCTGAATCAATTGCAATCTGGGATCTGGTTTGTGTGTGTGTCAAATGGACAATTTCTAGCTCTTTCTTTCATGGGAAAGGGACTGCTGAGATGTCTTTGATGTGGGTCTGCCTCCCCTGAGGGTGGTTGCTCAGCCCTCTCCTCAGCCCTTCTGGCAGAACTACTTCCGTTGTGCTCTCTTTAGTCCCAGTGGTCATTGTTGTTAGTGTCTCTTATAAAGTGATTACAGACAGCCTCTCTGTTGCCGGGTCCACATTTGGACCCTGGAAAACATTCGCCATTGCCTACTCATCAGCGGAAGTGCAACATTCGTCTAGGTCAGCACTTCACAGTTGTTCCTTCCCAGACATGAGAAGTGCCAGCCACGTAACCTTTCCTCCTGACTTCTAAAGGGTGAGTCAAATGGCAGTCCCTATGTTCTGCAAATTCTAAGATCATTGATCAAACTCTGAGTGATCTTGTTGAAGCTCCCTTCACCTGAGGCAAAAGGAAGCCACCTCCATGTGCGGAGCACATGAAGTCTCTCAAAATATTTCCTTTTCCCAGCCTCCTAAACACCAATCTCTTTCATGAGCCATATCTTGATGACAGACCAGTTCTAGCCGAACTCGATTTGGACTACACGTTTTGCAAATCCTGGAGAAGAGGTGCAGCAACTCCTCATGATGCAATGTTTGTAGAATTGATTGGTTGTTCATTTTAGACTCTAGAGTCTCTTTGAAAAAAATGCTGAACAAAGAAGAAAATTCACATTTAGTATCCAATTGCATAAAGAAAACCACAAAAATTACTATCCAAATACAAATGTTACTTATTTTTCATTCTTTTTCTCTCCTTTAATACAAACACAATTGAATTAATATTTTAGGTAGGGTTATATATATCATTTGTTGTTACTCATTGTTGCTTATGAGGTCATGAGCATTTCTCCACGTTGCTAAATATTCATCCAAAGTGGAAATATTTAAATAATCGAATAGTATTATTGGGTTTTGTATATGGGGATCAGATAACTTCTTTCTAGTTCGTAATTGCTGGGCTGCGTGGAGCCATGCCTTGACCTGTTAAAGAGGATATGTCTACAATCCGAAATTCCTGAGCATTGACTGAGCTGGGCCAGTGACTACTACTGGTTCTCTGCATTGGCTCACTTGGGAAGGAAATGAGTGGTTTTTAAGTATAGCTGGGAGAATGAAATGGAAATGTAAGCTATTTCTCTTTTCTTCTAATCTGGAACAAAATTACATTTTTGAGCCTCTTTAACAGGTAGATACAGCTGTGGGAGTAAGGCGTGGGTAACAGAATGTAGGCAATCTGTCCCATAAAAACCTCCTCGATGATCTCTACTGTCTTGTTTTCTCCATTCATGTTTGTTAGAGTTCCAAGCTTAAAGCCGTATTAGATGACTTTGTGTTGAGCGTAGTAGAACTTTTTTTTTTTTTTTTTTTTTTACCTTTTTATAGCAGGCTCCTGTTACAGAGCAAATAGGCTTATAGCCCAATGCTCACAGAAATTAATACCTATGGTTCTGGCTTTCAAGAAAAGCTGTATTGCAAAAACAGCCAGTTGAAAGGCTAATGTTGAGCTTAAATATATGTACCCAATTTGAAGTGTGGGGCACATTTTAAGAGATCAGAGGTCAAGAGAAAGGATTTAGGAATGTTGGCTTGGCAGGGTCTGATTAGAGGGCTTCAAATTTGACCACTTACAGTAAGGTATGTTGAGGCAGATCTTACCGCAGATCTTCTGGGCCAACAGACTCCTCACTTCTGAAAAAGTTCTACCATTCAGGCTCCAGTCATGTATCAATCTTCTTGGCTCTGAGGGGAAGAATCATTTATTCCAGGTGTTGTTAGAAGTAAAAGCTTTTGCTATTGCGCATGCCCAGGCTGCATAACACAGTTTTTAGCTCTGTCTTATTGAATGATAATTTTTTTTTTGTATTTGAAAATAACCCAACCCTAAATCAACAGAGATCTCCAAATGAAGAAAGCAATACTTTTGCATCAATTTACCTTTGCACTGCTTCTCAGTAAACTTCGTTTCCTGGAATTCTTATAAATAAGCAGGAATATATTGTGATATATTGGCACTGTGAATTACCAATCATTATAGTTAAGAGCATATTCTAACAATAAAATGTAAAAATAATTGGCCAGGTAAAATAAATGTAGGGTTATTTTTAAACTAAATTAAAAAAATAAGACATTTGTTTAAGAGATTTATCTATGTTAAAAAACCAAGGGTGGCATAAAATATAATTTTGGAATAATAACTTTAAAATTTGAATGTGATAAAATTAAAATTTGAATGTGATAAAAATAGGCATGTTAGCAATATTTGAACTTCAGCCAATCTCTGATGATTTTGTAAGTAAAATTTTTAAAAATTAAGAAATTTACTTAAAAATAATTTATTTTGTTTTATGTGGAAACTACAAGAATTTTTATTTGAATCCAAATTTAGCCTAGTAGATTGTCATTCAGCTAATTATAGGAATACATTTGTGAGTTATGGGAGAGTTCTTGGATTAAAATAGAGATTCTGTACTACTAACATACTGACTGAACAATTATAACTCTTGGTTGGGGGTCAGAGATTTAACAAGAAGTGAACTTAACTTTATCAACAGTTTAAAGCTAAGTTAAATATTAACAATTTATATTTTTCAAAATTCTTATTGTCTTGCTGATAAAAATTACAGAACTATCAGAATGAATTTTCCACATCAGCCACAAGAATGACCTTCCGGCATACAAGACACTTCTTCCCATGTAATGCAAGGGAAAAAAAAGTTCAGGTAAGGGAGTTCTCCCTAGAAACCACGTAATCTCTGTCACTTCCACTTTCTGTTTGGAAGGAGTTCTTATATATAAATTACCTGGTATTTCACAATGTGATATTGCCACATCTCATTGGTATGGGCAGCCAAACCTGCTCTGACAGGTGAACAAAGATTCTATACTACCTAGTGACTGAATGAACTAAATTGTGTCTGTTGAGGGTCAAGGATTGAATGTTGACATAGAGATCTAACCAGAAGTGAACTAACACAGACTTAAGAAACCAAGAGAGGGTAAAAATGGAAGCTGTGAAACCACAGAAACCATGGGTAAGCAAAAGCCACAAGGGGGAGCAATAGGGGAGAGAGAGTAGGTGATCACTGAAATTGTCAGTAGACATAAAAGCAGAAACAGAATAATTGAATCACTGCAAAGGAAACTATAGAGCTCTAGGCATTGAACACCTGCTGGTGAGGTGAGAACATGATTACTAGGTAGCTAGAACTGAATACAACCTGGAAAGAATTATATAACTTCATTACACATGAAGTCATGCAGCCATTGAGACTCTAAAGTTCTCTCTTACTTCTCTGGTGGTGCGGAGGTGGCTTTAAAACAATGCCTCATTAGCTGCAATTATGTACACACATCTCTTTTACTCAGAACCCATCTGACAATTCTAACACAAATGGCTAGAATGCTTTTGAGTAGTCGTTTATTTCATGATAAATTATTGTAATTATACTCATTCATTCTTGATTATAACAAGTCAGAACATTTATGTTTCAATTGTTTTATTATTATTCTGTCTTGTGAAAATTTTTATATTTCTTTCATAGATGAGATAACAGAGATAGAGAGGTTGAATACCTTGCCCAAATATCTCTGGCAAGTAAATGGAGAAGAAGGGTAAATGCATGAATATAAGTGCATATGATTTTTGCAAAAAATGAGAACATACTCCTCAATTTGTTCCATAAATTGCTATTTTACCAATTATGTTATATAGTTATTCTTCCATGTAAGTATACATGTTTCTTCCTCAGACTTGTTAACTGTTGAATAGTATTTCATAGCATTGAAACACTGGAATTTGTTTAACCATTTCTCTACTTACGGCTTATTTATTTCCAGCTTTTTATTCCTGGAGATGTAGCAGGATATCAAGTGATGGCTTATTTATTTGCAGTTTTTCATTCCTGGAAATGTAGCATGATATCAAGTGAGACTTTTCTCATGCCTAGATACAAATTCACAATCTATGGAAAACTATACTATAGAAATCTGGGACTAGTCTTTCTCTTAAAATGATTTAGAGGTGGCCCAATCCTTCCTTAGAATGAGTACTAAATAGGAGGAGAAAGAAAGAACATTGTAATTGTGAGTTGTCAGCCTGCCAAAGAATACTGAAACTTTTCCTTCATAAATTGGGAGTATGCTCATATGATTTTGCTTACCCTTGGTTTCTGTGATTTCACACCTTCCATTTCGCCCCCTCTCTTGGTGTCTTTGAATCAGCATTAGTTCACTTGCTGTTAGATCTCTATGACAACATTCAATCCAAGTTGAGTGAGAAAAGTCCAACATTTAATCCACGTTGAGGGAGAAAAAAGTCCAAAAATCCAGAAGGATTCTCTGAATTTGAAGATGCCTGAGGAAGGGAAAATGAGCATCCCATTCACAGCTGTACATCTGCAAACATTCAGGTCCTCAAGCCCACTCCTTGCCAGCACCAGCCTTCTTTATAAACCACGATGTAAAAAGAGTTTGCCCTGACAAACATACTTGTCAACGGTGGTTGATTTAAAAATGCCAATGGACCATCCAGGATAAGAAAGAAAGTAACCAGTAAAGAGGGATAAGTAAATGCCAATAAGATACAAATATTTTATCAATATTTTGTATTTTTCAGTACTCTACCCTGCTCCATTACCAGAAAAGAAGAATGTAAAGGGGACTTAAAGAGTAGATAATGCCCCTCCACCATCTGAGTACCTCAAGCCATACTTTAACCTGTTCTGAGAAAGGGTAGGACATAGTCTTATAATTGGATTTGAGATACTGGCATTCAGTGCGATAATATAACCCCTCATTCAGATCATCTTTCCCACTGAGAGCAACTACAAACTCCAGACAAAACAAAACAAAAACAACTAGCTAAGTATTCAGTGATTCAGTGGAGTCAAACTTAGATAAATGACAAAAAAGTAGTCAATTTCCCATTTTCTTGCAGTTTTTCCCTGCAGGCTGACCACAGACACAGAGCAGCTCATCACAGGCAGCTAATTTTGCTAAAAACCTCACTTACTTTCTGGACATAGAAAAAAGGAAAAGGATCCTGGACAACCATGGCCAGCTGTCAGAAAGTGAGGGGAATTCTCACAGGAGAGAAAAAATGGAGGATGAGATCCCATGATTCTGCATATGCACACAATCTCAAATTGATCCATAAACCACATCATTGGGGACGAACTCAAATCAATCACTTCAGCAAAGGCTTAAATAATAGGATGGAGATTCGAACAAGCATCCACAGAAGATGAGACTGAGCTAACAGAATGACTTGA
Source organism: Homo sapiens (assembly GCF_000001405.40). Lineage (NCBI taxonomy): Eukaryota > Metazoa > Chordata > Mammalia > Primates > Hominidae > Homo > Homo sapiens. The sequence continues at coordinate 46,492,838 of NC_000014.9, forward strand.
AAAGATGAATTATTAGCTAAAACAAAAGCATCAACTTAGAGGAATATAAAAGATCCTGGATTGAATACAACATACTATCCACAGTGCCATAGTCCAAAATTATCAACGTTAAAACAAAATGAAAGTATATGTCATGACAAAGATTTGGAAACGTGTTTATAGGCCTTTCATTTACAATAACAAAAAAATTGGAGATAACCCAAACATCTATCAATGTAAGAACATAAAATCAAAGTATGTTCAATAGAATACTGAAAAAGTCTGCCTGTGCCAAGTGTTGGTAAAGATGTAGAGCAACTGGAACTCTCATATATTGCTGGTGGGAATGTAAAAGAGCCCAGCTACTTTGAAAAACAGCTTGGCAATTTTATAAAAATTTAAACATATGCTTATTACATGTTTATATGAAACCCAGGCATATTTATCCAAGAGAGATGAAATCATATGTCTCTATCAATTTTTGTAGATAAATGTTTACAGCTACATTATTTGTAAAAGCTCAAAACTGGAAATAGCCCAAACATCTATCCACAAATAAATGTATCAAAATGTTTTCCATAGAATGAAATACTACTTGGCAATAAAAAATGAATTATCAACACATGTAACAACATGGATGAATCACAAAATAATTACGCTAAATGAAATAAGTCGGATACAGAAAGCACACATAATATATGATTGCATTTACAAGAATTTCTAGAAAATGCAATCTGACCTATGTAGATCAGTAATTGGCTGGGGACAGGAGTGATGGGAAGATCAGGTTGATTGCAAAGAAGAACATGGAAAATTCGGGGGAGTGAAAGAAGTGTGTACTGTCTTGATTGCAGTTATTTCACAAGTGTATCGCATATTCCAAAACTTACCCAATTATGTACTTGACATATATAGTTTATTGTACATAAAATATAGTTCAATCGAGTAATATAAAAATGTAGATTTGAGATAAAATTTAAACTGTAATTAACTGGAAAGTTCTGGACATGTCCTGGTTGTAATGAAAGGGACTGCTACTCAGCTGGCAAAAGAAATTGAGTGCAGTGTGATTAGAAGTAGTAAAGAAAAATACTACTGTTTGATGGTTGTAGCCCAGAAATTTCAAACTGCTAGATGCCCTAGATATCCAGATACTTCACTCATGACCTTTACTCATGTTACATCTTGATAAATACTGCCAAATAGCCCTTCCAAACAGTTAAACTAATTTTAAAGTCTGACAAGAAATGCTTGTGACTGCTCACTTCCCCCTCTGCATCATCATTAATACTAAATAGTTACAATCTCTTTATGGAGCGAGATGATCAATGAAAAACTTAAAATAAAATGCAAAGTAGGAGCCAAAAGGAATAGAGAAATCCAAAACTTGAAAGGTCATAAGAGAGGGAGAAAAAGTGAGGGAGAGAAGCTTTCCAAAGAGTCAATGTAAATAATGTCAAATGCTGTAGAGAGGTCAAAGTTTCTATTTTATTTAAGAACACGTAAGCTGTCAATGGTTTGGATGAAAGCAATTTCAGCTATTGGTGGTGAGAACAGAAAGTTGATTATCATTGTTGAGGGGTAAATGAGGTGAATGAGAGGAAACATAGTCAGTTTTACTGTTTTTTGTTTCTGGAGGATTTTTTTTTAAAGAATTTTACTGTGAAGGGAGAAGATAGTCACTACAGTATAAATGTTATTTTTTTTAATTTAAATTTTTGGAAGCGGTTTTACTTTGCAAATGACAGATACTTGAGTATGTTAAAACATTCATGAGAAACTTAATGGCAAGGTCATTTTTGTGACAGGAAATAAGAGAAATTTGATGTAATGAGATTCCAAGTGAATGAGATTCAATATGATTTTATGTATAATTTTAGGATAAAGGCGTTGCCATTTTAGTATTTGAGAGGAAGGCAAACATTTATGTAAATGCAATAAATTCGGTAGATCTGGAATTCTGATGCTCCTTACAAATGGATCTTTTCTCTGAGAATTATCAGGCTATTGTAGGTGCTGCATATTGTGAGGTTGAAAAAAAAGATTCTTCAGAATGGGAGAAAGAAACAATTTGACTTGGCAAGTATGAAAATTCAGCTCAGCACTGCTAGGGGTTTCAATAATCAGAGAGGATATCCCCAGTCCAGGTATCTGGAAATAACCACAGGGTTTATCTAATTCCTTCTAAAGCTACAGTAGGATTTATTATCTTTTAATCTGCACTAAGGAATGAAAACATTTAAATGTAATGACATGGCAAATTTATGGCATCTATGCTCATAAGTAAGTACAAATAAAATAATATACTTTATTTCCTATGATGGAACTAAACTTTTCCTTCAAATATTCCATTTTAATTACTAGGACAAATAAGAGAAAAATATTTATTTTAAATTTGCCAATTACTGGTATCAGAGTCTTGAGTATAAATAATCTAATTTAAATGGCTCTTTATTTTAGATAATTCTTAGTCATGTTCTTTTTTACATCCTTGCCCTTCAGCTTTCCTTCACTTTTTCATTCCTTTCCAAAAGTTTGTCTGAGTATGTAGGTGATTTTTACGGCAGTAACAGATGTTGTTCAATCATCAAATTGATAATACCCGGGGTGTGAACAGACTCAGTTGCCCTTTTGAATCACTGTACTGGCACACAACACTGTAGTCTTGGTCCTTTTTTTCAGTTAAAAAGTATCTACATATCACTGAAACCCAGATGCTATCATTTCATCTTCTTTGCAGCACTGACAAGGCACACATGAATTTTTGGACACAATCTAGACAACTCACTACTCATGGGAGTCTCTCTTGGGTTAATCTAACTGGGATGTTCCTTCTGCTAATGTAGTGCTATCCTCCTCCCTCAGTAATGAGTAGGACACTCATGTGGATGCAGCCTCCTCTTAGCATCCTGCTGTCTCCCTCAGGCAAGGCCAGAGGAAGCAGGCCACTAGCCCGCTGTTCTTGGAATCCTCCATGCCCATTTTGATATTTTCTAGTTATGATTGGCACCAGGGCAGGGCAATAGGTAGAGGTAGATGAGGATGTCTACAACAGGTAGAGATACATGAGGCTGTCAAATTAATTAATTAATTTAAGATCCAAAATACTGCTCCCCTTATTTTTATTTTCTATAAATTTAATCTAATACTAAATTTTACATAATAAAACATAAAGACTACATGAGGTATTAGAAAAATGAACTTCCAATTCTTTGTCAGTAAGTAGCAGGTGACATTATTTAGTCCAGTAAAGATATTTAGAAACTAGTATCTTTCGCGGTTCTCTGTAGATTCCTCTTCTTCCACTTTTGTTATTCTTATCCTTTGTCTCACAGGTTTTGACCCAGTGCTCACATTTGCCAACATATCTTTATCCCCAGCCTGTGCTTTTAATCAGAACCTTAGTACTGTCTAGTTAAGTAGACTGTCCCATCCAGCATAATATTCAAAATACAATCTGCTTTCACTGATAGTGCAAGAACAGCTGTAAAACCTTTCAGCTCCTCTCTCTTGATCTTTCTCAATAATTTGTGAACTTCATTTTCATAATCAAATACATCTTTTTCAAATACAAATATTCTGTTTTTTTTATGGTGACTTTAAATGATCCTAGGCTGGAGATAGTTTTTGTTTGGATTCAAACTCACAGTAAATTCTCCCATTAGTTAAATATTGAAGGAATTGATGGTGCTGTACATTATCTCTCAATCATGATTTCAGCCAAGTAAGGCATGTTACCATCTAACCATTTCACTCTGCCATGGATGTTTGTCCCATATTTGCCTACTCAGCATCCACCCCTGCTTTCTATATCTGTGAGTCATAGTTTAGGACAAGACTCCAAGTACGTCCACTGAGAGGAGCCACTTATGCCCTATTCCCACCATATGACACCTAGGGCATAAGCATGGGAGCTGGGATGCTGAATCTGGCCTGAGTGGAGGAAAGAATAATGGAGCAAATATGCACTCACAGTGGCTGGCCTAAGCAGTGTGGTATCCACCAATGGTGCTCAATGCTAGCAGCTGTGGATTACTGCCAAATCATGGTTTTTAGTTTTCAATTTTCTGTATTTAAATCTTAAATCTAAAAAAAATTAAGTTCTCTTACACAAAATTCTTTCCATATATTCATATTTGCTCCTCATTCTTTTTTCTTTTTTAGATATTTAGATTGTTTTTATTGCTTCTTTTTTTAATTGTACTTTAAGTTCTGGGGTGCATGTGCAGAACGTGGAGTTTTGTTACATAGGTATATACGTGCTATGGTGGTTTGTTGCACCCATCAACCCATAACCTACATTAGGTATTTCTCCTAATGTTATCCCTCCCCTAGCCCCCCACTCCCTGACAGGCCCTGGTGTGTGATGTTCCCCTCCCAATGTCCATGTGTTCTCACTGATCAACTTCTACTTATGAGTGAGAAACATGTGGTCTTTGGTTTTCTGTTCTTGTGAAAGTTTGCTTAAAAATATGGTTTATAGCTTCATCCATGTCCCTGCAAAAGTCATGAACTCATTCTTTTTTATGGCTACATAGTATTCTATTGTGTATATGTGCCACATTTTCTTTATCCAGTCTATTATTGATGGACATTTGGGTAGGTTCCAAGTCTTTGCTATTGTGAATAGTGCTGCAATATACACACGTGTGCATGTGTCTTTATAGTAGAATGATTTCTAATCCTTTGGGTATATACCCAGTAATGGGATTGCTGGATCAAATGGTATTTCTAGTTCTAGATCCTTGAGGAATCGCCACACTGTCTTCCAGAATGGTTGAACTAGTTTACACTCCTACCAACGGTGTAAAAGCATTCCTATTTCTCCATATCATCTCCAGCATCTGTTGTTTCCTGACTCTTGAATGATGGCCATTCTAACTGGCATGAGATGGTATCTCATTGTGGTTTCAATTTGCATTTCTCTAATGACCAGTGATGATGAGCATTTTTTCATATGTCTGTTGGCTGCATAAATGTTTACTTTCGAGAAGTGTCTGTTCATATCCTTTGCCCAATTTTTGATGTTTTTTTTCTTATAAATTTGTTTAAGTTCTTTGTAGATTCTGGATATTAGCCCTTTGTCAGGTGATAGATTGCAAACATTTTCTCCCATTCTGTAGGTTGCCTGTTCACTCTGCTGATAGTTTCTTTTGCTGTGCAGAAGTTCTTTAGTTTAATTAGACCCTATTTGTCAATTTTGGCTTTTGTTGCCAAAATTGGTGCTTTAGTAATGAAGTCTTTGCCCATGCCTACAAACTGAATGGTATGGCCCAGATTTTCTTCTAGGATTTTTATGGTCCTAGGTCTTATGTTTAAGTCTTTGATCCATCTTGAGTTGATTTTTGCATAAGGTGTAAGGAAGGTGTCCAGTTTCAGTTTTCTGCATATGGCTAGCCAGTTTATCCAATAACGTTTATTAAATAGGGAATCTTTTCCCCATTGCTTTTTTGTGTCAGGTTTGTCAAAGATCAGATGGTTGTAGATGTGTGGTGTTATTTCTGAGGCCTCTGCTCGGTTCCGTTGGTCTATATATCTGTTTTGGTACTAGTACTGAGCTGTTTTGTTTCTGTAGCCTTGTAGTATAGTTTGAAGTCAGGTAGCGTGATGCCTCCAGCTTTGTTCTTCTTGCCCAGGATTGTCTTGGCTATGCGGGCTCTTTTTTGGTTCCATATGAAGTTTAAAGTAGTTTTTTCCAATTCTGTGAAGAAAGTCATTGGTAGCTTGATGGAGATGGCATTGAATCTATAAATTACTTTGAGCAGTATGGCCATTTTCAAGATATTGATTCTTCCTATCCATGAGCATGGAATATTTTTCCATTTGTTTGTTTCCTCTCTTACTTCTTTGAGCAGTGGTTTGTAGTTCTCCTTGTAGAGGTCCTTCACATCCCTTGTAAGTTGTATTCCTAGGTATTTTATTCTCTTAGTAGCAATTGTGAATGGGAGTTCACTCATGATTTGGCTTTCTGTTTGTCTATTATTGGTGTATAGGAATGCTTGTGATTTCTGCACATTGATTTTGTATCCTGAGACTCTACTGAAGTTGCTTATCAGCTTAAGGAGATTTTGGGCTGAGATGATGTGATTTTCTAAATACACAATCATGTCATCTGCAGAGACAATTTGACTTCCTCTCTTCCTATTTGAATACCTTTTATTTATTTCTCTTGCCCGATTGCCCTGGCCAGAACTTCCAATACTATGTTGAATAGGAGTGGTGAGAGAGGGCATCCTTGTCTTGTGCCAGTTTTCCAAGGGAATGCTTCCAGCTTTTGCCCATTCAGTATGATATTGGCTGTGGATTTGTCATAAATAACTCTTATTATTTTAAGATACGTTACATCGATACCTAGTTTATTGAGAATTGTTAGCATGAAGGGGTGTTGAATTTTGTCAAAGGGCTTTTCTCCATCTATTGAGATAATCATGTGGTTTTTGTGATTGGTTCTGTTTATGTGATGGACTACATTTATTGACTGCATATGTTGAACCAGCCTTGCATCCCATTTTGTTGGAGCATACACTTAGGGTTGAACTTCCTCATTCTCTGTCCTAAATAAAGTCAGTTCCTTTGGGGTGAGCTGCAGTGCATTCTGTTCCTGTATTCTTTCCCCAAGGAAAAATTCTGATTTATTGCTTCAGAGTTATGATCAAGACAATGACCAGATCCTCTTGGAGTTACATACCTGTTTTATGAGCAGAGTTTTCAGCATAATCCTCTCGTCTTCCCAGCTTGCCTCTCCTCTGTGGAACTTCCATATTATGACAGAGTTGGGTCAATGGCTATTGCGGTATTAGTGTTCTTGGTCTGTGATGCCTGGAGTTAGAGCCTCTGCTCTAAGGATGGGTGCCAGGTGGAAGATTGGGGCTTGAGATATCTTGGCTAACCTCATTTGGAATTTAGCCTCTGCAAAACAGAGCTCAAAGAGATGAAAAATGATGGCAATCTGCTTTTTCTGGTGACATATAGTAGCCATTGATGGGGAGCTGGGACAAAAAGAATTCCTGTCTTGGTGTCCACACCTGCCTAGTGGAAAGTCTGTCATGCTGAGGGGGAGGGGTGGGGGCAGAAGGATTAGGCTGTAACTCAAGTCTGACAGACTAGCTGTTCTTACAGAGATTTAGTAAATTTCCATGACTAAACGTTTCTTGGTTTGCTCTATTCCCTTGTGGCAATTTTCAGGGACTTTGAATGTTTCTTTGTGTTTTTTTAAGTAATTTTCACCACTTAATGGTTTTTCACTGGGAATAGGTTAAATTATTATTTATAATGTATATTAAATTTCTATTTCTAGTCTAACAGTGTCATTGAAAGCCTTTTTTATATTTTCATGCACATAACAAATCTATTTATCTGTGGAAGGCCAGATTATATGAAGAAAATATTTTCTGGTATTACTTTCAAAACGTACATACTTCTTTTTATGATTTAGTTTTTTTATTGTTTAACAGCCCTATTGTGTGAAAGGCTTTTAGAGGCATATTGAATTATGTGTTACATATCATAACATTCTAATTCTGAAGAACGGAATTTTTGGCAGTAACTTACCAAAAGATTATAGCTCAGAAATTTCTAGGATTAATGTCCATTGCTCTATCTCTTTTGTGTAAAATGGAGACAATTGTTCAGTGTTGTTATGAGGATTAAATTAATATATGCAAAATAGTTAAAAAGAGTACCCGGCACATGGTATGCACCCAGTAAATGTTGACAATTGTTGCTGTGATTATTGTAGTTGTTATTCTTGTGAATGAAGATGGCTTGGTGGTGAAACATAGGTTTAACAATAAAACATTTTTGCCAGTATAGATTTTGATTTAAAAATATAAGGAAAGTTTCATTTTCTTTTTACTCTAAACATTAGAGTTTTCTGAGAGGGTAGAGATATAAAATTAGCATTGGCTCATATTCAATCTTTCACAAAGAACAGTTATTGATACACTCACCCTCTGGTTTAAAAGCTCACTGAAATTCAAAGGAATGTAGTAATTTCTTTGATTCCAGTTCACATCATGAAGCCATCTTTTGAGAAATGCTATTGCTTAGCTTTGGAGCTGAATAGAGATTCTTTCTTTTTGAATTCTACTTCATCCATGTTTCTAATCTGTTTTCTATACTGATCTCTTTGAGATTAAACAATCTTAAATCAAAGCTTTATTTGTTTGAGCTATAGAATGTGCTGCAATTATTTAAAAATCACAGGCTTCTTCTGTACTCAGCAGCTGGTACAGATTTTGAGAAAAAGAAGTCATGAGTACAAAGGGACAACACAAACATCAAATATGATGATAAATTTGGCTTATTCACTACCTTGATATTAAATTTCCAACAACTTAACTTATATGAAGTATATTTGTATTTATTTTTTTTCCAAAAAATTATTCCAATACGAGCTCAAGAATATTGGTTGAAATTATGAGTACTATAATATTGAAGTTATTATTTGCATATGTGAAACTAATATAAACCTTTATCATTTTTCATCAGGTACTTCAATAGGATGTTGGAAAAGAAGACTTCCACTCTAATAGGATGAAAAAATGATCATTTATTTACATCATTCTGATTTCTTTTAATTGCTTCACAATCCACTATAAAGAAGATTCGCTCTGACCCTAAATTTTCTACTTTTTTTCCCACTTTTCTCTCACATAAATTAGGTGTTTCATTCTTTTTCCTCCTTATTATTTTATTTACACCATTCTGTGTTGAGCACAGAAAGGTGGAAGTATATAGCCCTGTTCTCTGTTTTTAATGCTCTGTATATTTTTGTTTCCTTTTCTGTGGAATCAGTTTTTCATTATCCTTATAGAATCAGTTTTTCATTATCCTTATAAGGAGATGCCATTTTTCTCAATCTTTCCTTAAAATCTAACTAACTTCTTTACTAAGTCATTTCTGTTCCTTATAGAATAGTGAATGTGACTGTTCTTAGTGTATTGACTGGTCCCTTTACATCAGCATTGTAACTTTTAGGTATTAGTTTACTTTCATATGATTGTTATTTCATATATCATTGTGAACATATTTTTTTCCAAAAATAAAATACATATTGACCTAAAAGAAATTGCATCTAAAAGAAAACCTGCCTAATGTGCTACATTTTGATATTTCAGAGGAATTACTTTTAGTCTAATTCTTGTAATCTATAATCCCTTTTTATATAGTGGTTTATGCACTAGTTTGTGAACTGATTGATTGTAACTGGTATGGGAGGTAAGGCGCTCACAAAAATATGTAGATTAATTATGTGTTTTTTTTTTTTTTGTAGAAAGACATTTTCTATCAAAGATACAGTGTATTTATTTCCATTCTAGAATAAGCTCTCTATTGCCTAAAATACTGGTAACAGTCTGTAGGCTGGCACTGGTTCACAGACCCCATTTTGAGGTCTATAGCATTGCTATAGAGAATTCTAATACTCTCTTTAAAACCATGTACTTGAGAAAAAACTTTATATTGCCTGTGCCTGCCTATAGAAAAAATTATAAATTTACTTTCTGTGGGTATTTTTTGGCATTCTTAAAATTACAAAATCTTGATTTTGTCAACTACAAGTGTACTGATTATAAAAGTGTTCTTTTCTTTCATAGAAATAAACATGGCTTTATGGTTGAGAAATTGTATCTTCAGGGTACAACCTAGAAAATAAATAAATAGAAATATGCTAACTTTTCAAAGGCGATATCAAACAGGGAATTGATTAAAAAGTGTTTGTTAGAAGGACTGGTGTAACAAAAGGGAGAATTGTTAGCAGAACACAGAGAATAAGTGTGTTTTCCAGAAAACTACAAATGCCACTGGACTAGAATCCAGTAACTAGTGCCTACTGCTGGTCTGCAGTAGGGCAGCTGTTCAGGGGCTGAAACTGCTAAAAATGGATACCAGAGCTATGCCGGTACTTGCTTACCAAACCAACACTAAGGAAGTCTAGCCACTGATGGAACTGCTGGAATTCTCATTCACCTAATCTCATCCAAGCTATAGCAACACCAGCAATTTCCAGCAGCTACCAGCAATTGCCACTGCTGTCTATACTAAAAGCTTCTCAGTTCTAACAGCCTTCAAATTACCTTCCAGAGGCAAGAGGCAGCATGGTGAAAGCAAGAGCAAGAGAGAGGAGAGAGCAGCCACACATTTTTAAACAAGCAGATCTCACTATCACAAGGACAGTACCAACAGGATGATACTAAACCATTCATGAGAAACCGCCCCCCATAATCCAGTCACCGCCCACTAGGCCCCACCTCCAACACTGGGGATTATAGTTCAACATGCGATTTGGGTGGTGACACAGATCCAAACTTTATCACAGGCCAAGGTCAAGGCTTGGTTGAGAAGAAGGCTCAGAGGAGCCTGACCAAAATTTGTTGTGCTTGGTATTACCAAATTAATACCAATCCATTGATGTGTCCAAGATGCCCAGTTTTTCACATTTACAAACCAGCTATGTTTTCAAATGTGTTCACCTTTGTCAACCAGATGTGCAAAATTAGGGTGTCTCCTTACAAACTTTCTGCTAGTGAATATCAAAACTCGTAAATGGATGCATCATCTTTTCTAATAATATATCTTAAATTAAGTAATTATGGATAAAGGGCAAGGCATTTATCAATATGTTGTTTATAATAGTGAAAAATGGGGAAGTAGCCTAAATATGCCTTTGGGGATTTGTTAAACAAATTGTAGCACATTCACAGGATGAAATTATTTGTAGCCATTAAAAATCACACATAAGAGCTGGCAGGGTCACTCATGCTTATAATCCCAACACTTTGGGAGGCTAAGGCAGGAGGATTGCTTGAGCCTAGGAGTTCAAGACCAGCCTGAGCAACATAGGGAGACCTCATCTCTACAAATAAAAAATAAAACAATTAGCTGGGCATGGCGTGCCTGTAATCCCAGCTACTCAGAAGGCTAAGGCAGGAAAATCACATTTTGGAAGTGAAGCTGCAGTGAGCTGTGATCACACTTCATCCTGGGCAACAGAGCACAATCTTGTCTCAAAAAAAAAAAAAAGAAAGAAAGAAAGAAAGAAAAGAAAAAAAAATCAAGCATAAAATTTTATGAAATGCCTGTTTTTGAGTTTATGGGGTCCCCTCCCCCATTTTGGTCCCATCCAAAATCTTACAGAAATTACTGCTCTTTTGCATTAAAATTTTAAATTATTCAAATAATTGGCATATATATAAAAACATGGAGACAAAAGTGAAATACTAACACTTTCCCCACTTATTCCCGTTTCTAGTAATAACTGCAGCCAGCTATGTGAAGACTAGCAGACCTTTTTCTAAAATGCATTTCATGCAGTCCTTTGGGTTTTACTTTTTTACTGAAGTAACACATGAATAAATTCTCAGTCTTCAACTGTGCAAACAACACAAAATTATGTGGACTAAACTTCCCTGTCACTTTTTGGCCATAAATACTACTGCTTTCTCTAGAGGAAACAACCATGAACATGCTGATTTCTCTCTTTTAGATCTTGTTTTAAGAATTAAAGCTACTCTAATAACTAACAAGAAAGGTGTTTTTAATTATTTTCTTTTTAATTAGCATTATGAAAATTTAAAAGAAAAAAGATTTAAAATTCTTTTAAAATTTAAAAGAAAAAACAAAAACAGATTACCTTTCAGAACCTCACATTGTCTGATCATAACAGAAAGCAAGTGTTTAAGGGAGTCTGGGAAATGTAACTTGCAGGCTCACAGCCATAGCAGTTCAGACTGCAAAAGGACCAGTACAAAAGCACAATTAATACCTTTGGCTACTTGCATTCATATCTATACTTCTATCCAATTTAAACATATATTGGAGATATATACACAGACACACACACACACACATATATGTAAACATAATGCAATATATATATATATCCATTCCCATTTTTAACCTTTATACATAATACAATAACAATCAAAAGGTCATGATTCCACCTAACAGGTTACAAGATATCCTCAGGAAAAAAAAATATATATATATATTTCTGCAGTAGTCTGCAGTTGCTGAATATATATTTATATATACATATAATATTATCAATCTTGGTAATGTCAGTATCTCTTATAGTTCAGTCATCATTTTACTAAGATATTCGTTAACACAAATAATGGCTAGGTTGAGAAGTCAAAATTAACTGTCACCCTGACTGTTTGCATAAAATAAAAGAAAAATGGTTATGTCATATATAACAATAAAGAAAACAATTATGCAGAGCTGTCAAAATCCTTACTTCTGTAACTGGTCATAAGGCCTCCTCAGTAATTATACATAATTTTCTTCCTCCAACACTGGTCCTGCTTTTTTGGATTGTTTAGTCTACCATGCTGAAGATGACAGTGAAGAGCTGTCCAAAGGAATCTCATGAATTCCCCATATCCCCTTGCGACCAGTTTTTCCTGTATGGTGTCTATTAATCACGCTAGTCAGTATAGTATTCCCTTTTTTGCCTATTAGTTTCAGTGTCAAAAGAATCTCAGATGCCCTCCTTAAAACTGGACTGGCATTGTGTCTCTTTTTAATAACTATAATGCAGCAGCACTGGCCTTGTGTTAATTTCACAGCCTAGGCCTTAAGAAGCCTTGTGACTTATGCTTTCCCTCTGTTGGAATACTAAAACCATCATGCTAACCCCATTTAGGAAAGAGAAACATGGAAATACCTCATTTCCCCAAATGGCATTCACCATCAACTGCCAGACAAGTCAGTGAGGCCAACTTGGGCCCCCTAGCTTTTAGTCAATCATCAAATGATTGTAGTTGCATAAGTGATCACTGTCAAGACCAGCAGAACTCCCCAGAATCCCATCCCACTGAGCTATGAAAAATAATAAATCATAGTAGTTTTGATTACTAATTTGGGGATTATTTATTGTGTACCAAAAGATGACAGATACACAGCATTTTCAGTCAAGAAAATCTACTATCAGAAAAGAGAAGAAAGATTGCTTTTGCTGGCAAAAAAAGTCATGGGGATATTTAGCTTTCCAAGATGATCAGATTCACCAGAATCCCCACAAATATTTACATTTCTACTCTAAGAGTTCTACTATTTCCCAGGCAAAGTATTAATTTTCATCAAAGATACCTAGCAAGAATCTATACTGCATAAATGTTTCAATTCCCAAACTTACAAAATTAACTTTGGTGTCTGATTTTCCAGTCATATTACACCTGTGTCTATAAAGATTAGACTTATAGAGATGAGAAACTATTTTCTGTGCCTTGAGCTGAAAGGTTAAATCCTTGAGGCTGATATTTTACTTTATAATTTTGCAATTTAAGTCAGAAACAGCCATCCCCATCCCATAATGTTAAAGTTATGATTACTTATTTGATGGTAATATTCAACAGATACTTGGTTTCCAAAAGCCTTGCATGTGGTTACATCCAGCTGTCAGAAGTCTACTAACATCTCTAGGTTAGGACCCAGAAACCCAAACCAGCTGTGGTACAGCTGTAGCCACTGCCACTGTAAGTGTTAGAACAGCCAAAGGGCCGAGGGCCATAATCACTGATGGTCACACATCCTTACCATTACTGTGTGACAGTACTATAGCAAAGAGAAGAAGTAAAATGTTTTCCTTTTCCTCAAACTCTCTTCACCCCAAAGTCCTTCCCATTGATATTAGATAATAAGAAATCATTTGGCAATGGAATCTGAGAAATATAGTTTATTGCCTTCTAGTCTTACAGATATATAATCAGAATACAGATGCAGTAGCCTGAGAGGTGACAAATAACCAGAAGACAGATATTTTCCACCAAAGAGATTGCTTTGAGTTTCATTAAAATGATTCTTCTATTAATTGTCAATGGCATCCTAGGTAAAGCTAATTTTGGGGGAATTAGATTTTAATTAAGGTATTAAATGAGGAATTAGACTAAAATGATTTCCAGTTTCCCTTTATCCTCTAAAAATGGCTGCTGATAAATAATGATGTATCAGTTTAGCTTTCTGACTGTATGTAGCACTATCAATAGAAGGGGAATGTAAGCCAAAAATGTCACCCACATTTGTGATTTAAAGTTTTCTAGTAGCCACATTAAAAATGGTAAAAACAAACAACTGAAAATATTTTTTATAATATATTTTACTTAATATATTCAAATTATTATCATTTTAACATGTTATCAGTACAAACACAATTTATCATATAGTTAATATACTTTTGTCATACTAAGACTTTACAGTGTGGATGTATTTTGGACTTACAGAGAACACCAGTTGAACTAGCCACAATTCAAATGATCAAGAGCTACATGTTGATGGTGGCTATCATATTGACTAGTGGAAATCATAGCACAGATATGAATAATCTTTTCTTTTGTAGACCAATGCAGTATGATACTTTTTTTACTCTTTTTCAAATAGTATATTTTATTGCCGATGACTACAAAGTATTTATTATTTGTTAAAAAATCGAAAAGCTCTAAAGTTATAATAATAGTAATGAAGTAACTTACAGAGTAATGCAAGCACCCAACTTTAAATTTATTGTACTAGAAAGCAGAATTGTAAATAACTACTTGTTAAAAGTGTAATACAGAGTTTTTTATGTATTTATTTTTTGAAACAGGGTCTCATTCTGTTGCCCAAGCTGGAGTGCACTGGCGCGATCTCTGCTCACCACAACCTCCGCCTCCCAGTCTCAAGTGATTCTGCTGCCTCAGCCTTCTAAGTAGCTGGGATTACAGGCACACCCCCACTACCACTAGGGACATTTTTGTATTTGTAGTAGAGCCGGGGTTTCACCATGTTGGCCAAACTAGTCTCAAACTCCTGATCTCAAATGATCCACCCACCTCGGCCTCCCAAAGTGCTGGGATTACAGGCATGAGCCACCACACCTGGCTTGAGTTTTTTAATATATTAAAATATAAAATAGAAACCAAAGTTTTCTCAAATAAAGTTAAGAACGATGTATAGCACATAGAGCAAAATGAAGTACAAACTTTGAAATCATAGTTTTGAATCTTTATTTCAACATTTTTTCTGTTAACTGTAGGAAGTTATGTTTTCTTCCCTCAGATTCCTCACCTGTGGAAATGAAAGTGCCATTTTATCAGGATTATGAGAATTGTCTGAGATACTGAACACAGATCATGACATTATCTTGGACAGGAGTTCGTAATATAACCTTTGTGAAAGTGCTGAACTTTAAATTAGTAATTGACAGCAATATATACAGTGAAAGGGTAAAAACTCATTTTGACATACTTAGTAAGAATAGATTAGATAAAATAGTATGACATGTAAATATATGGCGTAATATAAAAAAATTATTGCCATGAGCCATGATATATATATATATGTTTGTGTGTGTGTGTGTGTGTAAGTGGCTGCTAATGACAAAATTTGCACACACACACACACACACACATCCTCAATAGCCACATGTGTTAAGTGACTACTGTTTTGGACAGTGCAAGTATAGATTCCAAGTTTGACGTGGAATCCTAATTTTGTTCACTTTTCTTGCTCTGCGTCCTTGGACACATTATTTAGCACATGTGCTAAATAAATGAGTATGCTCAGTGGGAAGAAGAAGAGGAGGAAGAAGGAAGAAGATGGGGAGGAAACTTCCATAATTTATCGTGAGGGCTAAATGAATTATGATATTTAAGGAGCTTAGAACAGCCCCTAGCATATGTTAAACACTATGTAAGATTTTTCATTAATTGCAACATAGTTTTCTGCAAAGAGGTGATACATACCTGTGTTTAAGAGGATCAGTTTAAGGGAGCCAAGATGGCCGAATAGGAACAGCTCCGGTCTACAGCTCCCAGCGTGAGTGACACAGAAGATGGGTGATTTCTGCATTTCCCTCTGAGGTACCAGGTTCATCTCACTAGGGAGTGCCAGACAGTGGGCGCAGGACAGTGGGTGCCGCGCACTGTGCATGAGCCCAAGCAGGGCGAGGCATTGC
The DNA here is from genome assembly GCF_000001405.40 of Homo sapiens. Lineage (NCBI taxonomy): Eukaryota > Metazoa > Chordata > Mammalia > Primates > Hominidae > Homo > Homo sapiens. The sequence continues at coordinate 46,508,751 of NC_000014.9, forward strand.
CTCACTCAGGAAGTGCAAGGGGTCAGGGAGTTCCCTTTCCTGGTCAAGGAAAGGGGTGACAGACGGCACCTGGAAAATCTGGTCACTCCCAACCTAATACTGCACTTTTCCGACGGGCTTAGGAAACGGCGCACCAGGAGACTATATCCCGCACCTGGCTCGGAGGGTCCTACGCCCACGGAGTCTCGCTGATTGCTAGCAGGGCAGTCTGAGATCAAACTGCAAGGCGGCAGCCAGGCTGGGGGAGGGGCGCCTGCCATTGCCAAGCTGTGAGTAGGTAAACAAAGCTGCCCGGAAGGGAAGCTCAAACTGGGTAGAGCCCACCACAGCTCAAGGAGGCCTGCCTGCCTCTGTAGGCTCCACCTCTGGGGGCAGGGCACAGACAAACAAAAAGACAGCAGTAACCTCTGCAGACTTAAATGTCCCTGTCTGACAGCTTTGAAGAGAGCAGTGGTTCTCCCAGCACACAGCTGGAGATCTGAGAACGGGCAGACTGCCTCCTCAAGTGGGTCCCTGACCCCTGACCCCCGAGCAGCCTAACTGGGAGGCACCCCCCAGTAGGGGCAGACTGACACCTTACATGGCCGGGTACTCCTCTGAGACAAAACTTCCAGAGGAACGATCAGACAGCAGCATTCGCGGTTCACGAAAATCCGTGTTCTGCAGACACCACTGCTGATACCCAGGCAAACTGGGTCTGGAGTGGACCTCTAGCAAACTCCAACAGACCTGCAGCTGAGGGTCCTGTCTGTTAGTTTTCCTTCTAACAAACAGAAAGGACATCCACACCAAAAACCCATCTGTACATCACCATCATCAAAGACCAAAAGTAGATAAAACCACAATCATGGGGAAGAAACAGAGCAGAAAAACTGGAAACTCTAAAAAGCAGAGCGCCAATCCTCCTCCAAAGGAACGCAGTTCCTCACCAGCAATGGAACAAAGATAGATGGAGAATGACTTTGATGAGTTAAGAGAAGAAGGCTTCAGATGATCAAACTACTCCGAGCTACAGGAGGAAATTCAAACCAAAGGCGAAGAAGTTAAAAACTTTGAAAAAAATTTAGACGAATGTATAACTAGAATAACCAATACAAAGAAGTGCTTAAAGGAGCTGTTGGAGCTGAAAGCCAAGGCTCGAGAACTATGTGAAAAATGCAGAAGCCTCAGGAGCCGATGCAATCAACTGGAAGAAAGGGTATCAGTGATGGAAGATGAAATGAATGAAATGAAGCGAGAAGGGAAGTTTAGAGAAAAAAGAATAAAAAGAAACGAACAAAGCCTCCAAGAAATATGGGACTATGTGAAAAGACCAAATCTGCATCTGATTGGTGTACCTGAAAGTGACGGGGAGAATGGAACCAAGTTGGAAAACACTCTGCAGGATATTATCCAGGAGAACTTCCCCAATCTAGCAAGGCAGGCCAACATTCAGATTCAGGAAATACAGAGAATACCACAAAGATACTCCTCAAGAAGAGCAACTCCAAGACACATAATTGTCAGATTCACCAAAGTTGAAATGAAGGAAAAAATGTTAAGGGCAGCCAGAGAGAAAGGTCAGGTTCCCCACAAAGGGAAGCCCATCAGACTAATAGTGGATCTCTCGGCAGAAACTCTACAAGCCAGAAGAGAGTGGGGGCCAATATTCAACATTCTTAAAGAAAAGAATTTTCAACCCAGAATTTCATATCCAGCCAAACTAAGCTTCATAAGTGAAGGAGAAATAAAATACTTTACAGACAAGCAAATGCTGAGAGATTTTGTCACCACCAGGCCTGCCCTAAAAGAGCTCCTGAAGGAAGCACTAGACATGGAAAGGAACAACCGGTACCAGCTGCTGCAAAATCATGCCAAAATGTAAAGACCATCGAGGCTAGGAAGAAACTGCATCAACTAACGAGCAAAATAACCAGCTAACATCATAATCACAGGATCAAATTCACACAAAACAATATTAACTTTAAATGTAAATGGACTAAATGCTCCAATTAAAAGACACAGACTGGCAATTTGGATGAAGAGTCAAGACCCATCAGTGTGCTGTATTCAGGAAACCCATCTAATGTGCAGAGACACACATAGGCTCAAAATAAAAGGATGGAGGAAGATCTACCAAGCAAATGGAAAACAAAAAAAGGCAGGGGTTGCAATCCTAGTTTCTGATAAAACAGACTTTAAACCAACAAAGATAAAAAGAGACAAAGAAGGCCATTACATAATGGTAAAGGGATCAATTCAACAAGAAGAGCTAACTATCCTAAATATATATGCACCCAATACAGGAGCACCCAGATTCATAAAGCAAGTCCTGAGTGACCTACAAAGAGACTTAAGACTCCCACACAATAATAATGGGAGACTTTAACACCCCACTGTCAATATTAGACAGAACAACGAGACAAAAAGTTAACAAGTATACCCAGGAATTGAACTCAGCCCTACACCAAGCGGACCTAATAGACATCTACAGAACTCTCCACCCCAAATCAACAGAATATACATTTTTTTCAGCACCACACCTATTCCAAAATTGACCACATAGCTGGAAGTAAACCTCTCCTCAGCAAATGTAAAAGAACAGAAATTATAACAAACTGTCTCTAAGACCACAGTGCAATCAAACTAGACTCAGGATTAAGAAACTCACTCAAAACCGCTCAACTACATGGAACCTGAACACCCTGCTCCTGAATGACTACTGGGTACATAAAGAAATGAAGGCAGAAATAAAGATGTTCTTTGAAACCAATGAGAACAAAGACACAGCATACCAGAATCTCTGGGTCACATTCAAAGCAGTGTGTAGAGGGAAATTTATAGCACTAAATGCCCACAAGAGAAAGCAGGAAAGATCCAAAACTGATACCCTAACATCACAATTAAAAGAACTAGAAAAGCAAGAGCAAACACATTCAAAAGCTAGCAGAAGGCAAGAAATAACTAAAATCAGAGCAGAACTGAAGGAAATAGAGACACAAAAAACCCTTCAAAAAATTAATGAATCCAGGACCTGGTTTTTTGAAAGGATCAACAAAATTGATCCTTTAGCAAGACTGCTAGCAATTGATCCGCTAGCAAGACCAAGAAAGAAAAAAAGAGAGAATCAAATAGACGCAATAAAAAATGATAAAGGGGATGTCACCACCAATCCCACAGAAATACAAACTACCATCAGAGAATACTACAAACACCTCTATGCAAATAAACTAGAAAATCTAGAAGAAATGGGTAAATTCCTTGACACGTACACTCTCCCAACACTAAACCAGGAAGAAGTTGAATCTCTGAACAGACCAATAACAGGATCTGAAATTGTGGCAATAATCAATAGCTTACCAACCAAAAAGAGTCCAGGACCAGATGGATTCACAGCCGAATTCTACCAGAGGTACAAGAAGGAACTGGTACCATTCCTTCTGAAACTATTCCAATCAATAGAAAAGGAGGGAATCCTCCCTAACTCATTTTATGAGGCCAGCATCATCCTGATACCAAAGCCAGGCAGAGACACAACCAAAAAAGAGAATTTTAGACCAATATCCTTGAAGAACATTGATGCAAAAATCCTCAATAAAATACTGGCAAACCAAATCCAGCAGCACATCAAAAAGCTTATCCACCATGATGAAGTGGGCTTCATCCCTGGGATGCAAGGCTGGTTCAATATACGCAAATCAATAAATGTAATTCAGCATATAAACAGAACCAAAGACAAAAACCACATGATTATCTCAATAGATGCAGAAAAGACCTTTGACAAAATTCAACAACCCTTCATGCTAAAAACTCTCAATAAATTAGGTATTGATGGGACGTATCTCAAAATAATAAGAGCTATCTATGACAAACTCATAGCCAATATCATACTGAATGGGCAAAAACTGGAATCATTCCCTTTGAAAACCGGCACAAGACAGGGATGCCCTCTCTTACCACTCCTATTCAACATAGTGTTGGAAGTTCTGGCCAGGGCAATTAGGAAGGAGAAGGAAATAAAGGGTATTCAATTAGGAAAAGAGGAAGTCAAATTGTCCCTGTTTGCAGGTGACATGATTGTATATCTAGAAAATCCCATTGTCTCAGCCCAAAATCTCCTTAAGCTGATAAGCAACTTCAGCAAAGTCTCAGGATACAAAATCAATGTGCAAAAATCACAAGCATTCTTATACACCAATAACAGACAGAGAGCCAAATCATGAGTGAACTCCCATTCACAATTGCTCCAAAGAGAATAAAATACTTAAGAATCCAACTTACAAGGGACGTGAAGGACCTCTTCAAGGAGAACTACAAACCACTGCTCAATGAAATAAAAGAGGATACAAACAAATGGAAGAACATTCCATGCTCATGGGTAGGAAGAATCAATATCATGAAAATGGCCATACTGCCCAAGGTAATTTATAGATTCAATGCCATCCCCATCAAGCTACCAATGACTTTCTTCACAGAGTTGGAAAAAACTACTTTAAAGTTCATATGGAACCAAAAAAGAGCCCGCATCGCCAAGTCAATCCTAAGCCAAAAGAACAAAGCTGGAGGCATCACGCTACCTGACTTCAAACTATACTACAAGGCTACAGTAACCAAAACAGCATGGTACTGGTACCAAAACAGCATGGTACTGGTACCAAAACACAGATATAGATCAATGGAACAGAACAGAGCCCTCAGAAATAACACTGCCTATCTACAACTATCTGATCTTTGACAAACCTGAGAAAAACAAGCAATGGGGAAAGGATTCCCTATTTAATAAATGGTGCTGGGAAAACTGGCTAGCCATATGTTGAAAGCTGAAACTGGATCCCTTCCTTACACCTTATACAAAAATCAATTCAAGATGGATTAAAGACTTAAACGTTAGACCTAAAACCATAAAAACCCTAGAAGAAAACCTAGGCATTACCATTCAGGACATAGGCATGGGCAACGACTTCATGTCTAAAACACCAAAAGCAATGGCAACAAAAGCCAAAATTGATGAATGGGATCTAATTAAGCTAAAGAGCTTCTGCACAGCAAAAGAAACCACCATCAGAGTGAACAGGCAACCTACAAAATGGGAGAAGATTTTCACAATCTACTCATCTGACAAAGGGCTAATATCCAGAATCTACAATGAACTCAAACAAATTTACAAGAAAAAACAAACAACACCATCAAAAAGTGGGCAAAGGATATGAACAGACACTTCTCAAAAGAAGACATTTATGCAGCCAAAAACACATGAAAAAATGCTCACCATCACTGGCCATCAGCGAAATGCAAATCAAAACCACAATGAGATACCATCTCACACCAGTTAGAATGGCAATCATTAAAAAGTCAGGAAACAACAGGTGCTGGACAGGATGTGGAGAAATAGGAACACTTTTACACTGTTGGTGGGACTGTAAACTAGTTCAACCATTGTGGAAGTCAGTGTGGCGATTCCTCAGGGATCTAGAACTAGAAATACCATTTGACCCAGCCATCCCATTACTAGGTATATACCCAAAGGACTATAAATCATGCTGCTATAAAGACACATGCACACGTATGTTTATTGTGGCACTATTCACAATAGCAAAGACTTGCAACCAACCCAAATGTCCAACAATGATAGACTGGATTAAGAAAATGTGGCACATATACACCATGGAATACCATGCAGCCATAAAAAATGAGTTCATGTCCTTTGTAGGGACATGGATGAAATTGGAAGTCATCATTCTCAGTAAACTATCACAAGAACAAAAAACCAAACACCGCATATTCTCACTCATAGGTGGGAATTGAACAATGAGAACACATGGACACAGGAAGGGGAACATCACACTCTGGGGACTGTTGTGGGGTGGGGGAAGGGGGGAGGGATAGCTTTAGGAAATATACCTAATGCTAAATGACGAATTAATGGGTGCAGCACACCAGCATGGCACATGTATACATATGTAACTAACCTGCACATTGTGCACACGTACACTAAAACTTAAAGTATAATAAAAAATAATCTTTTAGATGTCTAGTTGTAAATAAAAACTCATAGTAAATTAAAAAGAGGCTGTTTACCTTTATTTTAAGCAAACTTTAAATGTAAAATTCACTTTATATCTTATAAGGAAATACAAAAGGGTCTCTGAATTATGACTTGTCACTAATCTCTTTATAAATTTCATGAAGCTCCACTCCAGCCTGGGTGACAGAGGGAGACTCCATCTCAAAAAAAAAAAAAAAAGATTCATGAAGCTCAACTGATAAGAACCAATAACCACTACATATTGAAATTCTTTTAGACTATATTCCCTGGGAAACAGAGTCTGTGAAAAACATACATGCTGAGGTAGAGAACAGAAAGCAAATACAAGGTGCTGAATTCCTAAGCTGGCCAGAGTATCACAAGAAAATGCAGTTGCATCCTCAAACATATGGCTTCTTCCCATCAGTTTATATGTAACTGTTGTTTTTTGGAACAGTCCCTGACAGAGAAGGAAGGAAAGCATATCTGTCAGTTCCTTCCTATCTTCATAGTTTACTCTGAGAGGCAGTAGTCTTATCCTTCAAAGACATTTGCAGTTGGTATTATCTGGTATCTTTGGACACATACTGCAGTATCCCATTTTTTATTCCCCATGTTGGGGCAATTCATCAGGGGTCAGAAGTGGTTAAAAAATAATAAGCCAGTGAGTCCAGTGTGGTTAGACTTCCTGCTGATGCCCGTCTCTCACTCGGAAAGGGCTGAGTGCCAGCAGTGAGAGGAGATAAGACAATAAGGACAGTGGCCCCATGTCTCCAGTGAAGAAGCTGCTAGGGCTGAGGAAGAAAACAGATTGAGCAGATCTGGAATGGTTTATGAACTGAATCTGACACATAAGTTAATTTAAATAATTACAGATGTAGCAATTTAGACATCTTTATCTAATCCTAGATCCCTACTCCAATTTTCAAAAGTAAATGCTACATGGAAGCAAATAGTTTCAGAGAGAGTAAACTCAGGGAACCAGAATCTAGTGGTAGCACTTCATGATTCAGTGTTTGTTTTTCTCCTGCTAAGAGGAAATTCAACCAATCACTAAGTGAACAAATGCATAATATACCTCAAACATCTTGCCCACTTACTATGTGTAAGATATGATATTGGACTCTGGCAAAATCAAAGATAAATAACATCAAATGGAACTCAATAAGCTTACAGCCTTTTGAAAATGAAAGACATCTAATCAACCTAGTTCCAAACAATATTAGAAGCCAAAAAACAAAAATATTCTACTTAGTCGTGCCAAAATGAAGGGTTTATCTAGTTCTCAAAGAAGGGAAGATGCCTAATATTTCTCAAAAAGGATAATTACAAATGTTCTATGTTGAAAAGTATGACAGGAATAACACAATATTACAAGATTCATCTGGGTTCTAGACTTGGTTTTATTATATTTTAGTTCTAGGGCTTCAGGGAGTGAGTTACTCTCTCGAAGATTTGTTGCCTTTATCTGTAAAATAAAGAGATCGGAGCAGACTATATCTAAAGTCAATATAACCATATATGACCAACCCACACCTAGTACATTGAACAGAAAAAAATGGAAAGCCTTTTCTCTAAGATCTGAAATAAGACAAGGATGCTGCTCACTTTCACCATCTTTATTCAACATAGTTCTATAAGTTCTAGCCAGAACAACTAAACAAGAGAAGGAAATAAAGGACACCAAAATTGGAAAGGAAGAAATCAAATTTTCCTTGTTTGCAAATGATATGATCTTAAATGTGGGAAAACCTAAAGACTCCACCAAAAACTATTAGAACTGACAAATTCTGTAAAGTTTTAGGATACAAAATAAAAGTTTTAGGATACAAAATAAACATACAAAAATCAGTAGCATTTATATATTAAAACAGCCAACAGTCTTAAAAAGAAACCAAGAATATAATCCCACTTACAACAGCTACAAATAAAATACTTAGAAATAAACTTAATTGAAAAAATGAAAGATCTCTATAATGAACACCATGAAACACTGATGAAAGAAATTGAAAAGAGGACACACAAAAAATGGAAAGTTATTCAGTGTTCATGGATTAGATGAATCAATATTGTTAAAATTCCCATACTATCCAAAGCAATCTACTGATTCAATAGAACTCCTATCAAAATACCAATGATATTTTTCACAGAAATAGAAAATAATAATGCTAACATTTACATGGAACCACAAAAGACCCAGAATAACAAAAGCTATCTTGAGCAAAAAGAACAAAACCAAAGGAATCACATTACCTGACTTCAAATTATACTATAGAGCAATAGTAACTAAGACAGCATGGTATTGGCATAAAAACAGACACACAGACCAATGAGACAGAAAAGAAAACCCAGAAATAAATCCACACATTTACAGTCAACTCATTTTTATCAAACGTGCCAAGAACATATATTGGGGAAAGGATGGTCTCTTCAATAAATGGTGCTGAGAAAACTGGAGATCCATATACAGAAGAATGAAATTAGACCCCTATCTCTCACCATATAAAAAGACATATTAAAATGGATTAAAGACTTAAATCTAAGACTTGAAAATATGAAACTACTATAAGAAAACATTGGGGAAACACCCCAGGATATTGGTCTGGGCAAAGATTTCTTAAGACTGCTAAAGATTTCTTGAGTAAGATCTAGGCAACCAAAGTTAAAAAGGACAAATGGGATCACTTCAAGCAAAAAAAGCTTCTGCACAGCAAAGGAAACAATCAACTCAATAAAAAGACAACTCACAGAATGGGAGAAAACATTTGCAAACTACCCATGTGATGACAAGGAATTAATAACCAGCATATATAAAGAGCTCAAACAACTCAATAACAATAAAAATAATGCAAATTAAAAATGAGCAAAAGATCTGAATAGACATTTCTCCAAAGACGATATAAAAATGACCAAGAAGCATATTAAAAAAGTTCAATATCACGAATCATCAGGAAACTGCAAATTGAAACTACATTGTGATATCATCTCACACCCTTTAAAATGGCTTTTATCAAAAGTCAGGAAATAAAGGAGGCTGGCAAGGATACAGAGAAAAGGGAACCCTTGTACACTGTTGGTAGGAATGTAAATTAGTGCAGACACTATAAAAAACAGTATGGAAGTTCCTCAAAAAAACTAAAAATAGAACTTCCATATGATCCAGCAATCCCACTGCTGGTATATATTTTAAAAATCAATTTATTGAAGAGATATCTGCACTCCCATGTTTATTAAAGCAATATTCACTATAGCCAAAATATGGAATCAACCCAGGTGTCCATCAGTGAATGAAGGAATAAAGAAAATGTCATGCATATGCACGATGGAATAGTTTAGCCATAAAAAAAGTAAAAATCCTGTCATTTGCAACAGCATAGTTGGAACTGGAGATTATGTTGAGTGAAATAAGCCTGGCACAGAAAGGCAAATATCACATGTTCTCACTTACATGTGGGAGCTAAAAAATATTGGACTAATGGAGATAGAGAGTAGAATGATGATTACAGAGGCTTGAAAGGGTAGTGGGGAGGGAGAGATGAAAAGAGGTTGGTTAATGGGTACAAAAATACAGTTAGAAGGAAGAGCTAGTGTTCAGTAGCACAATATGTCTACTATGGTTCACAATAATTTACGGTATATTTCAAGATAGTAAAAGAGTGGAATTGGAATGTTCGTAACACAAAGAAATGATAAATGTTTGAGGTTAAGGAAAATCTAATTACCCTGGTTTGATCATTGTACATTGTATGCTTGCATTAAAATATCACATGTACCCCATAAATATGTAAAACTACTATGTATCCATAATAACTAAAAATAAAACGTTTTAAAAATATAGTCGATTTATCCCTAAAATTATAAATTTCTTTGTGTTTTAGGAATACCTGTCTATATAATCTAAGATTTTGAGTTGCACCTTCTAAACATATCTCACATTTATATTTCCCCCATTTATTTTATTTTTGAAAATATGGTAACTTTTAAAAAGAAAATGTTTTTCCTCCCTCCTTTTTTAATGTTACAGTTCATCATTTTTTACCATTACCATTACTTGCCATGAATCTTTAATTCTAAGTCAGCTTTTCTGCCTTGAAGCAAGGCATTTGCTTACCTGGCTTTTGATTAGTGTCTAGATGAGCTCCTAATACTTTTCAAATAAACTGCACTTTACTATATTGCCTTGTTGGTCTTTCTTATAAATAACTTTTTACTCTTTTATTTTCTTCATCTTTCAAATTCTATTTTCAGATATTGCACATCTCTTCAGAAAGTAGAATTTTATTTTCCCTTTGAGAAGTTGCTGCCTTGGTGGTGATTTAGTTGCACATTAGATTAGTGATTGTTATAAATAATATAATATTAAGATAGAGTAGCATCTATATAGTCTGTTATACCTTGAAGTGGTTTCCTGACCACTTGATTTTTTAAATTGATTCTTGAAGTTAAGAAACCTGGTTTTCAAATAGAGCTACATTTAACACCCATGGTGGGGAGCCAACATGAAATTGCCACATATGACATTTAATTATAAGATCTTTATATATAACAAGTCTAGCATATGTATGTCCATATTCTAAGCAATACTGAGCATCTGTGAGCTACAAATAAATTTCTCTTAAAGATCCCAAAGTCACTCTAGGAATGAGGCATTTGACAAGTGAAGTGTGGGAACTTTTTCTCAGGTTATACTTGGTGAACTATTTCATAAAACTCATTTAGTGATTGGTTGAATTCCTCTTGGCAGGAGAAGAACAAATAGTGAATTATAAAGTGCTAACACTAGACTCTGGTTCCCTGAGCTTACTCTGTTGGAAGCTATTTTCTTTCATATGGCATTAAGTTTGAAAAAGTTAGGAGTACAGATCTAGTATTTAGGTTAAAATTTCCGGTTCTATTTTCCACAAAGTATCCAGGACAAGAACAATAGAATTATATACCTTGTCACATTAGATATCTAGTTGCTGGTGATAAATATTGCCAGATACAACATATTGCCTAGTATAAAGCAGGTTGTAGCAAACGTTGAAACAATTGTTATAGGGAAGGCAAAATTCCACCTCCATTCATTTAGGGATCCAGCTCAAGAAATAAATTTACATAAGATAGATTAAAATGAATAAGAGCATACAAATGTACTTAATACAAGTTTTACAGGTCATGCAAGCCCTCACAAGAAAATAAAGACCCAAAGAAGGAATTAGAATCAATCACTTATGTAACAAATTTGACAAAGAATAATAAATTATGAAAATGTGATAAGGCAAAGGGGCTTGAGCCAGGACAGTTAATTGGGTAGAAAAGTGGCCAGGAAGATATGAATTAAGTGTAACAAGGTTTGTACAAATTTTCTTTGGCTTCAATTTTACATCTTTGATGATAATAATGCGATTTTTCTTCTAAGATAGGGAGAACATCTTTCACATGAGACTTTCATCTCTTGCTTTTAAGAAGGCACAAAGGTCAAAGTGATCTTCTTATAATTGTTATTTTTCAATTGCCTTTAACTTAAATAATTAATATGCCAGAATTACATATTGTGGATGGCATATTCTTAACTCCTTCACTTTAAAACTGAATTAGAAAAATGCCTTATTTTGGCAAGAATTTTGTTGTTTCACTAATTACTATAACTTTTGTGCAAAGTATGGTTCCTGGCCCCATAGAAGTTGCTCAGTAAGTATTTTGCTTGTAAATATTAAAGTGAATTTTAGTCTCTATGTATATCCATAGCTATATATATATCCATAGCTTCAAAACCTCTGAGTCAGTTTCAAAATATTTGAAGACACTTTTTGTAAAGATATGAGGATTGGCCTAATAGTCAGAATAGACTTCAAGTATGGCTCTGCTAAAAATAAGATACGTGACTTTGAATAAATTATTTATTTTTGTTGATATTCAATTTCGTGATGAGTAAGATGAGTGAGTTGAAAAAGAAAATTTAATATTACATTGATAGCAAAGATTCTTTAATTTGTATTGACTTTTAAAAACAATAGCAAATGATATAAAATTTAAACATATGAGAAAGTAAAATATATGAAAAAACATACAGTGTACAGTCATGAATAAATGGAATTAAATTGTTGTATGATTCTAGAATCTTTAGAAAAATATTAGGTTGGTGCAAAAGTTTTTGCGGTTTCTTGCCATTACTTTCAATTGCGGTTTCTTGCCATTGAAAGTAATGGCAAGAAACCGCAATAACTTTTGCACCAACCTAATAGTAAAATAGTAACAGTGCTATGGTAAATGAAGAGTGTATATTTGTAGTTCATAGGCTAACCGTTAAAGAATAATACAACATATGACTAAAACATATTTTGTGTGTGTATGTGTTTGCTAAACCCTATAACAAATATTTTTAGTCTGGATAAGAAAAAATAAGAAATTTATGCAGTTACATATATATATACCATACTATAAATATTAAGGACACAGAAATATTGAAAATAAAAGGACAGAAAAAAAAATACCACACAAACACTAAATAAAAGGAAAGCTAGTCTACTAAAATAAGAGAGTACTTTGAGATGAGAAATATAATTAGCAAAAAAGAGGAACATTTTATGATGATGAATGTATTGATTCAAAAGGAAGACATAACAGTGCTAAATATGGATGCACCTGAAAAACAAAAGAACCAAATATGAAACAATAAAAGGAAGTACAAACAAATCCACAGTTGTATTTGATATTTTAACACAATGTTCTCAGTATCTGGTACAATGAGCTGATCAAAGAAATAAGGATTATGTATTATTATTATTATTATTATTAGCAACTTGATCCTGTTGGAATACATAAAACATTACTTCCAACAAATATATAACACATTCAAGTAGACATAGAAATTTATTAAAATAGACCATATGTTGAAATGTAATAAAATTTTAAATGATGTTCTCTCTATGTAAACTTAAAATAGAAATTAAGTTGTGAAGATAGACAACTCCTAAATATTTGGACAACACTATGCTAAAAAAAACTTAGGGGTCAAAGAAGAAATCACAATGGAATTGAGAAAATATATTGAACTGAATGTTAATGAAAACAGGTCTTCACTAACGGTAGCAGTTAAACAGGATTTGACTGTTAAAGATTCACAGGACCCCAAATGACAATGCTTATAAATCTATGATTTATTGTAGGGAAATAATACAAAATTGGAACAAGTAAAACTTAGGACAGTAGCCAAAGGCTGCCTCACAGTTAGAAGTCTATAGAGGATAGGCACAATCTCCCATTCTTCTCCCTATGTAGGGTCATCATTGACATTCTTCTCTCTCAGATCTTAAAGCACCAATATGTGGATGGAACACCCTTGAATCCAGGGAGCCCAAAATAGAGTGTAAAACCTATTTCCTTCTGATCATGTAGGCATTTTCATGCTGCATAGACACCTCAATGGTAGACCCCTCCAAGGTTTTACCTAAGATCAGGCACAAATAATCAGTCTCACTGTTATCAATAAACAATGCTGACAAGCAGTTATAAAGCACCCCAAACCTCACCTTGGACACATGGTTACAAAAAAACACTAATCAGTATATTCATCTCTTGACCAGGAATGACTACCATTTAAGCACATTTATTACTTCGACAAAATAGCCCACACCAATTCAAGGCCTAGTAAAATTAACCCTCATAATACAAGGGCATTATTCCACTTGCAGGGATGCAGCTGAGGAGCTGAGGCATTGCTCAGAGAGAAATTTATGATGCTAATTGTATACATTGACAAAAAGGTAGACCCCAAAGATATAGATTTCTGTCTTAAGAAGATGGTAATAGAAGAGCAAACTTAAACCAGAGGAAGTAGAAAGAATGAAATAATAAAAATAAAAACAAAATATAGAGATAAAATCTAATTGCAAATATATGATCAAAATAATCAAGAGACAGAAGATTCTTTTGTCAGGTTAACAAAAATAAAAAAGCCTCCTTCAAGTTAATCAGAACAAAGAGAGAAGATAAATGATCAATACTGTCAATGAAAAAAATGGAATACTACTATGATAGTAAGTCTAAAATACAAACAAATTTTTGTCAATAAATATAACAGTTTGGAGAAAATGGACAAAATCCTTTGAAAAACACAACTTGCCATAACTGAAATAAGAAGAAAAACAAACCTGAATGAGTTTATCTTTATTGCAAAATACAGAACATACAATCCCAGATGATTATACTGGCCCAGGAGAAATACAATTCCAGGCCCAGATAATTATATTGGCAAATTCTTGCAAATCTTAAAAAGGAAATGATACAAACTTCCATATATTATTTCCCAAAATGAAAAAAAAGAGTGTACCCTTCCACCTCATTTATGAGGCCCCAGAATTTTTTAATCAAACCTAACAAGGACACTAATAAGAAAGGAAAATTACTGGCCAATATTTCTCATGAACATAGGCACTAAAATCCTGAAAATGACATTTGGAAATTGAATCCAGAGATATATAAAAAGAATAACTCATCATGATCAAGTAGGGTTTATTCCAGGAATGCAAGTTTGGATTAATATTAAGAAATCATTCAATGTAGTTTATCACATTAACAGATTAGTGGAATGAAGCCAGGTAATCATCTCAATAGATGCAGAAAAGCATTTATAAAAGTCGATACTTATTCATGATAAAAAAAGAACTTTCAGCAAACTAAAAATAGATGAGCAATTTTAAAATCTGATGAATGATATTGTATTAGGCAGGGTTCAACTGCAGAAACACTCCAGCAGAAGATATATATTTGAGATTTATTGCAAGAAATTGGCTTATGTGATTATGGGGCCTGCTAGGCAAATTCAAAATCTTTGGGAAGGTCATAAGGAAGGGCAAGCTAGAATACAAGGCGTGAGCTGACATTGCAGTCCACAAAAAATTTGTATCCATAATGTATAAAGAACTCCTTCAAATAATTTAAAAAGGCATACAACAACATATGCACTTCACAAAAGTGGATATAGAAATAGCCAATAAACATATAAAAACAGCTCAACTTCATTAGTCATCAGATAAATGAAAATTAAAACCACAAAACCTCATCTGCCAAAAAGACTAAAATGAAAAAGACAGAAAATACCCATGACTGGGGAGAATGTGAAGGAAGTAGAATTCTGTTAGACTGATAGTTGTGAGAACTCTTACTCGGCTTGATACAAGCACCTTGGAAAGGTGGGACTTACGTACTAAAGTTGATTGAACACAAGCCCTGTGATTCCCGATGACCCAGTAATTCTACTTAGGTCTACAAGTGGTAGAAATAATTACATGTAAATACTAAAAAGCATGTACAAAATAGTTCAAAACAATACAACTTATAAACTCCAAACGGTAACCAATCCAAATATATTTCAACAGGGAATGGACACAATATACACTATAGCAGAATCACTCAATAAACTACTCCAAGCTGAAAGAGTTTTAAAAACTTGTTATATACAAAGTAGATGAATCACACAAACAAAATTAGGCAAAAATAAATGAGTTATATTTGATATGCTTCTCTCTCTCTCTCTCTCTCTCTCTCTCTCTCTCTCTCTCTCTATATATATATATATATATATATATATATATATATATAAAATCCCAAAACTGGCAAATCTAATCTAGTTATTATACTTTTGAGGAGGGGTATAACCAGGGATGAGTACAAGCAGGATTTCTAAGGTGCTGATAATGTTCATTCTTATTCCAGGTGCTGGATTCAAAGATGAATTTAGTCTGGTTCAATTTGTTTTAAAAAAATATTGAGCTGTGAACTTTTCTCTATGTATTTATTTTAAAAATTATTATGCTTACATGGTAGCTAAGAACACAGGTTCTGGGAGTCAAATGACCTGTTCCACATTTTATTTATGGGAGATTTGACCTTTGGCAAATCATTTATCCTTCTCCTTTTCAGATTCCCCATAGTAAGACTGGGGATACTAATACTACCTACCATTTAAGGCTGTTGGGGGGAAAACAGTGAAAGTGCATGTAAAATATTAAGAAACAGAAGGTGCACAAATTTATCTGTTGTTATCATAATATTGATCAATATGTGCATATTCATGTTTTTAGGTGAGCACACATGCATATGTACATATATATGATATCATGTATGTTTTATTTATATCCATGGCAGTTCCTCCTTTTCTGTTCATCCTAATAACTCAAAATCTTATCTTTTATTGCCTTATTTCTCTCTTGCAGTCAAGTCCATAAAAATCTGGTACTAAAATGTAGTTTATGACAGCGTTATGAGAAACAGACATTGCAATAGCGCCCTTTATTTCCTTTTTCAGGCATAACACTAAATTCTATATAACAGCCTAAAGGATAATGTTGTGTCATTTTTAATTCATGTAACTGGAGGATTAAGCCATATCATCATTACAAAATCCATCTTTACTACTTGTAAACAATTGACTGGTTTGTTATCCTAAGGCAAAACCAGGTGCTGTTAGCATATTATATATCATTTATGGCTATTGTGGGGACTAGGTCATTGGCATTAAATTAGAAGAAAATAAAATACCAATGTCAGGCTTCTCAACAATAAATTGTTCCTGGGAGGTTTAATAGTATGGAGGGGGCAAAAACCAGAGAGGGTGATGATACATTGTTCTTTCTAAAATCCTGGGTGACTACATCATGGGCAGGAAACTCAAGTTAATTCAAGTAGAGTGCCCATATAATGGTTTTGACTAAACTAGGACATTCTTGAAGATGAAATGGGGTGTTAATAATTTTGCTGTGACATCAGAAGTTAGCTAGGACTCCTCTAGGCAAACTGGAAATAGGGTCACCTTAGTTACAAGGTGTCCTTTGAAGGGAAATTTAGACCTAAGTGGTGTGACTGGTGGGGCATCAGTTGGAGGGGGGCAGAAGTGTGTTACTACTTGTGGTAGGCAAAATTGTAGTCTAAGCTCTAAACAAAGTTGAATATAAAAGTTCCCTGAACAAGGTAGCGCAGCACAGATATGTTTCCTAAGTTGTATACTCTCTCAATTCATACCTAGTTCAGCCACCAGTGCCATATCATTGTGTAACATTTGAATGAGGCAATGAATCTTCATGATTTTAAAAAGATACTATAGAAAACATGTAAGAAGCAACAGGTTCCCATACTCATGGCTAGGTAAATATTGCTATGACATGGAAAACATTAAGGTCAGAAATTCTGGTCTTGACACATAATGCTCCTACTGATTATCTATGACTGATTCTTGTAACATCCAAACCACCCACCCCTCTCCAAAGAAGAGTTTCCTCATTCCCATGCCCAGTGCAGACACTTCTCCATATCCCCAGAGCACATTATGCACACCTCCATCAAGACACTTTTCACAAGGTCTCTCAAGCATTGCTTACTTGTGTCTTTGACACTTCTTTAAGGCTTTTGATAGTACAGACCATATCACATTTACCTATATGTCCCTAGGGCCAAATATACTTTCTAATGCTCAGTGCTTGGTGTCCATTAAAGCTTTATTAAATACATGACTAATGCTTGAATAAAACTTTGTATTTTACAAAGCATCTATTTCACACCCATCTATTTTACTTAAGAATTGCTCAGACTGGATGCTCAGTTAAATATATGAGATGATATTTTTATCTATTCAGAATGATGCAAACATTCTGCTAAGTTTATATTTCAATAACTGTTTACCATATTTTAAGTAAAAATCTTAATAAACTGGTTTGTCTATAACCTGCAATTCAATTTGCATGGAACAGTTAGAGGAAGAAGTCATTCAGGCTTCCATATATCTAGTAGAATGGCCATCTCAGCAGCAATGATTAATAGATTCGTTCAGTATATTCAAGGAACGTTGCAATATAATAGCAAAAGAACACCAATTTCGTATACTGCATTGTTGATCCTAATGTTTTATACATGATTTCCTAGCCCATTCCAGGCACATCAAAGTTCATTACTGACCACTGATAAACACATTCATCCTTGTCAGAGAACTTTGCAAGAGCTTCCTTCACTTTATTGTCTTATCTAACATACTCTAGCTATATCATCCCAGTGAGAACTGTGTCTTAATGCTTCCATTGTTTGCTTTGGAATATTGCTTTTTGTTTGCATCTTTATCTGAAGTGACATTTCAAAATTTTACATTTTTCTCTACACATAATGTTTCAATTAATGTTTATGTGGATGATTAGATAGAGATGTTTTAACTTATTTACTTTAGGACATCTTTATTAGATTATAAAGTTTTGTATTCCACTTAATTTCTATCTTTATAATTTTTATACTATGTAGGAAAATCTTAAAGATTTTAACAGTGAAATTATTTATCCATACATAGTTTTAAGTTTGTCTTCAATATGTGTTATTGGATTCTCAACTTTTAATTCTTGATGTTAATTGCATGTGCCTCTGTTATAGCCCAAATAAAAACTGTTGTTTATGGTGGATAATATGTATGTGTATATATGAATCTTTTATTATATATGTATCTAATATATATGTATGTGTATATACACATATATATTAGTTTATGCTTACACTGTGACTAAAAGTAGTTGGCTGGTCAAAAATGTTATATTCTATAATTTGTGTATCAGTATAAGAAAATGTAGTCAAGACCAGTTTCCTAAAAATAAATCTTATGAAGAAAAGCACAATGTTATTTATATGAGACTCTACTAAATATTAAAGATCACCTTTAAAAAAATTGTTGATTGACTTTAGCGACAGAATTATGAAAAAGGCAACAATTAATACTTCAAGTATTCTTTGATGAGCATGGACTTTTGTTCTTTAACTGTCACAATTTTTTAATATTATACAATACAACTTTCACTTTTCCATCTTACTCTTTCAATTTAAAAACTTCTTTTCTGTAGTTAGTCATACATTGTTATCTAGTATCCTTTTTTGATCTGCTCCTTGTCTTTATTCCAGAAATTTAGTTGAGCAATTCAGGGAAATTGAAGCTGTTAAAGAATCCCACAGAAATCCTGCAGTGTGGATGTTTAGGATATACTGTAGCTTTCTTTTCTGTACTATAAAGCTAACAGTTTCAGATTCTGCCAGACATTGTCATCAATCAGTGTAGTGTTGTGCTTCTTATTTTGACTTCAGTGGTATGAGTTTCTGACCAACATGGAGGCTTCCTTTGACTCTCCTTCTATTAAATGGAACATTATACTAACTTAAACTTGTTAAAAAATACAGCAACTGGATTATCAAGCATTTCCTTGAAAATTAGCTTTGCATCTCTGTATGTAGATCACTGTACCTTCTAGTATAAAATACACTTACATATTCAATGTATATACTAATAGAGATAATATACTAAAATTATTAAATCAACTGGGTTTCTACAAGGTTAATTTTACATATAAAATATATTTTATTATTTTCTTATATTAGACTTTTACATAGTTTTTCTTCTCATGCCAGTGAAAACCTAGCACTATATTTACAGAAACAAAGCTGTGTAGCAAACACCGACAGAAAATAGACAGGACTAATCAGACAACTGACTAGACATTTTTAAAGCTCATTGACTTAATCAGTTTCATTTTACCACAACAAGTTGCAAAGGACTCACTGGTTTGTTGAACTTGTTCTGAATGAAATAATGCCCATGTAACACTTTAACAGGAATCAACAAGGGAAACAACTTTCATTTCTGAGCTGCTGAATTTGCACTCTAAAACCTCTAAGGCGAGGCTTATTTTAACAGAATTGAGACTTAAACAAACAAACAAACAACAACTACATGCAGAACTGTGCGAAGAGAATTATCCCAGACTCATATGATAATGATTAATAGCCTCAGATCTAAAAGTGATAGCCTCAAATCTAAAAAGGATGAATCCAGTTTTAACTTCAGAGTGAAAAGGGAATAACGTCAATTTTTTTCCTGATATTCCACAGTATTATTCATTTAAAGTCCTATTTCAACTTCAGGATCATCTCAGTCTATTCAGGTTTGTGATATTTTCTTAATTTTTTGTTTCAAGATTTATATGTTTTCATTTTTTATTTGCTTATGGTTAACACTATTTTTAAATAATAGATTTTAAAGGTTTGTTAAACATTTTAAATTTATTATTAAATATTTCTTTAATATAAAATATCATTTGAGGAAGAAGAATTTAGACATGTACTGTCTTATAAAGGAATCTATGTCTGATGATTGTTTACTACTAAACTTGGAGAGCTAATCAGAAAATAAGGCTAACAATCTGTGTTGTATATGAGGCATAAAGAGAAGTAGACAAACAGTTAACTAGTTAGGTTATAAATAAGTAAGTAAATAGGTAGAGAGAGGTAGTTCACTAGTCTGTTAGTTATAGTTACAGGAAACAGTTCTGTTGCAGAATTAAGGTTCTGGGATACATGTGCACAACGTGAAGGTTTGTTACATAGGTATATACATGCCATGGTGGTTTGCTACACCCATCAACCCGTTATCTACATTAGATATTTCTCCTAATGCTATCCCTCCTCTAGCCCCCCAACCCCTGACAGGCCCCAGTGTGTGATCTTCCCCTCCCTGTATCCATGTGTTCTCATTGGTCAGCTCCCACTTATGAGTGAGAACATGTGGTGGTTGGTTTTCTGTTCCTGTGTTAGTTTGATGAGAATGATGGATTCCAGCTTCATCCATGTCCCTGTAAAGGACATGAACTCATCTTTTTTATGACTGCATAGTATCCCATGGTGTATATGTGCCACATTTTCTTTATCCAGTCTATCATTGATGGGCATTTACATTGGTTCCAAGTCTTTGCTATTGTGAACAGTTTTGCAATATACATATGTGTGCATGTGTATTTACAGCAGAATGATTTATAATCCTTTGGGTATATACCCAGTAATGGGATTGCTGGGGCAAATGATATTTCTGGTCCTAGATCCTTGAGGAATTGCCACACTGTCTTCCACAGTGGTTGAACTAATTTACACTTTCACCAACAGTGTATAAGCGTTCCTATTTCTCCACATTCTCTCCAGCATCTATTGTTTCCTGACTTTTTAATGATTGCCATTCTAACTGGTGTGAGATGGTGTCTCATTGTGGTTTTGATTTGCATTTCTGTAATGACCAGTGATGATGAGCTTTTTTTCCTATCGTTTGTTGACTACATAAATGTCCTTTTGAAAAGTGTCTGTTCATATCCTTTACCCACTTTTTGATGGGGTTGTTTGTTTCTTGTAAATTTGTTTAAGTTCCTTGTAGATTCTGGATATTAGCCCTTTGTCAGATGAAAAGATTGTGAAAACTTTCTCCCATTCTGTAGGTTGCCTGTTCACTCTGATGATAGTTTCTTTTGCTGTGCAGAAGCTCTTTAGTTTAATTAGATCCCATTTGTCTATTTTGGCTTTTGTTGCCATTGCTTTTGGTGTTTTAGTCATGAAGTCTTTGCCCACGCCTATGTCCTGAATGGTATTGCTTAGGTTTTCTTCTAGGGTTTTTATGGTTTTAGGTCTTACGTTTAAGTCTTTAATCCACTTTGAGTTAATTTTTGTATAAAGTGTGAGGAAGGGAGTCCAGTTTCAGTTTTCTGCGTATGGCTAGCCAGTTTTCCAGCACCATTTATTAAATAGGAAATCCTTTCCCTATTCCTTGTCTTTGTCAGGTCTGTCAAAGATCAGATGGCTGTAGATGTGTGGCATTATTTCTGAGGGCTCTGTCCTGTTCCATTGGTCTATACATCTGTTTTGGTACAGGTACCATGCTGTTTTGGTTACCGTATCCTTGTAGTATAGTTTGAAGTCAGGTAGCGTGATGCCTCCAGCTTTGTTCTTTTTGCTTGGTATTGTCTTGACTATGTGGGCTCTTTTTTGGTTCCATATGAACTTTAAAGTAGTTTTTTTCCAATTCTGTGAAGATAGTCAGCGGTAGCTTGATGGGGATAGTATTGAATCTATAAATTACTTTGGGCAGTATGGCCATTTTCATGATATTGAGTCTTCCCATCCATGAGCATGGAATGTTTTTCCATTTGTTTGTGTCCTCTCATATTTCCTTGAGCAGTGTTTGTAGTTCTCCTTGAAGAGATCCTTCATATCCTTTGAAGTTGTATTTCTAGGTATTTTATTCTCTTAGTAGCAATTGCAAACGGGAGTTCACTCATGATTTGGCTCTCTGTTTCTCTATTATTGGTGTATAGGAATGCTTGTGATTTTTGCAGATTGATTTTGTATCCTGAGGCATTGCTGAAGTTGCTTATCAGCTTAAGGAGATTTTGGTCTGAGATAATGGGGTTTTCTAAATATACAAACATGTGTTCTGCAAACAGAGACAATTTTATTTTCTCTCTTCCTATTTGAATAGCCATTATTTCTTTCTCTTGCCTGATTGCCCTGGCCAGAACTCCCAATACTATGTGGAATAGGAGTGGTGAGAAAGGGCATCCTTGTCTTGTGCCAATTTTACAAGGGAATGCTTCCAGCCTTTGCCCATTCAGTATGACGTTGGCTGTGGGTTTGTCATAAATAGCTCTTATTATTTTGAGATACGTTTCATCAATACCTAGTTTATTGAGAGTTTTTAGCATAAACAGAGTGCTGAATTTTATCAAAGGCCTATCTCTACATCTACTGAGATAATCATGTGGCTTTTATCATTGGTTCTGTCTATGTGATGGATTATGTTTATTGATTTGTGTATGTTGAACCAGCCTTGCATCCCAGGGATGAAGCCAACTTGATTGTGGTGGATATGCTTTTTGATATGCTGCTGGATTTGGTTTGCCAGTATTTTATTGAGGATTTTCACATTGATGTCCATCATGGATATTAGCCTGAAATTTTCTTTTCTTGTTGTGTCTCTGCCAGGTTTTGGTATCAGGATGATGCTGGCCTCATAAAATGAGTTAGTGGGAAGTCCCTCTTTTTCTATTGTTTGGAATAGTTTCAGAAGGAATGGTACCAGCTCCTCTTTGTACCTCTGGTAGAATTCAGCTGTGAATCCATCTGGTCCTGGACTTTTTTTGGTTCATAGGCTGTTAATTACTGCCTCAATTTCAGAACTTGTTATTGGTCTATTCAGGGATTCAATTTCTTCCTGGTTTTGTCTTGGGAGGGTGTATGTGTTCTGGAATTGATCCATTTCTTCTAAATTTTCTGGCTTACTTGTGTAGAGGTGTGTACAGTATTATCTGATGGTAGTTTGTATTTCTGTGGGATCAGTGGTGATATCCCCTTTATCATTTTTTATTGTGTCTATATGTTTGTTTGTTTGTTTCTCTCTTTTCTTTTTGAGATGGAGTCTCCCTCTTTCAGCCAGGCTGGAGTGCAGTGGTGCGATCTTGGCTCACTGCAACCTCTGCCTCCTAGGTTCAAGCAATTCTCCTGCCTCAGCCTCCCTGAGAAGCTGGGATTACAAGCATATACCACCACACTCAGCTAATTTTTTTTGTAGTTTTAGTAGAGACAAGGTTTCACCTTATTGGCCAGGCTGGTCTCAAACTCTTGACCTCAGGTGATATGCCTGCCTCAGCCTCCCAGAGTGCTGGGATTACAGGGTTGAGCCAACGCACCTGGCTTTCTAGTGTCTATTTGATTCTTCTCTCTTTTCTTTTTTTATAGTCTGGCTAGCATTCTATTAATTTTGTTAGTCTTTTCAAAAAACCACCTCCTGGATTCATTGATTTTTCGAAGGACTTTTCGTGTCTCTATATCCTTCATTTCTGCTTTGATCTTAGTTATTTATTGTCTTCTGGTAGGTTTTGAATTTGTTTGCTCTTGCTTCTCTAGTTCTTTTAAATTGTGATGTTAGGGTGTCAATTTTAGATCTTTCCTGCTTTCTCCCGTGGGCATTTAGTGCTATAAATTTCCTTCTAAACACTGCTTTAGCTGTGTCCCAGAGATTCTGGTACGTTGTGTCTTTGTTCTCATTGGTTTCAAAGAACTTACTTATTTCTGCCTTAATTTCATTATTTACCCAGTTGTCATTCAGGAGTGAGTTGTTCAGTTTCCATGTAGTTGTGTGGTTTTGAGCGAGTTTCTTAATCCTGAGCTCTAATTTGATTGTACTGTGGTCTGAGAGATTGTTTGTTTTGATTTCTATTCCTTTTCATTTGCTGAGGAGTATTTTACTTCTATTTATGTGGTCAATTTTAGAATAAGTGTGATGTGGTGCTGAGAAGAATGTATATTCTGTTGATTTGGAGTGGAGAGTTTTGTAGATGTTTATTAGGTCCACTTGGTCCAGAGCTGAGGTCAAGCCCTGAATATCCTTGTTCATTTTCTGTCTCGTTGATGCATCTAATATTGACATTGGGGTGTTAAAGTTTCCCACTATTATTGTGTGAGAGTCTAAGTCTCTGTAGGTCTCTAAGAACTTGCTTTATGAATCTGGGTGCTCCTGTATTGGGTGCATATATATTTAGGACAGTTAGCTCTTTTTGTTGCATTGATCCCTTTACTATTATCTAATGCCCTTGTTTGTCTTTTTAGATCTTTGTTGGTTTAAAGTCTGTTTTATCAGAGACTAGGATTGCAACTCCTTCTCTTGTTTTGCTTTCCATTTGCTTGGTAAATATTCCTCCATCCTTTTAATTTGAGCCTATGTGTGTCTTTGCATGTGGGATGGGTATCCTGAATACAGCAAACCGTTGTGTCTTGACTCTTTATCCAATGTGCCAGTCTGTGTCTTTTAATTTGAGCATTTAGCACGTTTACATTTAAGGTTAATATTGATATGTGTGAATTTGATTCTGTCATTATGATGCTAGCTGGTTATTTTACCCATTAGTTGATGCAGTTTCTTCATAGTGTCTATGGTCTTTACAATTTAGTATATTTTTGCAGTGACTGGTACAGTTTATTCTTTTCATGTTGTTTGAGGAGTATCTTTGTGGTGTTCTCTGTATTTCCTGAATTTGAATGTTGGCCTGTCTTGCTAGGTTGGCAGAAGTTCTCCTGGATAATCTACTGAAGAGTGTTTTCCAACTTGGTTCCATTCTCCCCATCACTTTCAGGTACACGAATTAAACATAGGTTTGGTCTTTTCAAGTCCCATATTTCTTGGAGGCTTTTTTTGTTCCTTTTCATTCTTTTTTCTCTTATCTTGTCTTCACGCTTTATTTCATTAGGTTGATCTTCGATCTCTGATATCCTTTCTTCCACTTGATCATTTCAGCTATTCATACTTGTGTATGCTTCACGAAGTTCTCGTGCTGTGTTTTTCAGCTCCATCAGGTCACTTATGTTCTTCTCTAAACTGGTTATTCTAGTTAGTATTTCCTCTAACCTTTTTTCAAGGTTCTTAGCTTTTCTGAATTGGGTTAGAACATGCTCCTTTAGCTCAGAGAAGATTGTTATTACCCACCTTCTGAAGCCTACTACTGTCAATTTGTCAAACTCATTCTCTGTCCAGTTTTGTTTCCTTGCTGGAGAGGAGTTGTGATCCTTTGGAGGAGAAGAGGCATTCTGGTTTTTGCAATTTTCAGCCTTTTTGTGCTGTTTTTTTGTTTTTTTTTTTCCCTCATCTTCATGGATTTATCTACCTTTGATCTCTGATGTTGGTGATCTTCGGATGAGGTTTTTGTGTGGACATCTCTTTTGTTGATGTTGATGCTATTCCTATTTGTTAGTTTTCCTTCTAACAGTCAGTCCCCTCTGGTGCAGGTCGGCTGGAGTTTGTTGGAGGTCCACTTCAGACCCTGTTTGCCTGAGTATCTCACCAGCGGAGGCTGCAGAACAGCAATGATTGCTGCCTGTTCCTTCCTCTGGAAGCTTTATCCCAGAGGGGCACCTGCCAGATGCCAGCCAGAGCTCTCCTGTATAAGGTGTTTGTCGACCCCTGCTGGGAGATGTCTCCCAGTCAGGAGGCACGGGGGTCAGGGACCCACTTGAGGAGGCAGTCTGTCCCTTAGCAGAGCTTGAGCACTGTGCTGGGAAATCTGCTGCTCTCTTCAGAGCTGGCAGGCAGGAATGTTTAAGTCTGCTGTAGCTGTGCCCACTGAGCCGTCCCTTCCCCCAGGTGCTCAGTGTTATAAATAAAACTCCCCAGGGAGATGGGAGTTTTATTTATAAGTCCCTAACTGGGGCTGCTGCCTTTCTTTCAGAGATGCCCTCCCCAGGGAGGAAGAATCTAGAGAGGAAGGCTGGCTACGGGAACTTTGCAGAGCTGTGGTGGGCTCTGCCCAGTTTGAACTTCCCTGCAGCTTTATTTACAATGTGAGGGGAAAACCACCTACTTAAGCCTCAGTAATGATGAACACCCCTCCCCGCACGAAGCATCCCAGGTGCTGTGCTGGCAGTGAGAATTTCAAGCCAGTGGATCTAAGCTTGCTGCGGTTCCGTTGGAGGGGGGGTGGGGTGGGATCTGCTGATAGACCATTTGGCCCCTGGTGTCAGCCCCCTTTCCAGGGCAGTGAACGGTTCTGTCTTGCTGGCATTCCAGGCGCACATGGGGTATGAAAAAAAAACTCTTGCAGCTAGCTTGGTGTCTGCTCAAATAGCCACCCAGTTTTGTGCTTTAAACCCAGGATCCTGGTGGTGTAGGCACCCGAGGGAATCTCCTGGTCTGTGGATTGCAAAGACCATGGGAAAAGCATAGTATGTTGCCCACAATGCACCATTCCTCACGGCACAGTGCCTCATGGCTTCTCTTGGCTAGGGAAAGGAGTTCCCTGACGCCTTGTGCTTCCCAGGTGAGGCAACACCCCACCCAGCTTCTGCTCTCCATCTGTGGGCTGCACCCACTGTCTAACCAGTCCCAATGAGGTGAGCTGGGCACCTCAATTGGAAATGCAGAAATCACCCGCCTTCTGCATTGATCTCACTGGGAGCTACAGACCAGAGCTGTTCCTATTCAGCCAGCTACCTGATTTTTATATTTTTAAAGACATTCTTAAACTGTGCATTCCAAGACTGCTCAACCAACTCTTGTTGGCTGAGAATATAATGCATGCAACATAAAAAGAATAAAAATGAACTCCTCTAAAATATTTTCAGAAAAGTTGTTTGAATTGAATGATATGATGTTAAAAATGATGATCCGCTCTCCACTGGAGATTAGAGTGCAAGTCTGTGTGGTGCACAGGATATATTTAAATGAATGTTTGAATAAGTATTTCTGCAAAACCTCCTCTATAATTATCAAGATGCATTAAGTTTGTGCTACTCCCAAACAATTTTTCGTCCTCTAAAATGCTCTAGCCTTTATGAGTTATTAAAGATACATATGTAATCAGACTATAAATAAAATAGGTTAGGATAAATCATGCAGCTTTTCTTCCACCTCGTGTAACATTTTATCACTATGGTATGTGTCAAGACAGAAACTGCCTGAGGAAAAATGACAAATACTTCACTTCATGATTAATCTTTTTGCCATTATAAATGTCTTTTTTAAATTAATGTTTTATTTTGTATCTAGAGTTTGTATTTATAAGAAACCTTTTGTATTTAATCAGATCAATTTCTCATTGCTCTCCAAAAATACTCAATGCCTATTCACTTATTATATTTTCTTCTAAGCCAGCTTCTTCTTGAGAAGTTAGTTGAACTTCTGAGAAGCAGGAAGAAGAGTGATATTATTTCCTTTCCATTACTGCGCCATCCAATAAAGCCATAAATAAAAATCTAGTATTCAAATTCCAAAGAAAACTGAAGAAGGCAACATGATCTGGTGGAAGTATATTCATGAATCTCTTAGGAGCTTGGCCTTGAGTGTAAACATGTCTTCAAGTCAGACTCTTTCAGTGAGGACAAGTTACATGGCCACCACGCACCACAGTAAGGGAGGCTGGGGAACAGGAACCGTCTGCTCTTGTGACTCCATTTATTTTTATAGCCTTCTTCTTACAGAATGATCACTCACCCTCCTCCCCAAAAGAAACAATCCAAAGGCAAACTCCAGGATTTCAGGGTGATTCAAGACCAGTCTACCAGGTTTACATGTGATTCCTCATATGCTAGTGATTAGAACACAAATCAGCTGCTGCCCTAAACACACACATCCATACATTCATGCCTTGGCCTAGAAGTAGCATGTATCATTTTACCTACATGTCATTAAAGGATATAAAATATTTCATTTGACACTGAAAAATTTAGAAAGTTATTCAGCCAGTTGCTTTTCATAGCATGCACATGTTGAGAAGTATTTATTTTTGGTATCATCTGACAAAACATCAAAATGATTAGCTAATATTTCCATTATTGTAGACATATATCATTGATTACATATACTCACATCTTTCTGCAATAGACTCTCTCTATAGTACTTGCCTTTAAACACATATATCCTCACGCATTCTTCTGAAAGTACTTTAAGTATTTCAGTTCATTTAATTGGGTTATGTAAAATAATTAATGTGTGGCTAAAATTTCTAGTGGCTGAAAGCTATTATAGTTTTCTAGTGGCTGAAAGCCATTATAGTTTTAATTGGCCTACCCTCACTAAGTTTTAAAACTATAAGTCAGTTTTAAAACTTATTTAAAGCCATCATAGCTTTAAAACTAAGTGAGGATAGGCCATTTAAATTAGTAAGGCTGTGTTTTCATCAGAAATCAAACAGGTGTTGAAATCTTGATTGTATAATATACACATTTTTAAAAAGTCTTCAGTGGCTTGAAAATTTCACTTTATTTTAATGTTTTCTATAATTACAAAGTAATTAAAATAATAAAAATAATTGTTATAATTTGATTTTTTATAGCTCACCAAATTCCCTAATGATATTGTTTTTTTCCTCTTTGGAGGAAAGTTTGTATTGCTATTTATAATAAATGTATAACTTCACACATCTTATAATTGAAATAAATTTAAATGGATTATGACTTTACTAGATCCTTCTCAACACAAGGAACACATCTTAGTTCACAAGGGAAAAAAGAATAGTGAAAACCCAAAAGACTGTGCCTCTTTTCTATTCTCTACCTTGCAAGGAAGTCGGGACAAGTCACAGTAATCCAGTGAATTCCTGTTTCAGAAGGGGCATTGCTCAAGGTCTGACGGGACCTTAATTCCGTCACAGTATAGGCAAAAAAAATCCTCCCCTTCCCACCACAGTGTCAACATATATGCCTGTTAAACTTTTGTACATCATTTGTTCTGCGGTCAGTTTCCAAATGAAATTGAGTATCTTTAGCGGCTGACAACTGTTATTACTTACATGAATCTGAATCAGACAGAACCTAAAAATGCCCAACTCATTTTTTTCCACTAACTACACCACCCCCCATATTTTGAACTAGATCTTTCCATTTTTAATCACTGCATTACACAGCTCCATCAACCTCATGCTTTCTCTCTCCTTTTTCCTCATATCTTTTACATCGTTGCACTGATAATCCTTGTCAATCTCTACCTTAAAAAACTGCTGTTACCTTTCAAAGAAATTATTTCATATTGGCTTTACAAAGCCATGAGTGTATATTTAGTCTGTTAAATTAGATTAGATCCTTCAGAGATTTAACTGAGGACAATAGAATATTAACTTCCTACTGTTTTTCTAATGACAGTGAACCTTCTCCATTGTTCAAGTATACTCACTTGCCTTTTAAATGACATTGTATGGATGCCATCCCTTACGGCATTTAGATATTATTGATGTGCCACAATTTGAACAATGTTCAGAAGTACACAAATATCCATAATAAGACATCTTGTTGTAAGATGAGTTGTCTAAGAAATTTCTCCAAAGGGACATAGCACGTTTGCCCCAGATGCAGCATAACATCAATTTATGAAACAATGATTGTTATTAGTTAAGAAAGATTTTAGCTTTATTGACGTGTTGGGTGGAAGAATTCTTTAATGAGGGAGGAGTTTCCTATTCCTTGTAGGATGTATAGCATCCCTGACTTCTACCCACAAAATGCCAGCAGCCCTCACCTCCAAGCTGTGACAACCAAACATTTCCCCAGATATTGTGAAATACCCTTTGGGGGACAAAATTGCTCCCTGTTGAGAACCACTGGAGTAACACTAATTGCTATAGCAGAGACCCAAAACACATAAAGGTTTAGAAAACAGTAGTTCATTTCCCTCATAATATTCCTGGGAAGGTAAATAGATTAGTGAGTCATCTCTCTTTCATGTAGTCTTTAGGGATACATGCTGAAGGAGACTGCCATCTTCAATAAAGTCTTCCAGTTTTGTCTTGTATTCTCCATCTAAGCCAGTCAAAAGGGTAAAAGAGCATTGAAGGGGAACTTAAATGCCATAAAAGCTTTGGTCTTGAAATAATGCACATCACTCTAATTTACTTTCCATTGGTGAGAATAAACTGCATGGCCACAGTGAACTACAAGAGAAGCTGCAATAATAGCATAGCTCTATGCCTAAGAGAAGAGAGAAATATTTTCAGCGAACAGTTAGCCATAAGACTTCCTACTCAGAAATTATCCATTTGGATTCATTTGCATTGGATCCTTGTTACATCCTTGCATATACAACACACTTATATCCCTTTTACAAGAGACACAATCCAATTTCTCCTTTTACACCATTCAGTTCAAACCCCAGCATATCAGGGTCATACAGTCTTCTCTATTGAGATCAGCTGTGGTTCTTCATGGTGCAAAGACCTTTGAATGAAGAAACAATTTATTGGCCTCACCCACAACTATGATCTCTTGATATACAAAGACCACTCAAGTTCTAAAAACCTTGGCCTAGAGGTGGTACACATCATTTCATTTGTATTTCATTGGCAGGAGCTAGTCACAAGACTACATCAAACTGCAATGGAGGTTGAAATATGTTGCCTAACACAGAAAAAGGAACTTTGTTTTGATGAATGAGTAACAAAGTTACCAGTTTCTGGAACATAATGTAATCTGGGGAGTGATTAGATTATATGCCAAGAATAAAAGATTAAGCCCCCAGATAATACTGAACGTTAGGCATGCCTACAACATTTTGGTTCTAAATAGTCAGAAATAAGTAGATTTTCAGAAGAATGTGGGGTGTCTAAAGGAGTACATTTACTTCCT
The DNA here is from genome assembly GCF_000001405.40 of Homo sapiens. Taxonomy (NCBI): domain Eukaryota; kingdom Metazoa; phylum Chordata; class Mammalia; order Primates; family Hominidae; genus Homo; species Homo sapiens. The sequence continues at coordinate 46,539,676 of NC_000014.9, forward strand.
GTGTGGGAAGGGAGTGGCAGGACACAGAGTTAGTTTGAAGGCAGAGCATTATTCCCAATTGGAGCACAAAACTAAAAAGCAAGAAAAACGCCTCCTGTTTTAGTTTTTCATTTTGTTTTGTTTCTGTTTTTTTTTTTTTTTTAATAAGTGGATTAAGAATGAAGGCCTCTCTTGGGACACATTGGTTTCCAATGATTATTCTAGATAGTGTGAAGGCTGTTAAAGATAACAGTTCTAAATTATACTCTCAGCATCCAGAGGGTGATAAATGTTTAGAAACAAGTCAGAATTGATCTGATGAGATTGCACTTCCTCAAGTTAAGCCAATACTAAATGGCTATCACAAGCTAGGAAGAGACACTCATTCTCTTCAATGTTACTTTAGTTTTAGCTTTTTCATTACGTTTTTGTTTGTCTTCTGAATCTTTAAAAGTTTGTTCATAGATTTTTTGATATGTAGTTCCTAGAGCTTTTGTCAAGGAAAACTTGCATAAGACAAGTTAAACAGGTAAGAAGTCTTTATTCAAGACTATTTCAAAGGGAGACAGAGATTGAACTCAATACTGCTTTAAACAAAAGGTGGGAGAATCTTTAAGAACTGAGGTGAACTGGTATAAAAATAGGATGTTAGGTAGGAGGTTGGTCAATGTGATTAGTCCATTTGAATTTGCTAATTGGCATTTATCAAAGTTAGGCTACTATGCTACCCCAAAGACTGGGAGTTAGTGGCAGTATCTTCCTTGATGATTATCTTTCAAAGGGATGGCTCCCAGATCCTTAAGAAGGACATTACTGGGTTGTAAAACTGTCCAGAGGTTATGAAAAGATTTATGTCTCAAAGGGGCAAAGAACAAATTTACAAATACAAGTTTTTTGAAGTAAATGCTCCAAGAAAAGAGAGGCCATAGACCTTTAGTCAGGAGAAAACCTATGTAATGTTTATTTAAGCTGAGGAGAACAGTAAGACCATCTCTTCAGTATTGAAATATAAAAGTGGTGTATTCAATGGTAAGTGGAGGCAATTATATATACGTTTTTAGATATAGTCTTTTGATTATGCAGTCCAAAAATCCATTTGCTCTTTGGTGACTCACATAAATCTATCAATTTAAATGGCTCACAGAAATCTCTGACCCAAAATGGCTAGTGATTTTTCTTTTTTAGGACACAGTCATAAGAAATTTCCTTTGGTTCCACACTTGGTCTTTTCTATATTTGAGACATCTGAATTTCTGAATTTTAATAATTATATATTTTATATAGCTATTCAAAACTTTGAAAAAACATTAAAAATATAAGGCTAATGTAACAGGGTAGAGGTTATCTGTTTTTATTAGAACCCTAGGGCCGGGTTAAGTAAAAACTGATTTCTGTAATATATTAGCATTTAGGTTATGAGTCTCCACCTATTCCTAAGTACAGTCATATGCTTCTTAACAATGATTCTGTCAATGATGAACCACATATACAACAGTGGTTCCATAAGATTACAACAGCTATACCATATAGCCTAGGGTGTAGTAGACTATATGGTATAGCTAGGTTTGTACAAGCACTCTTTATGATGTTTGCACAATATCAAAATCACCTAAAATGCATTTCATAAAACTTATACCTGTCATTAAGTGACACATGACTGTATTTGCCAACAACTTTGAGAAAATTCAGGCGTGAAATGTTCACAACAGTACACACTGCTTTTCAAATCCAATAAAAAAGGGAACAAGTGTAATATCATGTGGCTGTTTTCAGAGTAGTCTTCTCTTGTTGATCATTAGTCCAGTATTTACTTAATTATCCTCATGATTTAAACCTAATATTTAACTTTTATGTTTTCTCTCGGCATGTTTTCTGAGTGTCATCTAATTTTCTTCATAGTAATGATTTTTTTATGTTACTTTTACTTTATTGGTATTATTTCATGATTAACCACTTCTCTTTCTTCTTTTCAAAATATTTGCATAAACACTTTTTGGCCAGAATGTAATGATTTCATTTAAATAAAAATAGTGTTAGAAGATAAGGCACTCTTCTTTTGTTTTGTTATCCCAAGATTAAATCCTCCCAAATCCTGTATGTATGCATATGCTTCATATTTCTCCTTTATCACAGAGGTGGTTCTCACCCTCAGTTACTTGTAAAATAATCAACTCCTTCTATGGTTATTTTGCAACATTAATGTCTCCCATGCATACTTTGAAAGAATTATTTCACTCTTTGGCAATTCTAATGCCCTTGACTTTGTATGGTGCCCTTGTCAGTCCTCAGTAGGCCCATTTGTTTCCTTCTAGAAGAAAGTAATAAAGTTCTGTTGAGATAATGACCTTCAGTTTTAACTTTTACAAAAACAGAAGTAAATTTTTACCACATAATTAATTTAATGGTCATTTATCCTCAAGAATTTTTGAAAAAGGTATTCCTTATTTTTAAAAAATATATAAATAATGAGACTATATTCAGAGACCTCTTTAATGACTATTTAAATACGTTTTAATTTTTAATTTATGTGACTTGAAATAAAAATTATTAAATTTAAAGTTCATGATCCTTAAAGATCATGAACCTAAATTAAATATGAAGTAAATAATTGATCATGCCTTGACCGTTTTTAAAAAAAATTAGACTATCTGAAAGGGGAAACATTTATTGTGAACTCTGATAATTTGTTATCAAAAGAACAATTAAAATATGCTGTCATTCAGCATATGAGTAATGATCATGATTATGACTGATTTATTTTCTTAGAGATACTGATACCCCATTGGTAGTAAAATTATTAGTTTTATAATATAATATAATTAGAGAATTTTCAGAGCTAAAGCTACACTGAGAAACCAAAGATTCAGTTCTCTGTAATCATGGAAGTCACACAGATTATTGAGTTATAATAAGGCTTATAATTCTTTGAAAAATAATGGGTCTATGGATTTAACATCCATGCTATAGAAATTAATTATATTTAGGATGTGTGAAAGGTTATCCTACGTTTAAGTCATGAATTCAGATTTGTTTTGAACCTAACGTTTTGAATCACGTCCTTCTGATAGTGAATGAGCCTAGTTTACTGTTCAGTGTATGCATCTCAGTATGGTTGTGATGCTTTCTTTTGAATATGTAATACTTTTGTGAAGTGAAAGAAGAAATCGCCTGTATTCGTTTCAAAGGGCTGACATAACAAATTAGCTTAAATTGGGTGGCTTACAACAATAGAAATTTATTCTTTCATAATTCTAGAAGCAAGGAGTCTGAAATTAAGATTTTAACACGGTATGTTTTCTCTGAAAGTTCCAGGGAAGAATCCTTTCTTGCCTCTTCCTAGCCGCTGGTGATTGCCAGCAATCCTTTGGTTTCCTTGGTTTGTAGCTGCATCATTTCAGTCTCTGCTTCCACCTTCAACTAGCTGTTTTCCTGCTGTGTGTGACTGTGTTTTTGCACAGCCTTCTTATAAGGACGTCAGTCATTGGATTATCTATGTAACCTCAAAGAAGCCACCTAAGTTTTATTTTCCTCATGTTAATTTCCTCCTCTAAGTAGGAATAAGTTAGCTCACAGAATTTTTGTGAGGATCAAATAGAATGTGCTTTGGGAAAGATAAAGTAATAGAAAAATATTTGAATTCTTTTTAACTTGTACCAGTCGGTAAGGTAAGCATACACCTATACCCAGGAGAACTGCCATGGCCCAAGAGCAGAAGTCAAGCAGAAACAGCCAGCTGAAAATTAGTATATTGGACTACAGTGTAGAACTAGACAGAGATCTGGGAAACATCTGCAAGAAAGTGATGGTCTAAGGACTTTGGAAATTTAATCATAAAATAAATAACGTAAATTCTACTTTTACATTAGAGTTAATACTGTGCAAATATAAAACATGTATCAAATCATATACAACTTTAAAAAATATCCCTATATGTTGAAACATCATATGAAAAAATTATTTATTAATATGGAATCAAACATATATCCTTAGGTTTATATTTTTACCTGGCATACTAATCCAGTTTAAAAAGCAGACACACAGTTGCAAAACATGAGCATTCTACTTTATAAGATGGCCCAGTAGCCCGTAGTTTGTAGATTACAACTGATGTGAGTTTTTAGATTGCAACTGACCTGAGTTCTGATCATCTGTGCATTTTTGGGAGGAAGGGCATTTTAACACAAGCACATGGGTAAAGAAGACAGAAAGAAATAGGCAGAATCAAAGAATACAAGGCTTCAGTTATATAGAAGAAACACAATCAGGAAAATTATTATACAACATAGTGACTATAGTTAATATAAATGTTAAGAAAGTAGTTGTAAAGTGTTCTCACCACAAGGATGATAACTGTCAGGTCTCTGATCCCAAGCCAAGCCATCACATCCCCTGTGACTTGCACGTATACATCCAGATGGCCTGAAGTAACTGAAGATCCACAAAAGAAGTAAAAATAACCTTAACTGATGACACTCCACCATTGTGATTTGTTTCTGCCCCACCCTCACTGATCAATGTACTTTGTAATCTCTGCCACCCTTAAGAAGCTTCTTTATAATTTTCCCCACCCTTAAGAAGGTTCTTTGTTATTCTCCCCACCCTTGAGAATGTACTTTGTGAGATCCACCCCTGCCTGCAAAACATTGCTCTTAACTTCACCACCTATCCCAAAACCTCTAAGAACTAATGATAATCCACCACCCTTTGCTGACTCTCTTTTCGGACTCAGCCCGCCTGCACCCAGGTGAAATAAACAGCCATGTTGCTCACACAAAGCCTGTTTGGTGGTCTCTTTACACGGACACGCATGAAATTTGGTGCCATGACTCGGATCAGGGGACCCCCCACTTGGGAGATCAATCCCCCGTCCTCCTGCTCTTTGCTCCGTGAGAAAGATCCACCTATGTATGACCTCAGGTCCTCAGACTGACCAGCCCAAGAAACATCTCACCAGTTTCAAATCTGGTAAGCAGCCTCTTTTTACTCTCTTCTCCAACCTCCCTCACTATTTCTCAACCTCTTTCTCCTTTCAATCTTGGCACTACACTTCAATCTCTCCCTTCTCTTAATTTCAATTCCTTTCATTTTCTAGTAGAGAAAAAGGAGACACGTTTTATCCGTGGACCCAAAACTCTGGCGCCGGTCACGGACTGGGAAGGCAGCCTTCCCTAGGTGTTTAATCATTGCAGGGGCACCTCTCTGATTATTCACCCACGTTTCAGACGTGTCAGACCACACAGGGATGCCTGCCTTGGTCCTTCACCCTTAGCGGCAAGTCCCACTTTTCTGAGGGAGGGGCAGGTACCCCAACCCCTTCTTTCCGTGTCTCTACCCCTTCTCTGCTCTTCTGGGGCAGGGGCAAGAACCCCTCACAACCCCTTCTCCTTCACCCTTAGCAGCAAGTCCCACTTTTCTAGGGGGCAAGAACCCCCAATCCCTTATTCCCGTGCCCCAACCCCTTCTCTGCTTTTATGGAGGGCAAGAACCCCCCACCCCTTCTCCGTGTCTCTACTCTTTTCTCTGGGCTTGCCTCCTTCACTATGGGCAAGCTTCCACCTTCCATTCCTCCTTCTTCTCCCTTAGCCTGTGTTCTTAAGAACTTAAAACCTTTTCAACTCTCACCTGACCTAAAATCTAATCGTCTTATTTTTTTCTGCAATGCCGCTTGACCCCAATACAAACTCAACAGTACTTCCAAATAGCTGGAAAACGGCACTTTCAATTTTTCCATCCTACAAGATCTAAATAATTCTTGTCATAAAATGGGCAAATGATCTGAGGTGCCTGACGTCCAGGCATTCTTTTACACATCAATCCCTTCCTAGTCTCTGTGCCCACTGCAACTCATCCCAAATCTTCCTTCTTTCCCTCCCTCCTGTCCCCCCAGTCCCAACCTCAAGTGTCCCTGAGTCTTTCTAATCTTCCTTTTCTACAGACCCATCTGACCTCTCCCCTCCTCGCCAGGCTGAGCTAGGTCTCAATTCTTCCTCAGCCTGGGCTCCTCCACCCTATTATCTTTTTATCGCCTCCCCTCCTCACACCTGGTCCCGCTTACAGTTTCGTTCCGTGACTAGCCCTCCCCCACCTGCCCAGCAATTTACTCTTAAAAAGATGGCTGGAGCTAAAGGCATAGTCAAGGTTAATGCTCCTTTTTCTTTATCCCAAATCAGATAGCATTTAGGCTCTTTTTCATAAAATATAAAAATCCAGCCCAGTTCATGACTTGTTTGGCAGCAACCCTGAGACGCTTTACAGCCCTAGACCCTAAAAGGTCAAAAGGCCGTCTTATTCTCAAAATACATTTTATTAGCCAATCTGCCCCCGACATTAAATAAAACTCCAAAAATTAAATTCTGGCCCTCAAACCCCACAACAGGACTTAATTAACCTTGCCTTCAAGGTGTACAATAATAGAAAAAAGTTGCAATTCCTTGCCTCCACTGTGAGACAAACCCCAGCCACATCTCCAGCACACAAGAACTTCCAAACGCCTGAACCGCACTGACCTGGCGTTCCTCCAGAACCTCCTCCCCCAAGAGCTTGCTACAAGTGCCAGAAATCTGACCACCAGGCCAAGGAATGCCTGCAGCCCAGGATTCCTCCTAAGCCATGTCCCATCTGTGTGGGACCCCACTGGAAATCAGACTGTTCAACTCACCTGGCAGCCACTCCCAGAGCCCGTGGAACTCTGGCCCAAGGCTCTCTGACTGACTCCTTGGCTTAGCGGCTGAAGACTGACGCTGCCCGATTGCCTCAGAAGCCCCGTAGACCATCACAGATGCAGAGCTTTGGGTAACTCTCACAGTGGAGGGCAAGTCCGTCCCCTTCTTAATCAATACGGAAGCTACCAACTCCACATTACCTTCTTTTCAAGGGCCTGTTTCCCTTGCCTCCATAACTGTGGTAGGTATTGACAGCCAGGCTTCTAAACCTCTTAAAACTCCCCAACTCTGGTGCCAACTTAGAAAATACTCTTTTAAGCACTCCTTTTTAGTTATCCCCACCTGCCCAGTTCCCTTATTAGGCCGAGACACTTTAACTAAATTATCTGCTTCCCTGACCATTCCTGGATTACAGCTACATCTCATTGCCGCCCTTCTTTCCAATCCAAAGCCTCCTTTGTGTCCTCCTCTTCTATCCCCCGACCTTAACCCACAAGTATAAGATACCTCTACTCCCTCCTTGGCGACCGATCATGCACCCCTTACCATCTCATTAAAACCTAATCACCCTTACCCCGCTCAATGCCAATATCCCATCCCACAGCATACTTTGAAAGGATTAAAGCCTGTTATCACTCGCCTGCTACAGCATGGCCTTTTAAAGCCTATAAACTCTCAGAGTTCCCCCATTTTACCTGTCCTAAAACCAGACAAGCCTTACAAGTTAGTTCAGGATCTATGCCTTATCAACCAAATTGTTTTGCCTATCCACCCCATGGTGCCAAACCCATATACTCTCCTATCCTCAATACCTCCCTCCACAACCCTTTATTCTGTTCTAGATCTCAAACATGCTTTCTTTACTATTCCTTTGCACCCGTCATCCCAGACTCTCTTCGCTTTCACTTGGACTGACCCTGACACCCATTAGGCTCAGCAAATTACCCGGGCTGTACTGCCGCAAGGCTTCACAGACAGCCCCCATTACTTCAGTCAAGCCCAAATTTCATCCTCATCTGTTACCTATCTCGGCATTATTCTCATACAAACACACGTGCTCTCCCTGCTGATCATGTCTGATTAATCTCCCAAACCTCAATCCCTTACAAAACAACAACTCCTTTCCTTCCTAGGCATGCTTAGGGTGGTCAGAATTCTTACACAAGAGCCAGGACCACACCCTGTAGCCTTTCTGTCCAAACAACTTGATCATACTCTTTTAGCCTAGCCCTCATGTCTGCGTGCAGCCGCTGCCGCTGCTTTAATACTTTTAGAGGCCCTAAAAATCACAAACTACGCTCAACTCACTCTCTACATTTCTCATAACTTCCAAAATCTATTTTCTTCCTCATACCTGATGCATATACTTTCTGCTCCCCAGCTCCTTCAGCTGTACTCACTCTTTGTTAAGTCCCACAATTACCATTGTTCCTGGCCCGGACTTCAATCTGGCCTTGCACATTATTCCTGATACACCTGACCCCCATGACTGTATCTCTCTGATCCACCTGATATTCACCCCATTTCCCCATATTTCCTTCTTTCCTGTTCCTCACCCTGATCACGCTTGATTTATTGATGGCAGTTCCACCAGGCCTAATCACCACACACCAGCAAAGGCAGGCTATGCTATAGTACAAGCCACCAGCCCACCTCTCAGAACCTCTCATTTCCTTTCCATCTTGGAACTCTATCCTCAAGGAAATAACTTCTCAGTGTTCCATCTGCTGTTCTACTACTCCTCAGGGATTATTCAGGCCCCCCTCCCTTCCCTACACATCAAGCTCGAGGATTTGCCCCCACCCAGGACTGGCAAATTAGCTTTACTCAACAAGCCCCGAGTCAGGGAACTAAAATACCTCTTAGTCTAAATAGACACTTTCACTGAGTAAGTAAAGGCTTTTCCTACAGGGTCTGAGAAGACCACCGCAGTCATTTCTTCCCTTCTGTCAGACATAATTCCTCAGTTTAGCCTTCCCACCTCTATACAGTCTGATAACAGACCAGCCTTTATTAGTCAAATCAGCCAAGCAGTTTTTCAGGCTCTTAGTATTCAGTGAAACCTTTATATCCCTTACGGTCCTCCTTCTTCAAGAAAAGTAGAACGGACTAAAGGTCTTTTAAAAACACACCTCGCCAAGCTCAGCCACCAACTTAAAAAGGACTGGACAATACTTTTACCACTTTCGCTTCTCAGAAGTCAGACCTGTCCTCAGAATGCTACAAGGTACAGCCCATTTAAGCTCCTGTGTAGACGCTCCTTTTTATTAGGCCCCAGTCTCATTCCAGACACCAGACCAACTTACACTGTGTCCCAAAAAAACTTGTCATCCCTATCTTCTGTCTAGTCATACTCCTATTCACCGTTCTCAACTACTCATACATGCCCTGCTCTTGTTTACACTGCCGGTTTACACTGTTTCTCCAAGCCATCACAGCTGATATCTCCTGGTGCTATCCCCAAACTGCCACTCTAAACTCTTGAAGTAAATAAATAATCTTTGCTGGCAGGACTATGCTGAACCTCCTTAGGCACTCTCTAATTAGATGTCCTCGGTCCTCCCAATTCTTAGACCTTTTATACCTGTTTTTCTCCTTCTCTTATTCCATTTAGTTTTTCAATTCATACAAAACTGTATCCAGGCCATCACCAATCATTCCATATGACAAATGTTTCTTCTAACATCCCCACAATATCACCCCTTACCACAAGATCTCCCTTCAGCTTAATCTCTCCCACTCTAGGTTCCCACGCCGCCCCTAATCCCGCTTGAAGCAGCCCTGAGAAACATCGCCCATTCTCTCTCCATACCACCCCCCAAAAATTTTCGCCGCCCCAACACTTCAACATTATTTTGTTTTATTTTTCTTATTAATATAAGAAGGCAGAAATGTCAGGCCTCTGAGCCCAAGCCAAGCCATCGCATGCCCTGTGACTTGCAAGTATACATCCAGATGGCCTGAAGTAACTGAAGATCCACAAAAGAAGTAAAAATAACCTTAACTGATGACATTCCACCATTGTGATTTGTTTCTGCCCCACCCTCACTGATCAATGTACTTTGTAATCTCTGCCACCCTTAAGAAGGGTCTTTATAATTTCCCCCACCCTTAAGAAGGTTCTTTGTTATTCTCCCCACCCTTGAGAATGTACTTTGTGAGATCCACCCCTGCCTGCAAAACATTGCTCTTAACTTCACCACCTATCCCAAAACCTCTAAGAACTAATGATAATCCACCACCCTTTGCTGACTCTCTTTTTGGACTCAGCCCGCCTGCACCCAGGTGAAATAAACAGCTATGCTGCTCACACAAAGCCTGTTTAGTGGTCTCTTCACACGGACGTGCATGAAAATAACTATATGAGGTAATACATATGTTAATTAGCTGGATTTTGTCATTTTACAGTGTATATATACTTCAAAACTTCATGACATACATAGTAAACATATACAATTTTATCCGTCAAAAAAAATAATAATAATAGGCTGAGTCTAAGGTGAGAGTCAACTGAGATGTGTAGCTTCTCCCCGGTAGTGACAGTGATTGAGCAAATAAAAAAATGTATTTCTGTCCACTTGACTGAGGTCCAAATAGGTTGTCCTCATTCAAGTGAACAGCAATTCATTCATTCATTTACTTATTTATTCAACTTACCTGCTGAGTGATTTCTAAGTATAAGGAACTGTTAAATGCTGAGGATATACGGGAGTCAAGCATAGCACCTATCTTCAACTTAAAATCTAGTGGAAAAATGCTACTTAAATTAGTATTGTTTAATATTAATTAATTACTGTTAATGACAGCTGAGAATTATTGACTAAATACTTGATATAAATCATTCAAAAACTCTGGTCTAAAAAGAAAATATAAAGCTCTACCTTAATTAGTGCCTGCAATTGCTAAGGGCTGTGAAGGGCGGAGCTCAAAATTAATATTTAATTTTATATAAGTTTATGCATGTAATGAGGAACTCATTATTTTGAATCATAATATTGCTAAATTGAAGTAGAAAAAGAAAAAAGCTGACTGCTAGAACTGAAAATTTTTTAGAGATCCTCATTTTACACATAGAGAAATAGTAGCTGAGAGTTAGCAAATAAGAACCTTAGATTCAGTTACAGTGTTTGGGAAGAGATTGGCTGATTTTGTCTTAAAACTGATTTCTATTACTTTGTGGTTATTGTCTTTATACACATTAGGTAGCCAGAGTGATCTTTAAAATATATATATATACACACACACATGTGTTTAAAGCTGTTTCAAATCGTTAAATAGTTTTCTATGGCTCTTAAGAGAATAACCAAAATATTTATTTGGCTCATATTAAAATAGGAATAGATCTAGGTGGTCGCAGAAGGATGGAAAAACCCAAACAGCTGCCAAAACAAGAACTAGGCAAAGAAACTACAGGATAACAGAAAACCCAAAATAAGGGAGAGAACATGACTAAAACCCCCATCAGGGTGATATGTCCATGACTCTTCTGGGCAAACCCAAATAAGGGAGAAAGTGGTCAGTAACCAGGAGTCCCTGAAATCCCCTCCTTTTCCAGAATATCTAATGATTATTACACCCCTAATTAAAGAAACACCCATAAAATAAGGATGCTGGGTAGTCACCGGAGAAGTGGGAAAATAAGCAGCAATTTCACACAGCAGCAAAAAAGCAGCTGTTCCAGTTAGCCACAAGGACAAGGACGAACTTGGGCTGATAAGATCCTAACAAACAGGATGGGGGCTAAGCTGGTTGAAACCGGCTGGGTCCAACATAGTATTGGGTTTAACCCATGTTCTACCCCAGACCAATCATATGCTCATTACCATACTAAGTCACACACCCACCAGCACCACGACAGATAGGAGCACGGCCGTATGTAGTATAAAAATAGGTGGCAGCCGGGCACGGTGGCTCACGCCTGTAATCCCAGCACTTTGGGAGGCGGAGGTGGGTGGATCATGAGGTCAGGAGATCGAGACCATCCTGGCTAACAAGGTGAAACTCCATCTCTACTAAAAATGCCAAAAAAAAAAAAAAAAAAAAAAAATTAGCCGGGCGTGGTGGCAGGCGCTACTTGGGAGGCCGAGGGAGGAGAATGGCGTGAACCTGGGAGGCGGAGCTCGCAGTGAGCCGAGATCGCGCCACTGCACTCCAGCCTGGGCGACAGAGCAAGACTCCGTCACAAAACAAAACGAAACAAACAAACAAACAAAAACAAAGGTGGCACCCCAATTCCAAGAAATCTCTACCTTTTTTTTTTCTTGAAATCCTCATTATTCTACCCCCTAATTAGGAGCAGCATAAAATTAGAAGCCCAAACTCTGAATTCTTTCTTGAAGCAGTATCAAGAACCTGGAACACAGGCAGGGACTTGGGTCTCATTGGCATCTGGAGACCCTCCTAAGCCCTCCAGCAACAATACTGCATGCAGGAGCTGGTCCCCTCTCTAACCACTGGCTTCCTGCATCGCAGCTACACTGACGGCTTCTCGTTCTTCCAGAACTCTAAAGCCGCCTGTGTCCTCCGTTCTCTACAGGTACTGTTTCCTCTGCCTAGATTTCTCCTTCCACTCACGTTGTTAACCGCAATCTTCAGCTCAAACCCTATTTTATAACAGATGCCTTCCTGGACCCTTTCAACTTGGTGAACTACACCTGCAATATGGTCACATAGCTTTCTAAAATGTTCTTTATAATTGTAAATTTATTTTTTGAATTATTTAGTCTGTCTCCGTCATATCTCGCCCTAGGTTTCCCCAGAGCAGAAGAGAAAAAGACTTGTGTGCAAGTAGTTTAATTGAAAATGGATTCCAGGGAATAGGAGTGAGAGGCCAGACTGAAATAAGTTAAATCAGGGAAGTAAGAAAGACCACTATGGACTTAAATGTGTTCCCACTAGGGCTAATAAGAAACTTGATGAAATGCGTCCCTGAACTGTCTGGCTTGCAGATGACAGAGGAAATCATTTATTTATTGGCTCCATTCTCTTTGGTCCAGGGTAAGCCCATAACATCTGTGCCTAAATACTATTTTGCAAAGAAAAAAAATGCTGACTAGATCCCCATGGGGTCCTATTCCCTGGTAAGGGAATTTGGGGATGGGAATTGGGAAGGTGGAAGTCCAAGGTAAGGCACTGTTAGTTTGCACCTGTCCTAAGTTCTACCACAGCCACAGCAATGGTATGAATAAAAGGTGGGGCTGAGGGATTTATAAATGGGGCATAGGAATTATACCTTCCCAGGATATTAGAGCAGATATATGATTATCTTTCTAATTATTATATAGTTATCACCTCGCTTAATGTCTGGCATATAGTAAACACTCAATAAATCTTTTTAATAATCAGTACAGTATAGAAATTTCTTTGGCCTCCAAATTTATGGGCTATTATATTATATTTGATTATTATTTTCTGTTTAAAAAGAAACAATTTGGAGTACACAAAACAGTAGTTTCATCTGGCTCAGAGTTTAATGGTATCAAAGTTTTCTCTCACTCACGAGGAAAAATACAATGCTGCCACCTTAGCTTATCAATATCAAGGATTGAATATGGACATTTCAATAGTATTCTGAAGCAAGCAACCCTACACCTTGCCAGGGTGATTGGGGGCAGTTAAATAGATAATGAGGGAGTATATCAAATGACAACTGTGTACAGACACCTGGGTAAAGAATACATTTAAAGGAGATATTCATTATATAATATTGTACTTTTTATTTCTTATATTTTCAACTTTTATTTTAGATTAAGGGGTACATGTGAAGTTTAGTTACATGGGCAAATAGCTTGATGCTGAAGTTTGGGCTACAAATGATCCCATCACCCAGTGATATGGTTTGAATTTGTGCCCCCTCCCAGATCTCATGTCAAATTGGAGGAAGGCCCTGGTGGAAGGCAATTGGATCATGGGGGCAGATTTCTTCCTTGCTGTTCTCACGCTAATGAGTGAGTTCTCATGAGATCTGATGGTTTAAAAGTATGTGGCACTTCCCCCTTCACTCTCTCTGTCCTACTGCCAGGTAAAGACGGTGCTTGCTTCCCCTTCATCCTTCCACCAAGGTTGTAAGTTTCCTGAGGTCTCCCAGTCATGTTTCCTGCTAAGCCTGCAGAACTGTGAGTCAGCTAAACCTCTTTTCTTCATAAATTACCCAGTTCAGGTAGTTCTTTATAGCAGTGTGAGAATGGACTAAAACACCCAGTTAGAGAGAACAGTATCCAAGAGTTATTTTTCCAGCCCTTGTCCCTCCCTCACTACTCCCTCTGGTAGTTCTCAGTGTCTGTTCTTGCCATGTTAATATCCACAACTACCAAATGATTGATTCTCACTTATAAGTGAGAACATATGGTATTTAATTTTCTGTTTCTGTAGTAATTTGCTTAGGATTAATGGCTTTCAGCTGCATTCATGTTGCTGTAAAGAAAATTGTGTTATTTTTTCATGGCTGCATAGTATTCCATGGTGTAAATATACCATGTTTTCTTTCTCCAGTTCATTGTTGATAGGCAGCTAGGTGGATTCCATGATTTTTTTAATGTGAATAGTGCTGCAGTGAACACATGAGTGCATATTGTGTGTCTTTTTGGTACAACGATTTATTTTCTTTTGGATAGATACCCAGTAATGAGACTTCTGGGTCAAACAGTAGTTCTAAGTTCTTTGAGAAATCTTCAAACTGCTTTCCACAGTGGCTGAACTAAATATATTCCCACCAAAAGTGGATAAGTGTTCCCTTTTCTCCACAGCCTTGCCAGATGATCTGTTGGTGTTCTTTTTTTTTTTTTTAACTTTTGAATAATCGCGATTCTGACTGGTGTGAGATGGTATCTCATTGTGGTTTTGATTTGAATTTCTCTGATGTTTAGTAATGTTCAGCATTTTGTAATATGCTTGTTGGCTGCTTGCATGTTTTATTTGAGAACTGTTTGTTCATGTCTTTTGCCCACTTTTTAATGGAGTTGTTTTGTTTTTGTTTTTGTTTTTTGAGACAGAGTCTCAGTGTCTTTTGCCCACTTTTTAATGGAGTTATTTGTGTTTTCTTATTAAGTTCTTTATAGATTCTCTACAGTAGACCTTTGTCAGATGCATAGTTTGTTAATATTTGCTCCCATTCTGTAGGTTTTCTGTTCAGTCTCTTGATAGTTTCTCTCACTGTGCAGAAGCTCTTTAGTTTATGTAGGTCCCATCTCTCAATTTCTTTTTTGTCACAATTGCTTTTGAGGATTTAGTTGTAAATTATTTTCCAAGGCTGATGCCCAGAGTGATATTTTCTAGAGTTTTTTCCAGAATTTTTATAGCTTCAGGTTTTACATTTACATGTCTGATCCATCTTGAGTTAATTTGTGTATATGGTGAAAGGTAGGGGTCCAGTTTCATTCTTCTGCATATAGCTAGCCAATTATCCCAATACTGTTTATTAAACATGAAGTCCTTTCTTGATTGCTTATTTTTATCTAATTTGTCAAAGATCAGATGGCTGTAGGTGTGTGGATTTACTTCTGGGTTCTGTATTCTAACCTATTGTTCTATATGTCTGTTTTTGTACCAGTACCATGTTGTTTTGGTTACTGCAGCCTTATTACTATAAGTATATTTATATAAGTATATAAGTATAGTTTGAAGTCAGGTATTATGATGCCTCTATCTTCGTTCTTTTTGCTTAGGATTGCTTTGGTTGTTTGTGCCCCTTATTACATATGAATTTTGGAATCATGTTTTTCTAGTTCTGTGAAAAAATAATGTTAGCTGTTTGATAGGAACAGCATTAAATCTGTAGATTGCTTTGAGCAGTATGGTAATTTTAATGACATTTATTCTTCCAATCCATGAGCATGGAATATTTTGCCATTTGTATGTGTTATATGTGATTTATTTCAGCAGTGTTTTACAGTTCTTCTTATAGAGATCTTTCACTTCCTTGATTAGATGTATTTCTAGGTAATTTAGTTTGTTTGTGGCAACTGTAAATGGGATTGTGTTCTTGATTTTGTTCTCAGCTTGAATGTTATTGGTATATAGAAATGCTACTGATTTTTTTTTTACAATGATTTTGTATCCTGAAACTTTACTGAAGTCAATTTATTAGTTCCAGGTGCCTTTTGGGTGAGTCTTTAGGGTTTTTCAGGTATAGAATCATGTTAGCCACAAAGAGAGAGTTTGTTTCCTTCTGTTCTTGTTTGGATTCCTTTTACTTCTTCCTCTTACCTGATTGCTCTGGCTATGACTTCCAGCATTATGAAGACTGAGAGTGATAAGTGTGGGCATTATTGTCTTGTTCCAGTTCTTAGTGGGAATAGTTCCAGCTTTTGTTGGTTCAGTATGATGTTGGCTGTGAGTTTGTCAGAGATTATTCTTATTATTTTGAGGTATGTTCCTTTGAGGCCTAGTTTGCTGAGAGTTTTTAACATGAAGGTTTATTGTATTTTTTCAAAGACTTTTACCATGTCTATGGAGATGATCACATCATTTTTGTTTTTAATTCTGTTTTTATGGTGAGTCACATTTATTGTTTTGTGACTGTTGAACTAAACTTGCATCCCAGAAATTATGTTTATAAGCGTGTTTCTATGTTAGTCGGTATTGTTGTTTTGTTTCCATGTTTTGAACTTTCTTAAGCAGTGGTCCCCAACCA
This sequence comes from Homo sapiens, assembly GCF_000001405.40. Taxonomy (NCBI): domain Eukaryota; kingdom Metazoa; phylum Chordata; class Mammalia; order Primates; family Hominidae; genus Homo; species Homo sapiens. Next base: position 46,555,948 of record NC_000014.9, read on the forward strand.
TACCTGGGACCAGTTTCATGGAAGACAATTTTTCCATGGATTGTGGGGGCTGTGGGGTGGATTATGGTTCTGGGATGAAACTGTTCCACCTCAAATCATCAGGCATTAGTTAGAGTCTCATAAGGAGCACACAACCTAGATCCCTTGCATGTGCAGTTCACAATATGGTTTGTGCTCCTATAAGAATCTAATGTCATTACTGATCTGACAGGAGGTGGAGCTCAGGCAGTAAGGTGACTACCTCCTGCTGTGCAGCTCAGTTCCTAATAGGCCATAGACTGGTACTGTTTTCTGGTCCAGGAGTTGGGGACCCCTGCTCTTAAGGTCTCTTATAAGGCTGGTCTTATGGTAATGAATTCTCTTAGCACTTACTTGTCTAGAAAAGGTTTTATTTCTCCCTCACTGATGAAGTTTAGCTTGGTGGGATACGAAATTCTTGGTTAGAATTTCTTTGCTTTAAGAATGTTGAAAATAAACCCCCAATATTTCTTGGCTTGTGAGGTTTTTGCTGAGAAGTCTGCTGTTAGTCTGATGGGGTTCCCTTTGTACATGATCTGGCTTTTTTTCTTTAGTTGCCCTTGAGATTTTTTCTTTAGCTTTGATCTTGAACAGTCTGGTGACTCTGCCTTGTTGGTGTTTGTTTTGTATAGTATCTTGCAGGTGTTTTATGCATTTCTTGTATTCAGATGTCTACCTGTCTATCAAGATTAGGAAAATTTTCTAAAAGTATTCCCTCAAATGTGTTTTCCAGGTTGTTTATTTTTCCTCCTTCTCTCTCGGAAATGCCAATAATTCCTAAGCTTGGTTGCTTTACATAATCACATATTTCTTGAAGATTTTGTTCATTTTTTACAATTCTTTTTTTTTTTTTGTCTAAGTTAGTTTGAAAGATCAGTCTTCAAGCTCTGAAATTTTTGCTGAAATTCTTCAGTTTAGTCCAGTCTATTGATAAAGCTTTCAATTGTGTTTGAAATTCCTCAAGTGAGTTTTTCAATTCCAGAAGCTCTGATTCATTTCTTTTTAAGATGTTTATCTCTTCCTTTATTTCCTGGATTTATTTAGAAGTTCCTTTGTGTTGACTCTAAAACTTGTCTTGGTCTCTTTCAGCTTCGTGCAATTCATGGTTTGAGTTCTTTATCTGTTATTTCTGAATTTCTCTTTTGGTTAGGGACCATTGCTGGAGAGCTAGTGTGATCCTTTGGAGATATCACTACAATCATACTTTTTATGGTGCCAGAATTCTTGTGCCGGTTTCCTCTCATCTGGAGACACTGGTACTTCTGATTTTTGTAATAATTTTTGTTTGGATAGGATTTTTAATTTTTCTTTTTTTATAATATTATTATTTTTTCTTTTACTTTCCCTTTCACCATCCCCTCTCCAGGTGGTGTGACTGTAGAAAATACTGGGTAGGGTATTTTGGCATTGCTTCTATAGCCCTATGAACATCTTTGAGCAGGTTTTATATTAGGCTGTGCAATTCAATCTATAAGCCAGTAGATTGCACTTATAGGTAAGAGCCAGTTGCAGCCAATGTAACTAGATATACACATTTGACTTTTGTTTACTGGGAGAAGCTCTCTATTGCCTCAGTCAGTGGGGTGATCCATGGAGTGTACAGTGGTCTGAGCTACCTGCTCAGCCCTTGGGTGGGGCAGGAGGGGCATAAGATGGGCCAGACATGGCAGGTACCCCAATGGCAGGCACACACACCAGTGCACAGTGAGTATCCAGTAAGCAATGACAGAGCACCCAAAGGTGTGCCTATGCATGGAGACAGAAAAACTTCTTGACTCCAAGGTCTTAGAACAAGCAATGGGAGCAACTTAAACTCTGAGTCCAGGATAGTGTGTGATTCAGATGACTTGAGATTGGCCTATGCATTAAATATAGATGGCCATTCTGCAACACAATCTCTGCATAGGAAAGGTGAGGCAGCCCAGGCTCGAAATCCAGGCAAACAGGTGTTCTGACTGCTTGAGTATGAAGCAGAGAGGGCCCTGCTGCATTACAATCTGTTCAGGAAAAGTGGGGCAGCTCAGACTGCCAATATGGGCAAGGAGGTGATTTGAATGCCTGGAGATCTGCCTGGACTTGGAGTGGAGAAGCCCTTGCCCTACATCAGATTCTCTGCACAGGAAGAGTGGAATGGCTCAGGCTGCTGAACCAGGCAAGTAGGTGCTCTGAATGACTACAGATCTGCCTGGGCATGAAACAGAGAGGGCCCCACTGCACCACAATCTATGCACAGAAGATGGGCCAGACATGGAAGAGAGGGGCAGATTAGGCTTCTGATCAAGGTGAGCAAGTTCTCCAACTACCTGGAGATCTGCCTGGATGTAAAGGCCCCCCTGCACCAATATCTCTGTACAGAAAGAGTGGGGCACCTCAGGTTGCTAGTCCATGCAAGCAGGTGTTCTGAATGCCTAAAGCAAGCATTTAAAAGAACTGAAAAACAAGAGAGAGAAGGATAAACCCCAATAACAACAGAGAAATATAATAGCTTTTCTACACAGAACTTGTAAATAAACTTGGCAAACTTCAAATAGTCTCTGTAATCACATGATTCTGTTTTCTGCTCATCGAAGAGAATTTCTTGCCCCTACTTTCTAAATTAGCAAGCCGTTCCTTGTTATTTCAAACTCTATCACCTTATTTTTCTCTATATTTGTTGTTGGTGCTTATCCTCACCTAACATACTCTACATTCAGTTATTAATTTATTGTTATTAACTACAACATAGTAATTATTAATTTATTGTCACTAGACTCCGAGCTTCATGGAACAGGCAGTTTTTCTGCTGTACTAGCTTCAAAGCCTAGAACAGATATTGGCATAAAATAGTAACTCGATCAATATGTAAAGAATAATTAACCCAACGAAATAATTCATGCATCAGTCTAGAGCAGGAGTTGGAAAATTACAGCCTGGCTCCTGCTTTTGTAAATAAAGTTCTATGGGAATACAGCCATATTCATTTACATATTGTCTATGGCTACTTTCTCACAACAACAACAAATTGGAGTAATTATGATAGACCATATGGCCCACAGAGCTGACAATATTTACTATCTGAACCTTTACAGAGTAAGCGTTCTGTTTTAGAGTCCTAGCACACAAAAAGTCAGAATTTATAATTATAATTCTCATTTTCTAAAAATCATATCACAGATGCAGACTTTTAACTATTTTTACTTTTCAGTACATGTATATATGCTTATGTATTTTTTGATATTTTTCTGAATGCCATATAAATGATATCATAACTTCTGTTCTTCTCTGATATAAATTAATTTTCCCCATGCCTGTTAACTCTTCTTAAGGGGAAGAGCTGTAAGCTAAAAAACAAAATTGTGTAAAATTTCCTAGAAATATGTCTCCAAATTTAGATATAGAAGATGTTTTATTCTAGTTAAAGCACTGCCATTAACTAGATGTGTAATCTTACATCGTGTAACTACCTAGAACGACATATTTTCTTGCCTGAAAAATGTGTTAGATTAATTTTAAGATGTTTCTGGCTCTAAAATTCTTATATTAATGATTATCCATATAAACATTGAGGATATAACTTTTGAGGACAAACAAGAAAGTAGTTCAGTTAAAACAGTTCAATTTATTTGTTCTCAAAAAATTGTAAAACTGAGAAAAAACAAAAGGCATATATTGGTTTAATATTCTTTCTGTATCCAGCTGACAGAAAGAATGTGACAAAGAACTAGACAGGACTGGGATTATAGTTATTGAACTGGACTGATGGAGTCTTGACATTGTACAAATTAAGACTGAATAACTCAGATTTCTGTATTGTACTGTGAAGTATTGTGATTGATTCATCTTGAACTATAAGAGTCATCTTATTTTATTTTTGAAAGTATGTTAAGGAAGTTTGGGGTTCTTGTTATTCTAACAGAATGTCCATTTCCATTTTCAGTTAGTTATTCTGTGGAAGGAATGTGAATGGTATTCATACTGAAGAACGAGATTCCTCCTCTTTTTGACTGAAGACAGTTTAGGGTGAAGCATGAAAATTCTTATTAATGAGAATTGATTTACCCCTGCCAGGTGAAAGCTTGCTAGGTGTGGGGTTTGTAACCTGAGGCCAGGTTGAAGCAGTGGTCACTCTTAATAGAAATCATTATCTATTTGTCCTCCTTCCCCAAGTTTTCCTCAAAATCTTATTAACTGTTATAAATTTATATAACTTGTTTCTGACAGAAGATGTTATTTATGCTTCTGGGGTGCTAAACACTCTCCCCAAGACTACAGAATCAGCTGCATTCACCCATAGAAAAAAAAAGCTTTGTCAGTAGACTTGCTAGCTGGAAAAAGCTGTTACTTTTTCTGTTATACTGTTAGAGAGTGAAGTGTAAGAAACAAAAAAAGACCCATCCCTGGATCAAATCCTGGTTCTATCATTTCTTTCAACTATGGCCAAAGTAGTGGTCAATTCAGTTTCTTCATTTGTAAAGTTAAGATAATAATTATACTTGCTTCATAAGGTTGTAACATATTAGAAGATATTATTGTAAAAATTACGTAGCCTAGTGCCTAGACAAGGCAAGTGCTCAATAACTAAGGTACATATTTTTCCAGTCATTATGATATTTTCTGTAGACAAAATGATTTGTGACTTAGGGATATAATATTCAAGAAACAGGAAGAAAAAACTCTATGGAGTCAGATATGAGACAGCAAACAAGTTTGGCCTGAAAAGAGGGAAGATAAAGCTAGCTATAGACCATTAGACATGGAAGAGAGCAAACAAGTTGAACCTAGGAAAATGCTCTTAAGTATCCAAAACTTGGAAAAAATCAGCAGCACCATTTTGGAAGGCCACAGGAGAGGCCACATATTTTAAGAAATGAGATGTGTTTGACTTTAGATAATGATGTAATGGGGTGTTTAAAAAGTGAAGTGAAGATACAGTAGAGTTTAGAAAATTGCCATTTCAAAAGGATCAAGGGAGCAGTGTTTAAAATTTGGCAATGCAGCAGTCAGAATAGTGTCCAGTTCTTAGCTTTGCCAATTACTAAATGTACAACCATGGATAAGTTACTTAAATTCTCTAAGACATAATTTTCTCACCTGTACAAATGGCAACGATATAATAATATATAAGTTTGTTGGGAAGAGTCAATGAAATAAAAAGTAAAACTTGTTGGTACTGAACTAGTACTCAACAAATAGCCACCATGATAATATTATAATTTTAATAATTATATATTACTCTTATTATCAGTTGCTATTTTCAGTATATTAAGTTTGAGAAGGATAGAATTAGTAGGTTATTACATAAGGAATATGAGGCTCAGAAACATATAAATCAGAGAGTTTATATATGACCTCAGGGACTTATCTGATTGTGTAAATGACAAAGAGATAAAACAGAGTTCAAATATTAGCTTGAGAGTTTCAAATAAAACACTGGTTACTTAAAAAAAAATCCTAAAAGTTGACCATAAATATAAATGTAAACCCTAAGACTATGAAAACTTCTAGAAGAAAACGGGATAGAAAATCTTGGAAACATACGATAGGCAAAAAGTTTCTTAAAACTCAAAAAGCATGAAACACAAAATACAAAAATTATTGCTCTGTGTTACCTACCCGAATGAGTTGAAAACTTTGATTCCCACAAAAACCTGAATACGAATATTCACAGATTTATTTATAATTGCCAATCTTAGAATCAACCAAGATGTTCTTCAGTGGGTGAATGAGTAAACTATAAGACATCCAGAAAATAGAATATTATTCAGTAGTAAAGAGAAATAAGCGATCAAGCTATGAAAAGCAAAATGAGCCAATTTAACAAGCTTACATACTATATAGTTCCAACTATGTGATATTCTGGAAAAGGCAAAACTATGGAGACAGAAAAAAGGTGGAATGGAGAGCGATGACTAGGCAATGCACAGAAGATTTACTCTGTGCAGTAAAAATATTCTGTATGACATTATGATAGTAAACACATGTGACTGGGCATTTGTTCAAACCTACAGAAGGTACAACACCAAGAGTAAACCCTAATGTAAACTATGGACTTTGTGTGATTATGATGTAGATGTACATTCATCAATTGTAATAAATGTACCACTCTGGTTGGGGAAGTAAGTAATGTGTGTGTGTGTGTGTGTGTGTGTGTGTGTGTGTGTGTGTGTGTGTGTGTATAGTGTATTTCATATATATATTATATATACACTATATATATACATATATACCCTATATATAGTGTATTTCTATATCTATATAGCTATATATATATAATGTATTTCAAAGAGAAAATTCTTAGTTATGGTAAAGTCCAAAATATGAATTTTAAAGACATTACTCTTTAAGAGCAGTTTTAGGTTCACGGCAAAATTGAGAGAAAGTTACAGAGATTTCCTATATATTCCCTTCTCAATTTTGCTGTGAACCTAAAACTGCTCTTAAAGAGTAATGTCTTGAAAATTCTATATTGGACTTTATCAAAACTAAGAATTTTCTCTTTGAAATACACTATTAAGAAAATGAAAAGGCAGGTCACATATTAGAAGAAAACATCTCACATATATAAATGAACTTTTATTCATAATATGTAAAAACTCTTACAACTCATAATAAGACAAACATATAATAAAACATAGGTAAAATATTTGAAGAGTCACTTCACAAAAGAAGATATATGAATTACCAAAAGTATATGAAAAGATTTTCAACAACATTTGTAATCAAGGAAATGTGAGATAAAATCATAATGAGACACTACTTCTTTAGAATGACTAAAATAAAACAACACCATTCCAGGTGTTGGTAAAGATATGGAGGAAATAAAACTGGAATTGGTAGGACTGTAAAATGGTACAATCAGTTTGAAAGAGAGTTTGGCAGTTTCTTAGGAAAATAAATATAAACCTACCATACAATCTATTCTGCTTCTAGAAAACAGAATAGAAGCAGAAAAGAAACAATAACATATGTCCACACAAAGACTGTATTTGCATGTTCACAGATGCTTTACTTTTAAGAACCCCAAACTGGAAACAACCCATATGTCCACCAGCAAGTGAATGGGCAAGCAAACTTTGGTATATCCATAAAATGGAATAATACTTTTCAATAGAAAAGTATAAACTACTCATATATTTAACAACATGGATGAAAGTTGAAATTATTATTATTAAGTGATACAAACTAGAGCAAAAATTAAAATGTACTGTGTCATCCCATTTATATAAAATTCTACAAAATGTAAACCAATTTATAGCCACAGAAAACAAATCACCATTTGTCCTGGAACTGGTGTGGAAAAAGACAGGTCAGGAGTGCTTACAAATGAGGGTATGAAAACCTTTGGTGCTGATTGCAGTAATGGTTTTATGAGTTTGTATTAGTCCATTGTCACACTGCTATAAAGAACACTACCTGAGGCTGGGTAATTTATAAAGGAAAGAAGTTTAATTGACTCATAGTTCTGCATTACTGGGGAGGCCTCAGAAAACTTACAGTCATGGTGGAAGGTGAAAGGGGAAGCAGGCACCTTCTTCACAAGGCAACAGGAGAAAGTGAGTGCAAGCAGAGAAAATGCCAGAAGCTTATAAAACCATCAGATCTCACTATCAGGAGAATAGCATGGGGGAAACCACCCCCATAATCCAATCACTTCTCCCCTTTGACAGGTAGGGATTACAATTCAAGATGAGAGATGAGATTTGTGTGGGGACATAGAACCAAACCATATCAGAGTGTATAAGTATGTCAAAACTCAACAAATTATGGCCCTTAAGTATGTGTAGTTTATTGCATTTCAGTTATACCCCAGTAAAGTTTAAAATAAACTTTAGAATTAAAATAATGCAGTGAGAGTCCACTGGACACTCAGTGATACTGGTATCATTGACCTGTTCAGTAAGAGCTGAGTTTGACGTGTGCAAAACCTCCAAGACAAATTGATGTTCAGATACCTTGAATTGTCAGTAGTCTATTCTCTAGTTGCTTTTGTGTGCAGTCTTCATATTCTGAATTTTTTAAAAGAAGATGTTTAGTTGTTTTGTAATCAGAAAAAACATGTCTTCAAGACATAGAAGTTTTCAGTTGTTGCCCCTTTTAGAATACATCATCTACCTTTTTAGAAATTGCTAGAAGAAAAGTATTTCTTATATATTTTGAAAGGAATAAGACTAAAATATTTATGAGAGGACTTTCCCATAAAAGTCCTCACCCATCTTAGAAAATTGCTTGATTTTCCTTCCTCCCACCACAGAAAATGGGTAGAAAAGTGTAATTTATAGTTTCTTCTTTCATAATAATATTGTATACTCCTCATAATTTATGTTCAAATAAATAACACAAGATTTTTTAAGTGTTTTCCTAAATTTTTGATTGAGTTTGTAAAAATATCTGCCTATACAATAGTAATAACTAGGAACTTACCTTAAGAAGAAACTTTCCGTGCCATTCATTGAGAAGTCTACGTGAATGTTGGTAGATTCCTGGAGAGCAGTGGCATGCAGGAAAATCTTTGTGAGCAGCCAGGAAACTAACTGAAGAACAGTGGAAATCAGCTATAGCCACTGAGAATATGAAATCCAACATAAAAAAGTAAAAAAAAAAAAAAAAGATATCTCAGCAAAAACAAACTCTACTAACCGGCATTTGCTGACATTTTCTTAGATAAATACTGTGAAGTATTAATCAGTATGTACTTGGTTGGATTTGGGCTGATTAGAAGCTTTCCTATTGTTTATTTGAAGTCTTATAATCTAGGTTTTTAGTGAGAACAGGTTATAAGGTATTTCTCTATAATTTTAAATATGAGTGGCATTGTTTTTGCATCAGAAAATGGCATCTTGCAGTGGTTAAGAATTTTTTAAAATATTTGCAGGTCTTATTTAACACACACACGTTTTAGCCTCAGTCAGAACTCTTTAATCAAGTATTTTTGGGGCTATTAAGGTTTTAAACATAGTAACTAATACATACATTTAAAGAAAAATAACCACATCATTTGATAAAAGCTATCCCCTGGTTAACAAAAACTCACCATATGAAATGTCTCCATATTTTTCACTTTAAACTACCTGAAGCTTGACAATAAAACTTTTTTTTAAGATTTCATCAATAAGTAAAGTTCTTGTGACTAGGCTAAAAAGTGAAACATATTTTCTGTCCGTGGCTAATTGATTGAAGTGAATAATATCCCTAGTCTGTAGGTGCTCTGTTTCTTCCAATAGAACATTGTACATACAACTTACAGAGCTTCAGGATAATTCACAACCACATTCACAACAATTCGCAACATTCACAATGTCCATGAAACCATTTTAGTTTTTATTTGTCTAGAAAGGGTCTTACTATATATTAGCGGATATGTGCTATTAATAGATGTCATTGGAACTATGTAGAGTCCTGTATTTGGGCATGTGTATCAATCAAGGAAGCAGAAATCATTCACTTTAAAGTCTTAGAAATAGAGGATTTTTAATGAAGGTAAATGATTACACTGAAGATGGAAGAGCCAAGGGACCAAACAAACCCAAAATTATGAATAATAGGAGGTACTACTCTTGCTAGTCCTGTAGGGACAAAAAGCAGATTTTGCTATCAGAGTTGAAAAATCGGAGCCATTTGGCAGAGTTGAGGCCCAGGAAGAGATGCTAGGTGCCACAGCAAATGGTGGGATACCTAAGTTGCTCCCCTACTCTTACCCCTCCCAATTTCCACTGGCGCTTCCTGCTGGTGAACTTCCCACAAATCCAGAAGGCAGTTTCCTGTTAGCAGTGTAGGGCATTGGTAGAGAACAAATCTGAAAGCAAAACAGGTAGTCTATTTAGCCAGCATGCACATGAGAAATGAAGTTAGTACACATAGATGAGGAGAAAAAAAGTAATAAGAATCATAGCATTTGGCTTATATAAATCATATTATGGTATGAATTCTCTTAAGTGCTACAGAAGCATCACAAGCATTGGAAGGGATCAGTGAAGAACAAATTACAATATATACTGCCTCTTTTCTCTGTAACAGGGGTGGCATTAGAAATTAAGCATTACACAACTGCTGGGGTTGGATACCAAATAATCACAATCAGCCTGGGAAAAAAATAAGATTTCTCAATGAGAAATTGTTATTATAACTAATTCTGATAAAATTTGAGATAAGTTGGCCTTATAAAGGCCTTGGCTCCCATTTTTGCAGGCTGTACAAGAAGGTATGGTGTAAGCGTCTGTTTCTCGGGCTTCAGAAAGCTTCCACTTATGGCATAAGGTGAAAGAGAGTAGGGATCATATGGCAATAGAGGAAGAGCATGTGGAGAGAGGTGTCAGGCACTTTATAAGAATCAGTTCTCCTGGGAACTAATAAAGTGAGAACGTACTCTGCCTCCATGAGCCAAACACCTCCCATTAGGCCCCACCTCTAATATTTAGGATCAAAATTTAACATGAGATTTGGAGGGGACAAATGTCCAAACTATATCACTTACCAAACTTAAAATATGTGCTGAAATTAAAGAGACAAATTAATTTTCTACTAAAAATATCTAGAAAATTATTTAATATTTCATGATTCTTTAGCTAGAAATTAACATGATTCATTTTTATTATGTACTTTTTCATATTCTCTTAAAGTGCATCCTGAAAAAAGTGATGAACCTTGTTCAAAATAGTGATATATTTAAAATTTCTTTCAGTAAATTAGGGACCACTTAATTTTGGCCAAGGTTTATAAATTGCTTTGAAATAAAACTACACTTTTCAGGCATAGTGTCTTGGGAAGATTCACAGTTCACAAAATAAATTTCTATTCTCTTCTATTAACTATCTCTAGAAAAGCAATATTTTCACTATGGAATAAGTAAACTGACACATCATTCACCTAGTAATATTATATTAAGGAATATTTTAATGTATTCAGAAAGTTTTTTTTATTTAAAATTGATTAGTTTTATTTTAGGATGTCATCTCTGAAAAGCAAAGAGTTGCATTTATTTGCCTATGGATAAAACAATCCAATCATCAGCTCTTTCAATTATAGGCTAACAAACATGAAGCTATTTGGAGAAAATACTTTCAAAATTTTTCTTCTTGGGTCTAAATAATTGGGGTTGTTTTATTACAATGTAGGTTTAATCTTCCCTTCCACAGATGATTGGCTTGGTCTTCCACTTTTTGCCTGAATGTTTCAGCCCCATCTCTATTCAGCATGTGTTCCAGAAAATGGAGGAAGTTAGTTTTTCTATATAAGTTAAGGCTTGCAAATTAGCGGCCCACAGTTGTGCTGTTTGGCCCACACACAGTGCAGAGGAAAAAATCTTTGATTCAAAGCTAGAAACTTGGGAATTCACACATATACACACACACACACACACACACACACACACACACACACACACAGAGTATATTGCCTGCTAATTTTGAAAAGTCAGACTTGGTTATCCTGTGCCCATATTCCTCGTGTCAACAATTCACTGCTTCTTTGGATTTTATACCGGGTATGCTTTTTCCAGTTCACCAAATTCACTATCACTTTATCGTTGGGTTAGCTCATTCAATGAAATGGGTCAGATATAAGGAGACATTTATATTACCTGCATGCATGATACCCGTATGCATCTGAATTTGCCATCCATGCCATGAGGCAAGATTAGATTATGACTCCAATGTCCTCCAAGCTGATTTTAGGATTCTATTATTTTATAAAAATGGAGTTCTTAATATTTTTTTTTGTAACTTTCATTTTAAGTTCAAGGGTACATGTACGGGTTTGTTACTTGAGTAAACTTGTGTCATGGGAGTTTGTTGTACAGATTATTTCATCACCTAGGTATTAAGCATAGTACCCATTAGTTATTTTTCCTAATCCTCTCCCTCCTCCTACTCTCCACCCTTCAATAGGCTCCAGTGTGTGTTGTTCCCCTCTATGTGTCCAGTGTTTCATCATTTAGCTCCCACTTATAAGTGAGAAAATGCAGTATTTGGTTTTCTGTTCCTACATTAGTTTGCTAAAGATAATGGCCGCCAGCCCCATCCATTTTCCTGCAAAGGAATTTTTTGTTCTTTTTTATGGCTGCATAGTGCTCCATGGTGTATATGTACCACACTTTCTTTATCTGGTTTATCATTGATGGGCATTTGGGTTGATTCTATGTCTTTGCTATTGTGAATAGTGCTGCATTGAATATATGCGTGCTTGTGTCTTTATAATAGAACAATTTATATTCCTCTGGGTATATACCAAGTAATGGGATTGCTGGTTCAAATGGTATTTCTGTCTTTAGGTCTTTGAGGAATCACCACACTATCTTCCACAATTATTGAATAATTAACACTCCCACCAACAGTGTATAAGTGTTCCTTTTTCTCCACAACCTCACCAACATCTGTTATTTTTGGACATTTTAATAATAGCCATTCTGACTGGTATGAAATGGTATTTCATTGTGGTTTTTATTTGCATTTCTCCGATGACCAGTGATGTTGAGCATTTTTTCATATGATTGTTGGCCACATGTATGCCTTCTTTAGAAAAGTGTCTTATCTGTGTTCTTTGCCCAGTTTTTAATGAGTTTTTTTTCATGTAAATTTGTTTAAATTCCTTATAGATGCTGGATGTTAGAGCTTTGTCAGATGCATAGTTTGCAAAAATCTTCTCCCATTCTATAGGTTGTCTGCTTGTTGACAGTTTCTTTTGCTGTGCAGAAGCTCTTTAGTTTAATTAGATCCCATTTGTCCATTTTTGCTTTGGTTGTGATTGCTTTTGGTGTCTTTCTCATGAAATCTTTGCCCATGCCTATGCCCTGAATGGTATTTCCCAGGGTGTCTTCCAGGGTTTTTATAATTTTGGGTATTATATTTAAGTATTTAATCTGCCTTGAGTTAATTTTTGTATATCATGTAAGAAGGGGGTCCAGTTGTAATCTTCTGCATATGGCTAGCATGATATCCCAGCACATTTATTGAATAGGGAAGCCTTTCCTCATTGCTTGTTTTTGTCAAGTTTGTCAAAGATCAGATGGTTGTAGGTTTGTACTCTTAATTATGTGTTCTCTATTCTGTTCCACTGGTCTATGTGGCTGCTTTTGTACCAGTGCTATGCTGTTTTGGTTATTGTAGGCCTGTAGCATAGTTTGAAGTCGAGCAGCATGATGCCTCCAGCTTTGTTCTTTTTGCTGAGGATTACTTTGGCTATTTGGGTTCTTTTTTGATTCCATATGAATTTTTAAATAGTTTTTTCTAGTTCTGTGAAAAAATCCCAATGGTAGTTCAATAGGAATAGCACTGAATTTATACATTGCTTCGGGCAGCATGGCCATTTTCACAATACTGATTCTTTCTATATATGAGCATGGAAAGTTTTTCCACTTGTTTGTGTCATCTCTGATTTCTTAAGAGTAGTCATTTGTAGTACTCCTTGCAGAGATCTTTCACCTCCCTAGTTAGCTGTATTCCTAGGTATCAAGTAGGATTTATCCCTGGGATGCAAGGTTGGCTCAACATAACACAAATCAATAAATGTGATTCATCACATAAACAGGACTAAAGACAAAAAACACATGATTATCTAAATGGATGCAGAAAAGGCTTTTGGTAAAATTCAACATCCATTCATGTTGGGGCCTTTGAAAGATAATTAGTTTTAGATGACATCATGAATATGGGGCCCTCATGATGGAATTAGTTCTCTTTTAAGAGTGCCAGAGCATTCTCTCTCCCTCTCTCTCTCTCCTCCCCTCTCTTTACCATGTGAGAACCCAGCAAGAAGGAAGCCATCTTACTACTCAAGAAGATACCACTCACCAGAAGATCTCCATGCTGGTGCCTTTATCTTGGACTTCCAACCTCCAGAAATGTTAGAAAGTAATTTTCTGTTATTTAAGCTACCCAATCTATGGGATTGTGCTGTGGTAGCCTGAGATAACTAAGACACCAAGTGAAAATGTCTTTCAAAAATGGATGTAAAATAAAGACATTCAGTTACACGAAAGTGGATATAATCTGTCACCATCAGACTCACACTACAAGAAATGCAAGAAATGCTAAATGAAATCCTTCAGAGAGATTGGATAAAAAGCAAGACCAGAGTATATGGATCCTTTGGGAAATTCACTTCCAACATAAAAAAACACAAAAATGATTAAAAGTAAAAAGATAATAAACAATATACTATGAAAACACTAAATAAAATGAATTTTCAATGGCTATATTATCTTCAAAGTAATTTTAAGAGCAAAGAACATTACCAGAAATAAAGAAGTTTGTTTCATAATGATAAAGGGGTCACTTTAAGAGGCTATAACAATCCCAAACAATAATGCATCTCATTATGCATAAACCAAAATCAGATGGCTCTGCAAGTAGAGATAATCAAATCCACAGTTTTAGATAGTAATTTTAACATTTTTCTCAATAACTGACAGAACAAATAAAAAATTAGTTAAGTATACCACTTCACCTAATTTACATTTATACAGCACTGCAGCCTAGGACAGCAAAATACACATTTCTACAGTATATATAGAATATTTACAGAGGTAGATAAGATTTGGGGGCATTTAAAAAAAGCCTCAATCACAACTACAAAAGGACAAAAGGAATATCTTGGGAGCGATGGATGTGGTTATTATCTTGATTGTGATTATGGTAAAATGAGTATATATACATATATATATATGTATATATATCTCAACATTTACCAAATGTTCATTTTATGTGTTGGTTATTTTTCATTTATATTTCAATTTTATCTAAATATGGTTGTTTTAAAAATATGATTTTTAACCAGTTTGTAATGATGTGAAAAAAACTCTTAGGAAAAATGGCAAAATCTAGTTGTTCCACAAAGTGTTACATTACCTTTCATTGTTCTTATACTACTTACTCATAATTTATTGGACATTGTTTGCACTATCATTACACAGGAAATATTCTAAAGTGTAATGCAAACCAATTAAGAAAATACATAGTAATAATACTATTAAATTAAGGTAAATATGGACAACAACAACAAAGGACCAATATTGACTTGGGACACCATTCGCTGTTTCTCGTCTACTGTAATAGGTCATATTCTTCTTAAATAATGGTCAATAATTTTCCTCACTTCATCCTCCAGCCTTGATACTTGTCTCTTTTCCTTACCTATGTGTCTTACTGGTGATCAAGAACCATAAATCTCAAAATAGGAACGTTCGTGAAACAGACATTCTCCTTTTTAAAATTTTTGATCCGTGATCTAGGCAAAGTGCCTATTACTGTTTACACAGATTATAATAGTTTAAATTGTCTTCAGGTTTCTACATTGCTTAGGGCATTTCACATCTCATATCATGTGTCTTTGCATTTTTAAACTTTGGTTCTCTATTGTCTTCCAATTTAAAGATACAATCTTCAGCTTGACATTCAAAGCCCTTCAAAATTATACAACTACCTATGACAACCATATTCTATTCACATGTATTCAAAACTCCAGTAAAAGCAAAGTATTCACAATTTCCTACACATTTTAGTATTTTCCTACCTAGTATACTTTATTCATTCTTTCCCTTCATATCTCTTTCTGTTGAGAGTCTATGTCTCTGTTACCCATTTCATAATACTTTCATAATTCTCCCTATTAATAGTAGTATTTCCTTCTTATGAATTGTCATGTGTTGGTCACGAATTTACTACAGACTATGCCTTGCATTAAAGTTCTTTTCAGTTGTTTTATATACCTCGTGTTACATCCTTTAGAGCAAGAGCAAGGACTCTGCTATGTTTATTTCTTTATTTACCAAACTATCAAGCACAAAGCAATGTACAACAGATTGCCAAAATTTTGTTAGGTTGATGTTAATGATTGTCATTTCAGTGATGAATCATAAAATGTGTTACCCTCGAATTTTGCTCATGTTTCCTTTTATTTCATTATCTCTTTTGTGCAGTACTGTCTCATAGATTTTGTAATCAGTATTTGGCTTAGATATCTGGTCCTACCCTTAGAAGATGTATGACATTAATTGGATATGGCCTAACCTCTTTTTACTTCTTTTTCCAGGATATGCCTTCAAATAAATCCACTGAGAAATAGAAGAAAAAAATAAGGTCTAGAAATGTGGTTAGAGGCTAACCACATCATATGTTTGCCTATTAAGTATAGAGATTCTTGATGTATTTCTTAATATATAGATAATTGTGAGTATGAAAACCACAAAAGCTTATGACTTCATGCCAGGATTCAACCATACGGGTTAAGCTTCACACAATTTGCCGATTAGCTCCTGTTTAAATACTGGATGAGTTCATCACTGCATTTTTCAGAGGGAGTGAGTCATCTCAAAGATACACATAAATATTACTTTTACTGTTGCTTATATTCTCCAGAAAATAGCTGAATCCTCCAGAAAAAAATACCTTTAGCAAACAACTGACTGTATCATTTACCATACAAAGTAGCTGTATGTAAACTATGTTTGGACTCTACAAGGGAAATATTCTCTTGTGTTAATTAGTATCCCAAAGACATTAGAAGAATTTTCAGGTGGAAGGGAGAAGTTGATCAAAGAGTTTCATTCTTTCCTCATGAACTTCTTTGTTTACCTTATAATATCTACCACATAAGCCAAGGACATTGTATGGTTCTCCTTTAGGTTTTTGGTCCAGGTGTGAAAGCAAGCTCTTTAATATGTCTTTTCTTAGTATAATTAGAACTATATAAAATTTCAAAAGTTTGGAAAATTATATTGTTCTTTAAAATTGAGAAAAAAAAGCAAAAACAACCAAAAGCCTGAGAAAAAAATGGAGAAAAGATACAATAAAAAATTCACAGAAAAAGCTATAAAAATGGCTTTTAAACACCTGAAGATATCCAAAATTCAGTCATGAAAAAAGAAATTCAAATTAAAAGTACTCTACCATTTTTCTTAGAAAAGCAAAACTCAAAAGCAAGAAAACATAATTTGTTGCTTAAGTTGTGAGGAAACAAGCACTCTATTGCATTGGACACCCAGAAAATTCAATGTGATAGAGTAGCTTGGGTTATCAACATCTAGTTTGCATATGTTTCACTAAAACATTTAAATACTTGTTACTTGCTTCTCATGAGACTTCATCACGGTAATGTTACCAATATGATGGACTGGCATAACATTATATGGAATGTCTAAATTATTTGGTTTACTCTTCAACGTATCTTCTTTCTAGCCAACATTGAAAAAACATTGCCTATCCTTACCTTTTATTAAAATATAACTGGACTCCAAGATGGCTGTTTTCTTTAATATTGTCGTTATTCTTTTCTGGTCCTTCAGTGGTAGTTGCTTCATATAGTCACTACTTCCACCCAACTCAAAAATTCTTTCCACAAAGGTAATAGAGAAAGAAAACAGTTTTATTATTGAATAAATTTAAATCAGAATGTGATGTTCAGTACAGACAATCTGCTAAGAGATTGCAAACACAAAAAAACTCAGCCTTTTATATAGCCAAGCAGACCCAAGTCATTACATACATATTTTCAAAATAAACGATAACTACTAATTTTTCAGAAAGTAGATTTGAAGGCATCATTTGTCGTAGTTCATCCTAAAGTCAGTCTGGTAATTGAGGTGATAATCTGCATTAGCTAATTGGACTTATTCAGAGGAAAAACTAATGTATATCTTTACAACAGGAAGTACTCCACTACTTAGAGTAATATGTCCACCTAGGTTAGCCCCTTATCTTCCCATAGTAGCTGGAATCTGGGGTTGTTACCTTCCTTATTGTTTACATTTCAAAGAGATGGCTTCCAGATGCTTGAGAAAAGACATTCCTGGGTCATAAAACTGACAAAGATCCTAATTAGTTTTCAAAATGATATACATGCATTTCAAAAAGAGGAGAAAGTACTTAAAATTACAAGTTTAGTTTTCTAAAGTAAACACTCCCAAGAAAAAAGGTTGGAGGTGGGGAGCAGTCTCTCCCTTTATTTTTAACAGGAAGAAATGAGCCTCTTATTTTAAATTTTTATTTGCCTCCACAATGGCTGACAGGCTTTGCTGATAGATTAGATGTGGGGAGTGAGAGAAGAGAGGTAGTTGCTTTTTAAGCCTGAGCAACTGAAAGAAAAGATTTACTTAGATGGAGAAAACATCAGGATAAGCAAGGTGAGGGAAGGGGCAATCAACATATGGGCTTTGGTATATTAAGTTGGAGATGGCTTTTGGACCTTTAGTCATTACCTTAAGCCAGGAGATAGCTATGAAAATTTGAAGTCCAAAGGAAAGGTCTGGATTAAAATTTTTGAAGTCATCACTGTACAAACATTTAAAACCATGGAATGAAAGACAACCATTTTACAGTAGTTCCCCACCCCCTTATCCATGGGGGATACATTCCAAGACCCTCAGTAGATGCCTCATCTCACAGCTATAACCTAACAATATGTCTATGAGGTTTTTCTCAATGTGATAACTGAGACAGCTACTAAGTGACTAATGGTAGCGTAGTTATTATATATACACTGGACAAAGGGATGATTCATATCCCAGAAGGGATGCAGCGAGAGGGTGAGAGATTTCATTATGCTACCCAGAACAGCACAACTGCTTAATATTTTCAGACCCTGTAGACCATGGGTAACTGAGACTGTGAAAGGTGAAACCATGGATAAGTGGGGGACTACTGTATTTATTAGAGATGCTAAGAGAAGAGATTCAAAATCTGAGACCCCAGGAGCACAACAAAGTAAGTTGATTAAGGTAGAAACCAGTGGAGAATATTATGAAGTGGCCGTGAAGTAAAACAAAAAGCCATATGAAAATCTGTCTTCTGTATAGGAAGTGAAAAAAATGTTTCAGGAAGCAGATTAATCATCTGTGTCAAATGTGGCTGAGGTCAAGCCAGTTGAAGACTGGGAAATAATCACTGGATTTCTCAATGTGGAAGACACTGGTGACATTCAAAAGAACATTTTCTATGGAGTTGTGAGGATGAAAGCCTGGCTGGTATAAGTTTGAAAAGGAATGGAAAAGTTTCAGAGAGTAAATATAGACCACTTTTTCCAAAGTGTTGTTATAAATAGGAGCAAAAACATACTGTCTATGTGTAGTTAAATGGAAAATCGGTTTTTTTTTTTGTTTTTTTAAATGGGAGAAATTGTAAGACATGTGAATGCTGATGGGAATGATCCAGTAAAGAGGGGGAAGTAAGCAATAGTCCAGAAACAGGAGGAGGCTGCGGAACAATGTCCTTGACTGGGTGAAAGGGCACAGTGGAGGATATGATTTTTATTTTTGGCAACAATAATTAATCTATTGTAAAGGAAGGAAAGGGTCCAGATGCTAGTTGTTTGGTAGCTATGAGGGTAGGAATTTAGAACATTCTCTTCTCTGACTGCCTCTATATTCTCAGAAAACAGGATGGGAAAAATTGTGAAGAGTTTAAGGAAAGACTATAAGCTATGTCTATGACAACAGGAGAGTATTGTACCAGTGCAATGGAGTGTGATTGCTGGGCAGCCTTAAGAGCTTCTTTGAGGTTATTGCCTTTGAATTTAAAGTAAAAGCAATCCACATGGTTGTGGTTTATTTTTGTTGTTTTTACTTCCAGTTTAGGGGTTGTAGGTACAAACCAGAGCTTGTATTTTGCCAAGCTAATGTGGCAAAGACAAGGGCAAGAGCAAGACAAGGGAGTTGAAATTACAGGAAAGGAAGATATTATAGTAACTGGCCATGGAATTTAAGCTGGCTTAAGAGGGAAGCAAAAAGGTGATAAAATCAGTGGGTTGTAGTTATTGATGGTTATGCCATCAGAGAGTGAAAATTTAATAGAGCTATAGACACTCAAGGTCTTTTCAATAAGGGACTCTGCAGGATAAACCACATCACTAACACATGCAGCAGGCACATTGAGCACTGTAGAGGGTGAAGAATCATTCAGTGTTGGAGTAGTTAACAGCACAATTTTTCTAAATTTCAAAAAATAACAAATTATAAACTACTATGCTTATTACAGTTTAATAGCTTATTCTTCATTACTTATCATTGAATAATGTATTCTTGCCCATTAATAGTTAAATCTAATATAATGGATAAGCTTGTATGTCAATTGAAACTTAACCATAATAATATTTTATTATTTAAAATATATATGAATAATTTAGAAAGCTTTTCAATGATAATCTTATTTATATTTATGCCAACATTATTTTCAACACAGAGCAAAAATTAAACTTCATAACCAAAGTTACATTCATGAATTTTTAAATCTTCCTCTAAGAAAAACAGTTTGCCAAATTTGCTATAGTAATAAATATGTGAGTCACAAGATTCCCTTCTCTTCTATTAAATAAAAATAAAAGAAAATATTCCTCTTTGGAACTAAAGCTCTGGCATGTCCAAAAGTGGAATAGAAGCATATTGGAACATTCATGATTTGGAATATATGCTTTGGTTTGCAAATCTAAAATAAAAAGGATGGCTCAAAATATTGGAGATAAGCTAGTTTAAAGTTCTTCATAAATCATGGCATATTTTCATAAACATGAGGCAAATTTATGTCTCAGGAAGGTTTTGGTATTATTGCTTAAACAAGTGATAAGCCTGTGTACTAAAGATTTTTCCACAAAATATTTCCACTAAAGATTTTTCCAAAGCTTTAACTTTGTATTAGATATTGACATTTTTTGTTACAAAGAAAAATAAATCTTTTTCTGCAGATTGTTAGAACTGGAATACCTAAATATGTCATTGTTTTTCATAGAATAACAATTAATAGATAAACCTGCAGCAACATAGTGGTTCTATACCAAGGAACTAATCTAATGTCTATTTTTCAATAACAATAACAACAACAAAATCATTTTGTGTCAGATTGCTGAGTGAAGTGAAAGGGAGATATGAAACTGATTTGTGATGGCGTTTGGGTGCCGACCAAATAGAGAACTGAAGAGGACCATTGGGAAGTCATCTTGGGAGATATCCTTCAAATCACAAGGGAGATTACAGATGAACACATTTACGGGTTTTGCTCTCAAGAGTAGATTTTACTGAGTGCAAAGCAGGAGGCTGCCACAACTGTAAAGGTATTACCTGTGCCTTTCAAAGCTACACAGGTGTCCCTTGGTATTTATTTTATTGAAAAAAAAATGTGCTAGAGTATTCAGATGAGTGTCAGAAAAATAATTTGTAGAGAGTCATGTTTATGAATTGTTCAGTGATAGAGTAATATATTTTTAAAATGTTACAAGTATGCCTAAAAAGTCTTCTCTGTAAAAGTAAAATTTATTCATATTATCATAAAACAACTATTTATTTTTAGCCCAATATGTGCAAAGCAATGTATTAGAGCCAAAGAATAAAATTATCAAATCTGTTTTTTTAACTGCATCAAATATATCAAGTATATACATATCTGTATATGTATTAGCTAGAGATTTTTTTTTTTAACCACGGGGGAAAAACAAACAAACAAACAAAAACAGCATAGCATCTAGTCTCACGACTTTAGGTGGTCATAGTTCCCAAATTCATATTCACAGGCCAGGCATTGGCGCTGAAATCGAGATAGTCTACTTGGCATTTCCACTCAAATATCTAATGGGGATCACAAACCCAATGTTTCTAAAATAAACTGTGATTTTATCAACTAAAACTTGCTCTTCTTCCCTGCCTTTATATTCCAGTAAATGCTTCTATGTGTTTATTTCATTTCTTGCCCCTCATATTCTACAACCAACAGTTAGATAACCCTAGCTACCTCGCACATACATCTTTTTTTTTTTTTTTTTTGAGACTGAGTCTCACTCTGTCACCCAGGCTGGAATGCAGTGGTGCCAATTTCGGCTCACTGCAACCTCCACCTCCCAGGTTCAAGCGATTCTCCAGCCTAAGCCTCCTGAGTAGCTGGGACTACAGGCTCGCCACAATATCTGGCTAATTTTTGTGGAGAGTCATGGCTACATGCTACAGGAGGGCCACCATATCCGGCTAATTTTAGTAGAGACAGGGTTTCACCATCTTGGCCAGGCTGGTCTCAAACTCCTGACCTCATGATCCACCCGCCTGGGCCTCCCAAAGTGCTGGGATTACAGGTGTAACCCCAGCCTCTCTCACATACATCTCTAATTTATCCATGTATTTCCTTCTCCACTGCTTCCATCTGACCAAAAACATCATCTTTTACTTGGACTATTGTAATTTCCTTACTGATCTCTTATTTTCCATCCTTGCATCTACCTCTCAAAATATTTTAAACTCACAGAAGAGCCACGATGATCTTATTAAAATGTATATTTTTTAAAAAGGTCAAAATATAAACCAAATCATGTCACTGTGTTAAATCCTTCAGTGGTTTCTAATTGCATATTGAACAAAATTCAAATATTTTATTGTGAGTGCAAATACCTGGATTACCTGTTATCTTCCCATTTCTTTTACTGCAGCTCCTTTTCCTCTCCCCCAAAGCACTGATAGCTAATTCTAGTGAATTTTCTTTGACTATGCCATCACTTGTAAAGCCTTTGTACTTATTCCTTTAAATTCCTCTCCCAGCACATGTGTCCGATAATGGCCCTCCTTGGTTATTTGTTATAGAATTTACACCAATCTGTAATTATCTCCTTTATTATTTCTTTATTTCTCCTATGTCTTTTTATTAGATTGCAGGATCCAGGAAGGCAGGAACCTGGCTGCCTTTATTACTACTGGAAGCACATAGAATAGGACCAGACAAAAACGGTATAAATGTTTTTTGATTAAAATAATAA
The DNA here is from genome assembly GCF_000001405.40 of Homo sapiens. Taxonomy (NCBI): domain Eukaryota; kingdom Metazoa; phylum Chordata; class Mammalia; order Primates; family Hominidae; genus Homo; species Homo sapiens. The sequence goes on from NC_000014.9 coordinate 46,578,658, forward strand.
ATATAGTATTCCAAATATTCCCATTACTCCTGATTCTCTTTCAGTGTTTATTAACAGTGTATACATTATCTATACTTGCCTACATAATTGCAATCACTACAAATATTGTAAGCAGTATATAGAACCTTATTATTTAACATGATCTTTTATATAAGTGTCCACGGTAGCATCTTAGTTCAGTTCCATTTAACAAATATGTATTGCACATGTATTGTATATCAGACTTTGTGTTAGGCACTGGTTACACAGAGATTAATACAGTATGGTTCACTGAAATATTATTAATGCTTGTAGTTCTGGAAGGATCATAGGTGATTTTTATTTCATTCATCTGTTGTTTACTCTTCATACTTTATTAATTCTTTACATTTTGTGATAAAATATTTTTGTTTACTGATTCTAAAATAAATAGTACATGTATGACATGAAAATTCAAAGAATATAGATGTGTATGTAAGAGGACATCAAAAGTCTTTCCACATATTCTTCATCAATCAAATAGCATTATTTTTAGTTTTATTCCATGAAAGCCAATTATAACTACTGTTATATAGTCAGTTATTAACTCATCAGTATGACAGGGAAATCTTTTCATGTTTATACAAGTATTTATAACCTGACCTTAATTATAGCTGCATAATAGTCTATTATTAATTACTTAATTATTTAATCTATCTTCCGTTGTTAAAATTTTGCAAAAACAAAAAGATAAAGCAAGTTTGAACACTCATCAAATTACTTATGTTAGATGAATTTTATACCTTTACTTATCTCATTTTTAAAATCTTTTTTATGCAGTATGAGTTTCTTTAAACAAAAAACACACTTCTATTTAACCTATACTTATTAGTTACAATTACATGTGTGATTGGTATTAGTTTTCTATCATTTTCAATATCTTATATTCATTTTGCTTTCTTACTTTTTCTTTCTTCCTATTTTTTCCCAAATTGATAATTTTTTTCCATAGTTTTTCTCTCTTTATAATTTTTCTGTATTGCACTCATTTTCAAGCATGGTGCTAGAATTTCCTGCACTGTTTTTATCTAAAAGTTACTCTGATAGTTCATTTTGTACTAGAGCCTGCTCTGGATAGTTTAATTTAACGACATCTTGAATCACACTGAGAATACAAATTAAACTATGCTATCAACTTAATTATGTCCCCCTGTCTCCCAAATTCATATGTGAGGCCATAATCCCCAATATGATGCTATCTGAAGATGAGTCATTGAGAAGTAATTAGTGTTATAGGAGGTCATGAGGGTGGAGTCTTCATGATGGAATTAGTAGATTTATTTTAAAAAATAAAGATCTCTCTGTCACTTTCTCTCACCACTTTCTCTCTCTCTCCCTCGCCCACCTGCCACTTGAAGACAAAGTGAGAAGATGGCTGCCTGCAAGCCAGGAAGAGGGTCCTCACCAGGAAACAAATTTTGGAGTTGAACAAGCCTCCAGAATTGTGAGAAAATACATTTCTGTTAAGTCCTGCAGTCTGTGGTATTCTGTTATGGTAGCTGAGCTGTCTAAGACAAATTATTAATGTAATCTTTTGCATTTGGCATCAACTCCCTTTCCCTAGGGACTTCAGCTTCTGTACTGAATCCGAGGACCTCAACCTCTGTACTGAATCAACCTCTGTACCGAATCTACTTATGCTTGCAGGTGATAATCTACATCAGTAGTTCTCAAAATGTGTTATGCTTCATAATTACATATTGAGATTTTTATTTTCTAAAAATGTGCTTACCTGACACATCTTGGCATGTCCCAAATCAGAATCAGGAAATCCAGAGAGGCCTATGATCCAGGGTATTTTAAGAAAGCTTTTCAGGGAATTATTATATGCACCCTTGATTAAAAAAAACCAAGTGGGTCATATTGACATATTGGTAGTTTGCTTGGACTCCTTCAGCAATTGTATAGATCAATATTTCATTGATTTTGATGATCATCTGACCAATCCTCAGGAAGTGGCAATGAGCCCAGTTTAGTATTAAAGTTCAATCCATTCAATGAACGAATTGAATTGAATTTCCTGAATAAGTAAACTTGGGAGTAAAATGCTGCAGCTAGGCCTTTTGGTGGCCAGGTTCTCCCGTGGCCCTGCTGTGGTTTCTTAGAAGTGATTTCATTTGGTAAGAGCTATAAGTTATCAGTTGAAAGTAGGGTTAGACTAAAAGCTGATCACCTTAGTGATTTTCACTCCTGAGTGTTTTATCAAGACGAAACTAGTTAGAGATTCTGCCTCATCTCATTTTCATACTAGCAATATCAGGAACCTGTAATGTTAAGTTCCTCACTTTACCTTTTGAAGTGCATTTGGTGCACCAATATTGTTTGTCCCATTCCAATTTTCACGCAATTACCCACCCAAAGCTCTTACTTTCAGAAACTTCTTCCCTTGGCTTGGGACAGAATGGGAGGAAATTATTTACATATTTCTCTGAAAGTCCTTCCTTTTCAAGTATGACATCATAGGTGTTTCAGCATTAATGGCCTTTTCTTTCAACTTGACTCCCTCTGCTTAACATACTACAGAAATTTCGGAAAGTTCCTAGTTGTTTTCTTATTTTCACGAGGAAGAAATCTGTAGTCTCTTCTTGTCACCACTGGAGGGCGACCAAGTTCTTGGCGTCTTGAACAAAGAATTGGCCAAAATGCACAAAGGAAGGAAGGAATTAAGGGATTTATTGCAAATAAAAGTACACTCCACAGTGTGGGAGTGGGACCAAGCATAGGGGCTCAAGGGCCTCATTACATAATTTTGGGGTGTTTAAATACCCTCTAGAGGATTCCATTGGTTACTTGGGGTACACCCCATGTAAATGAAGGGATAAAGTAAAGTTACAAAGTTATTTACTTGGCCTACACCCTATGGAGACAATATTTCCTGTCATAGCTGAAGTGTGAATTGGCCTTATGTTCCCTGCCTTCAGACCCTCTTTTCCTGCCTCATCTCCCCCATGAGAGATGTGACCCCATAAATCTTTATGGGAGGCAGAGAAACCGATGATCTTTTTTCTGTATCTGCTTCATGCTGGCTTGAGGTGTAGTCCCTACCTACTGAGGATCATGGAACTCTCACCCTGCTCTGTCTGGTGAAGGCAAGGTAGCTTCTTGATGGCCAGGGGTGGTGTCTTCACCTGGAACTGGCTGGAACCTTTGTTGCATGATGATGTGAAGCTTGATGGTCTCTAGGCAAGAGGAAATGAATTTGGTTAAAAGATTGTGAACTTCATGGGGTGGATACCTATGCTATCAAAAATGTTTGTTACAAAGATTTGCAGCAGGAAAAAAAACAAAATCTGGTTTGTTCTAGAACCTATGTGTTTTCTTAACACACAAGCAACTCCGTTTTGTTTGGTTTGGTCTGTTGGGGCCTAGTGCATGAGCTTAGTCCAAAACAATGGTCCCCAGAATTTTGTTTAAAAAAAACTCCCCCGGCCAGGCGCGGTGGCTCACGCCTGTAATCCCAGCACTTTGGGAGGCCGAGGCGGGCGGATCACGAGGTCAGGAGATCGAGACCATCCCGGCTAAAACGGTGAAACCCCGTCTCTACTAAAAATACAAAAAATTAGCCGGGCGTAGTGGCGGGCGCCTGTAGTCCCAGCTACTTGGGAGGCTGAGGCAGGACAATGGTGTGAACCCGGAAGGCGGAGCTTGCAGTGAGCCGAGATCCCGCCACTGCACTCCAGCCTGGGCGACAGAGCGAGACTCCGTCTCAAAAAAAACAAAAACAAAAACAAAAAACTCCCCCTTTTTGGTCAGGTTCTCACTCAGGTGAGAGTGTGACCAAAACTTAGGGCCTTAGCACCATTCTCAGTTACCATCGTTTTGGGTTTCCTGTCTTAACACGTCATTCTTAGGTTACTGTGTCCTCATGGTTGCACATTTCTTTTAGCTCCTGTCATTCCAGTTGAAGACAGACCACATGACATTCTACAGATGGCTGCATGTAAGCATTTAAAACCTTTGAGAAAATACAGTGCACCAGGGAGACTATTATTATGACTATTGGGAGGATAATACCAAGAGTTTGGAGTATGCTGCTTACCCAAGGTCACCACAAGCCAAACCTCCTAAAATCAAATGGATCAAAAAATAAGCTAGATAAAGAGTGTGCTCACTTAACTAAGTAGTCTCTTTGTTAATCCCCTACCACTGAATTTCTATAATCTTCATTTGATGTATTTTTCCATAGGCCACAAGTGCTAGTGGCTGCACAGCTGCTTCTTTGTTTAGCCAATTCTATTATAACTTTCACAAAAGAATTTAAAGTCTGTTGCATAACTGTAGCCTTTACAGTAGAATTTGCTATAGATGTTATCATGGGAAATACATTTCTAATCATTGCCTCTTTTACTTTAAACCACAGAAAAAGGAACTAACAAATGATCCCTTTTAGAAGAGTGAAGGCCTCCTGGCAATGTTCTCTTTAACCCATGATGTGAGTTAAGAGGAATCAACCAATGTTTTGTTTTTGACTGATTATGAGGCAACGTACATACCATTAAAGTTCCTTACCTACATTGGGCCTTCATCTTTTATCTATCAAAGTATAAGTTTATGTATAAGGCTGGCTATAAACTTCTTCACAAATAAAAGTACACCCCGTAAGTGCACGTAACAGACCCCTTTTCCACTTGTATTGTTTATAAAGGCATAAGCAAGGGAAAATATTCAAAGATAAGAGTTTCATGATAGAAGTCTTCATCTGCCAACTTGGGAAAAGCTATTCACATTAAGGATTCCATCTTTTTCTTGGAAGACATTTCCCTGGTTAGTTTTACCTTAAGGGTTCCAACGGGTGTACAGTTCTGAGAGTGTAGAGGGACCCTTCTCATTTATGAGATTATGAACCCAAACTTCAAGGTCCTAAAGTTTTTGTTGTAGTCTGGATGGCAAGGACAGTCTTTCGCTGATGTTTTCGGAAGATCCAAAACATAAAAAGCTTTTTCACCTGCTGAAAATACACTGTTGCATAATAATCTACTGTTACAACATCAGCCCTCTCGCATGGGAAAGCTTTATACAACCAGAAAACATGCATGGAAAATAACAATTGAATGAAATCCCTTTATAAAAGGTTTAAATGGCCCACCAGGTGACCAAATGTACCTGAAGCTTTAATTGTTTTCCCAGGCATATAGGACCAAACACTGATAATAAACTATTTTAGTAATTTGTAAGTCACTACACCATTGTATTCAATCTGGATCATTTTATCTTTTCCATGATGAGTCATGGAATGCAGAACTTTTAATAATAAGAGCTTTAAGGACTCAGGAAGGACAAGAAGGCCATCTGGTTCTCCATGAGTCCATACTTAATCAACATTAGACTTCTATGCTCTTGAATACCAGTTTTTCCAAATTAGGTGCATAGCACTGACAAGGAAATTTAGTTATTCCTGTGGTTATTTAATTTAATTATTTAATTTGGTTATTACAATAACATAATAACCATACTTAGACATTAGAATTTTAGAAATCCCATGCAATTTTGGAACATATATTAGCATTATTCACAAAAATATAACCTAAAGAAGACTGAACATCATTTTAGCAATCCCATGTACCTAAAAATGTCAAATAATTCTGTTTACCTCTTTTCTGGATGTTTTCAGGGGCTCTCTGATCCATCCAAAAAGCCAGGCATTCAGAAAGAGAATTTTGAAACTGAAGTTTGACTTTGGAATTCCAGATTCCCATAAATTATATATTTTGCCAAAATGATGACTCAGAAATTTTAAAGAAGCAAAAACCTTTTGTAACCTTTTACAGGGAAAAAAAACACAATTTACTGTTCTTACATACCTTGCATGTAAAATTGTTTCTAGTAGTCATAATTGCATGTTACAAAGGCAACTCTTAGCAATTTTAACATAAAACCTGGAAAGTTATGTTCTGAAAAGGTTTGACTATCTCCAGCATAGCTAGAGAGATGTGGCCAACTCCACATGTCCCCAGGCCTTACCTAGCTGGAAAGCAGGCAAGTTAAACAATTTTCAAAAGCCAAAGAAACAGTTTATGACTTTAAAGTATTTAGAAAACCTAAGATTTGAACATAATTTAGACCACATGTTTACATTTTGAAGACATTTGTATTTTACCAATAATCTTTAAAACTGTTTATTTCCCAAAAGATTACTCAAGTCACATGAACTAAATAAAAGACATTATGTTTTTCACTTTTCTGACAAAGTATTTGATTTAAGCTCTTATTATTAAACAAATTAATGTAAAACTTTACAGAGGAGATAAACAGGTGACTTATACCTTTTATTTAACCAGTTTACATAGAGAGAAAGAGGCCAGAGACTGGCTGGTAAGAAATTCTTACCCTTTTGCTGGCATGCCAGGTTCCTGGGCTCTCTCTCCCTGAGCAGCCCTAGTGACCCTGCTTGACTGTATGCAAACAAACACATTGCCATGAGTTAAGAATATTCACAGTTTACAAATTTTGGACCAATTAGGCAGAGAGAGAGAAATATGATTCAAATTCCATTTATGAAAGTATGCTCAATACACTTAAAGTATCAGGAAGCCTAAAATCCAAAGTTAGTTTAAGGTTAAAAGTCTGATGTGCTCTATCAGTTCTTGTGGGCCAAAGGTAGCCTAGGAATTTAAGATAAATGAAGAGTAAACAGCAAACAAATGAAAACTAGAAGCTAAAACAAACAGGAAACCAACCCTAAATTTTTCTACTTAATTTACCCTGAAGACTACAGTGTTACCTAGGGTCTCAGAAAACCCACATAATAAGTATTTTATTCCTAATACACAATTAAATACCCTTACGTTCACCAATATTGTCATATCTCCTGTGCAATCAAGAAATTCACTTTAGGCACATGACCAATAAGTACTCTAACACTATCCACACAAAATGGCAAATATAGTGTGAAGCAATGCAGGCACGTATATGAAACTTGGCCTCACACTAAATCCAGCTTCATGCTTAACTATATTAAAAAATGAATTGCCAAACTGCCAATGCATTTCTCTTTTTTTTTTTTTTAGATGGAGTCTCGCTCTGTTGCCCAGGCTGGAGTGCAGTGGCATGATCTTGGCTCACTGCAACCTCCATCTCCCAGGTTCAAGCGATTCTCCTGCCTCAGCCTCCTGAGTAGCTGGGATTATGGGTGCACACCACCACACCTGGACACTTCTTATTTTACTTTAATTTACTTTAATCAAGATTAAGAGCTTTAACTATGAAAGTGTTAATTAGCCAAATGTCTCCAATTCTCTACCAGGTTTTAAAAAACATTTTATTAGGCTGGGCGAGGTGGCTCACGCCTGTAATCCCAGCACTTTGGGAGGCCAAGGCAGGTGGATCATGAGGTCAGGAGATCGAGACCATGGTGAAATCCCGTCTCTACTAAAAAATACGAAAAAATTAGCCGGGCGCGGTGGCAGGCGCCTGTAGTCCCAGCTACTTGGGAGGCTGAGGCAGGAGAATGGCGTGAACCCAGGAGGTGGAGGTTGCAGTGAGCCGAGATAGCGCCACTGCAATCCAGCCTGGGTGACAGAGCGAGACTCCATCTCAAAAAAATATATATTTTATTATTTAAACTTTTTCCACATCTTTCTCCCCTACTTAATAACTCCTAACTACACTGTTTCATAAGTAACCTTTGCAAATCTGTAATTTGAACTAACTTTTAGATAACTTCTGAATTAGACAAAATTATTCTTTTTTCACTAATAACATAACCCTTTATGGCACATTTTGTATACAGAATTTTTGTCCTTAGAACTAGAATTTTTATCCTTAGTAACCTAAAACTTTAGTGAAACCCTAAAAAGCAAGAAATCCTGACCTATCAGATATGAGCATTTATAGATCAGAACTATTCCACAATTTTAGAAACATATTTCCCATATCATAATCCTTTCTTAATTGGAAATGACCCAGATATTAAATGAGCATCAAAAATAAGTTTAAGATTTTAATTTACACAAAAAGTTAACCTAAAATATTTATCCCATTCACTGTACTTAATTTTTACTTTTTTTTTTTGTAACAGAGTCTCACTCTGTGGCCCAGGCTGGAGTGTAGTGGTGAGATCTTGACTCGCTGCAACCGCTGCCTCCCAGGTTAAAGCGATTCTCCTGCCTCAGCCTCCCGAGTAGCTGGGATTACAGGCGTGGGTCACCATGCCAGGCTTTTTGTATTTTTAGTAGAGACAGGGTTTCACCATCTTGGCCAGACTGGTCTTGAATTCCTGGCCTCAAGCAATCCGCCTGCCTCGGCCTCCCAAAGTGCTGGGATTACAGGCTTAAGCCACTGTGCCTAGCCCTAATTTTCACTTTTAACAAGGGAGACATGAACCATCAATCCACATAGGTAAAATGAACATTGATTTGTTTGGAAAGGCAGGACAAATCGAGTTGGGGAGGGAGTTTGAGGACTTTCAGATCACAGGTAGGTGGGAGACAAACAGTTGCATTCTTTTGAGTTTCTGATTAGCCTTTCCAAAGGAAGTAATCAGATATGCATTTATCTCAGTGAGACTTTGAACAGAATGGGAGGCAAGCTCACCCCAAGCAGTTCTCAGCTTGAAATTAACACTGACATTTAAAAATATCTAGCAAAGACAAACATAAAATTCAGACAAAATGTATGCTGACAATTCCGAAGGCATTTCTATTTTTATTCCACCAAAAATTTAAAGCTAGCTTGTTCAGTAAAGTTATACTTTAAGTCACGTGAACTTGAAAAATGCTTAGACTTATTTTACTTATAAGCCAGTTTGGTAGACACAACATATAACAATAAGTGTACATACAAATAAACACATCTAGACATGTATGGACACACATAAACGAAGATCCAATAGCTTGGAACCTCAGCCATGAGACAGCAATATGAGCTTGCCAGTTTTACTTCGCCCCAATAGATAATCCAATGAAGGCTGTGAACCAAAATTTCGGGTAAAGCAGTCTCCATGGCAGTTTCATTTTTAGGGGCCAAACCTCCCCAGACTCCAAAGAGTACTCGGGCCAAATAGTACCAAAGGAGGGTGTCACATGTTAACTAGGCCCCCTGCTTAGGACAGCAGCACAAGAGCCTGGATACATGCAATGCCATCCCACTACCGAGTAGACCGTAAACTCCAGATTCAAAACAATATTGGGGCCAAAAAGCATTGCAATGATGAGAGAAAATTCTAAGGAGGGTTTAATACTTTTAATACTAGACCTCAGAACCTATGCCAAGAGCATCCTCTTTGGAGGGGTTGAGGTACACTGGATCCCCCAGAGTGTCCTCCTGTGGGGTCCAATCTTAGTGTCAGTAGTCTCTGACCTTAGGTGGGCACTGGTGCCACTTTACATGCTTTCCCTCCAGAGCCTACAATGAGCTTTCCTTTGGTACCTGGGTGTAATTCCCAACTTTCAGCATTCTTATAATTTGATAAAGCCACACCTTCCCATGCTTCCCATTCCATGAACTTTAATGATAGGAACTGAAGTTTGGGTGGGTTTCTTTTGCCCTTAGCCAGGTGAATAGGGGAAAGGAAGAATTTAGCATAAGATAAGAAGGTATAAATAGCCTGAAAAATGTGCAAGTTTGCTATGAGCTGCACCACATGTAGTGATCAGTGACCAAGGGCAGAAAAGATTAAAAAAAAAAAAAAAAAGAGTCCTTCCCGCTCTGGGCAGGGCAATTATTTCCATTCATTCCTAGGCCTTTAGGGAATACCAGGTAGGGACCCCAGCCGACTGCCCTCAATTTCCAAGGAGCTACTAGGAAACAGCTGCTGAAAGGCTGAAAAAGAAAGAGAGGACAAAAATGAAAAAGACCCAGGTCCCTCAAGTTATCTGGGTGGTGGCAGTTAGGCTTCTCCTCATGGAAACCCCTTAATTTCATTGGCCATGGCCAGAAACCTGCAGTTGCTTCCACGTTTAGGTACTTCCCACCAAAAGTCCTGAGTTGGAAAGGAGAGAGAGAGAGAGAGAGAGAGATTGATTCCCCAGTATGCAGCAAAAGGGAAAAGGAGACAGGAGAAAACTAAGTCCCAAACTTAGGGCTTACCTCCTCCTCCTGGCTGGATCACCAAAACATGTGACCAGGGGAGGGTGTCCAGGTTCTTGGTGTCTTGAAGAAAGAATTGGACAAAATGCACAAAGTAAGGAAGGAATGCAGGGATTTATTGAAAATGAAAGTACACTCCACAGTGTGGGAGTGAGCCCGAGCAAAGGGGCTCAAGGGCCCCATTAAAGAATTTTGGGGAGCTTAAATACCCTCTAGAGGATTCCATTGGTTACTTGGGGTAAGCCCTATGTAAATGAAGAAGATGAAGTAAAGTTACAAAGTCATTTACTTGGCCTATACCCTATAGAGATGATATTTCCTGTCATAGCTGAAGTGTGAATTGGCCTTATGTTCCCTGCCTCGGGACCCCATTTTCCTGCCTCATTGTCTTGAGGGATTTTCATTGTTCACAGTTACTGTTTCATATTATGCAGAATCAATTTGCTTAGACATGTCTTATGGGCCATTTGAGTGTTTTTTCATATTCAAAGTAATAAATATCACTTCTCAAAATATTTTGATAAAATAAGGGACAGAGGAAGTAGGGGACAAGTTCCATGGAGTACATTTCCCAAGGAGTATTTTATTGGGGAAATACCGTATGTGAGTAATTTTCTTTAGGACATATTACATATAAGAAATTGGCTCTCCTAAAAGATTGATGATATTTACAGTGCTACTGTCAACATGTAAGTATATCTAAATTACACACAATTTATCTTTATTATTTTAAATAGGTGAATAACGATATCTATACATAACCTTATTGCTTTGGGCTGTTCAGTATCTTTCTCACTGTTCTAGTAATAGTCAGAGGTTTTGCAAAATCAGTATTTCCCTACTCTACATCCACATGGTTCGAGTAGGCCAACCTACCACAGGCTCTTCCCTAAACATTAAACATTGACCTGAAGACTAAAAATGACTCCAACTGATTTACGCTGGTGGATGCACACTCGGTAAGATTGTGTTTTAGTTTCAATAGCAAGATCCCCAGAGCTGTATTACTCTTGGCCTTTACTGAGCCTACTTCAGTAGCTTTTCTTTGACTATACGAGCCCCTCCACATAATATCCAAACAATTCTTTATTTGCTTAAATTTCTGAGAGTAATTCCATTGTTGAAAAAAAATTACTGGTTCTTATACAGTATTATTTTTATTTGCTTTTTATTTTTTATTTGTTAATGAGAACATGAGTTTCCTTTATACTTTGAACTAATCCACTTTTTTTACTCAACTCAACTAGCATATTTTGGGCATTCTATTAATTGTTTTGGGATAAAAACACTAGTGTGTTGTAAATTCTGACTCAAAAAGCTTACAAAATACTTGTGTAGACAAACATGTAAATATCTAACAAAAAGCTATACATTTCAATTGAACTTTTTTTTCTATTTTTCAAGTATAATTGGTCAATTAGATTAACATAGCTTAATACAGTCTTTGCATTTGGATAATTGCTATTCTCTGTTATGTTATATTTGTAAGTATTTTCCTGATTTATTTGCTTTTCTTTTAATATTTATTTTCATTATATTTTATTGTATACATATACCAGAATATAATATATAGCCATCCTTCTGATTTATTAAAAATATTGTATGTATCTTCATTGTAAGAATGATTTTTTATTATTTTGTTTTAATATATATATTATGTATTTATCCAGCATACATTATGACATGTGGTATCGGATCTATTTCACATTGTCCCCATTCTCATATTTAATTATACTAATATTTGCTTAATGAAACACTTTCTCATTGCTGATTTTATCTCTTTGCTTAAGCTTAGTATAAAAGTTTGAATTAATTTTTTGAAACATTAATTTTTGGAAAACAGATTATTGTCTTTTCTGTTGAAATATAATACTGCACATGTTAGAGAAGTTAAATTTTTAATATACTTCAAAAATTTTGAAGGGCATGTCTACTGCCAATACCTTAAAAAAAAGAAAAGAACTTTTGCTTGCTTTTCCAGCAGGAGTTTACTTTCTTTGATGCAAGTTTTATGAAATGTATCACAAGAATGTTAACTAGAAACGGACTTGTCTATATATTAACTCAGGGGTGCTGTCATCCTTACCATATTTAGTCTTCCCAGCAACGATCAAAATCTTATAATTATTCATGTCTTTATCTTTCTTAATTTTTTCATTAGTGTTTTATAATTGGTTTTGAATAAATAGCCTAGCTTAAGTTAAATTAGTCTCAAACCAATTCTATTCACCATTGAAAATAAAGCTCCTTTTATTTTCATGTTTCATGTTACTTGCATACAATAATATAAATGACTTTTAACAATTAATGGTATACATTCCAAACTTGCTTAATTAATTTATTACCTAAAGCCATTTTTAGTTCTTTTCCTTATGCTTGTATTTATGCTAACTATACAGATTTATATTTTTAATTTATCAATTAGTGTAATTTAAAATTACTTACAGGCCAGGCCCAATAGCTCATGCCTATAATTCCAATACTTCGGGAGCTCAAGGCAGGATGAATCGCTTGAGCCCAGGAATTTGAGACCAGCCTGGCAACATAGTGAGACCTTGTCTCTACAAAAAAAAAAAAAAAAATTTAAAACTAGGATTGCTTGAGCCCAGGAGGTCAAGGCTGCAATGAGCCATGATCCTGCCACTGCACTTCTGCCTGGGTGACAGAGCTAGACTCTGCCTCAAATAAAATAAAATAAAATAAAATAAAATAAAATAAAATAAAATAAAATAAAATAAAATAAAATATTACTTATCGATTTCTGAATCAGGAATGTATCTTGGATTTAAGATTTTCCAATAAACTGCTTATATCCAATAAACTGCTTGAAAGCTTTTTAGTGTTAACATATTAATTGCAATGCATCCTAAGTGAAATGACAATTTCATTTCAAAAGTGAAAGTGAAACTTCAGGCTAGGCGCGGTGGCTCAGCCTGTAATCCCAGCACTTTGGGAGGTCGTGGCAGGCAGATCACTTGAAGTCAAGAGTTCAAGACCAGCCTGGCCAACATGGCAAAACCCTGTCTCTAGTAAAAATACAAAAATTATTCGGGTGTGGCGGCGCAGGCCTGTAGTCCCAGCTACTCTCCTTGAACCCAGAAGGTGGAGGTTGTAGTAAGCCAAGATCATGCCACTGCACTTCAGCCGGGGTGACAGAATGAGACTCTGTCTCAAAAAACAAAAACAGAAAGTGATACTGAAATGTCACTTTTTCTGAACATTATATTTTATACCTGAATTTTCTCTACTCTGTCCTCACCATTTTCTTTGTCATCTAGGTTGAAATTCTTAGAAATTTCTTGTTTAGTTCTAAGTCCACATTCCATATAGCTAATTATTTGCTAAGTCTTAAGGATTCTTTCTTTACAGTGTTTTTCCACATATACCTTCATGTTTACTTTAACTGTCAACTCTTATTTAGAGACTGCAGCAATTATTTTGAACTAATTTCCATTCTCCTTTAATCTCCGTGCTACATTTCATCCTAGATATATGACAGGTTAATCTCATTTTCACTTCACAACTCTTATGCTCAAAGGTCTTTAATAACTCCTTACTAATTTCTAGTTTTGGTTTAAACCTCTCTGCCAAGGGACTCCTAAAACATGTTCCCAAATAATCATTCCAACCTTTTCTCTCAGTGGTACTATTGCACATATCCTGAGCTGCAATTATATTTAACCAATCACTTTTCTTCCTGTCCAGGAAATTTGAACAGAAGTCTTAAAGGTTCCTGAACTGTTAATACCCTTACAAAAAGCATATGGACACCCCTCAAATATTTCTGTGGTTTGTCTTGCAGACTTTGCAATAGCAATTGATCAATGGATGTCTAAGACATCTTTGAAAGACAGAAGAACTGACCCTCCTTTTTACATTCCTTTTTAGAAAAACTAGCTCCACCATCCCTGGATTCTGCCCATACTGGGGACAACATTAGAGAATGGTCTATATGGAATACACAATACCAATGGAAATATTCCCTCCCTAAGCAGAAGACTGAAGCACTTTTCAAGTAAATAGCTCTTCACCTATATCAGCATTTCATTTTATCCACCAGTACATCTAGAACAGCCTATATTCTCTTTAAAAATAAGAAGTGATTTTATAAATGAGTATCCTAAGCAGAAATAGAGAGGATTGCCTTAATTATGCTATCCTTAAAACAAGTCCAACCTTCAGTCTGTAAATTCTACAGAAATAACATTATTTGACCCCAAAAAATAGTAGATTGTAAGTCAACACAAAGCTTCCCTTTTGTGAATGCATTTTAGTATTCCAAGAAATAGGAAAGAAAAAGTATTCACCAGAAACTCCCAGGTACAATATCTGGGATGTGTGCACACTGTGGCAAAGATACAGACACCCCATTTAAACCCTAATTTTTGTGGTGAGTCAATTGTGGGCTGGTAGCAAGAAGACAGGTTCATTATATATACTTCCATGTGTTCCTTTCTCTAATATAGGTTCTGAACAATGACGGGTCAAGTCTGGACGTGGGCCAACTTTATTCTAGACAATTTCCCAGAAAAGTTGAAAATAAAGACCTGGGACATAAATTGGAACCTGAATTAACAATCTCATGGGACAGAGTGGTAGCCTGGTACAGGGGTCTGAACACATCAGAAGAAATATAAATAAATAGAGGAATTTTAAACCAGCAAACAATCACTAAAGTGAGAAAAGAGATTAAACTCATTTTAGCCATACCAAGTCTCAATAAGATTTACTACACACATGTCTTTTCTAAGTAAGTTACTACCAGATATCATGTTGCATATTAAGCAAGGAAATCAAGGCAGAGGAAAAAAATAAGATGTAGAAAACAGTGCATCTTCACTAACATCCTAGCGAATAAAAGTCCCAAAGCCCAGTTTTATATAGAGGAATTTAAATGGTCTTCAATACCGTTATCATTAATCATAATCATTTGTACAAATATTTGTACAATATTTATTGTCCACTTATTATATTCAAGGTGCTGTTTAACATATGCTAACTCCTTAAATACACACACATTCCTATAAATTGGATACAGTTGAGACTAAGTTGTCCAAGGAAAACTATAAGTAGGGACCAGGCCACCAACACTGGCAGTCTAATGCCAAAGACTCAATATCATCTAGTAGTCAGCTATTATTTAATTTGTCAAAAATCACTTGGGTATAAATAAGTGCCCCAAAAAAGGAACATTAAAGTAAAATAAAATTATCTGAATCTAGTATTAAAACTATATATCATATAACTTCTGTTTGGCAAACTAGAAAAAATGGTCATTACCTTGAAATAATTTACTTATCCAACTACACAAACCGATTATCCATGAAAAAAAAATTCTCATTGAATTATTAAGTCCCCTGTTTCTCCAAACCTTGAAACTTCAACATTATGCAATTTTCAGGTCCAATCTGTAAAACTGCATTATAAATTTTATTATGTTTTGTTTTACCACATCAACCACCAAATAATCTCATTTGGGTATATTTAAGAAGGGACCTACCTTATAATATTTATTACAGTAAACTTATATCTATAGTGAAACACCACTCATAATGGAACAATTATTTATCATTTTCATTGATTCAATATAAAGCTATAGCTAATAAAATATGTGAGTTTTACTATATGTTGCTTTATCTTAAAAGTTATTTTTGCAGGGCACAGTGGCTCACACCTGTAATCTCAGCACTTTGGGAGGCCGAGGTGGGCGGATCACGAGTTCAGGAGTTGGAGACCAGCCTGACCAACATGGTGAAAACCCGTCTCTACTAAAAATACAAAAATTAGCTGTGCGTGGTGGCGCACACCTAGAGTCCCAGCTACTCAGGAGGCTGAGGCAGGAGAATTGCTTGAACCACAGAGGCGGAGGTTGCAGTGAGCAGAGATCACGCCATTGCACTCCAGCCTGGGAGACAGAGCAAGACTCTGTCAAAAAAAAAAAAAAAGTTATTTTTGTAAAGTAAACAGTTGTTTTATACAAAATTTATTCATAACCTATTACATTTTGCAAATAAGTAGCTTATGCACATTCTTAAGTTATAACATCAATACTAAATAATTAAGAATGAGTAGCTAAGGAAATTGGAATAAATTTCCTTAGAAAGTAGAACATATTTTTAAAGGTAATGTATGACAGAATTCTTTGTATATGTCAGGATTCTCTTAATTGTTACCAGAAAAGCAGCTCAAGCTAAGTTATTTATAAATGAGAGTTGCTATAGAACACCAAGGTAGCTCAGAATAAAGAAGCCATCATTATGAAACATGAAGATGAGAGCAACTCTGAAATCATCAGTTACTGGATCGAGAGACAGGAACAGTTTTAAGATTATCTACATTCATATTTTTTCTTCTTCATTAAAAAAAATTATTCTTAATTGACAAATAATAATTGTATATTGTTATGGGGTAAAATGTGATTTTTGTTCTATGTATTCATTGTAGAAGTTTAATCAAGCTAATTAATATCCTATCACCTAATTTGTCATTTTTTGTGTTGAGAATATTAAAAATTTATACTTTCAGTAATTTTGAAACATACAATATATTATAATTAACTGTGGTCACTGTGTGGTGCAATATATCACTCAAACTTATTCCTCTAGTCTAACTGAGACTTTGAACATTTTGAAAACATTTTCTCTTTCCCCATCCCTCCTTCTTCCCTGACCAGCCTCTGGTAACCACCCTTCTATTCTGTTTTTATGAGATTGACTTTCTTAGATGACACATGTAAATGAAATCATACAGTATTTTTCTTTCTGTACCTGGCTTATTTAATTTAGCATAACATCCTCCAGTTCCATCCATGTTGTTACAAATGATGGCATTTCCTTCTGTTTTAAGTTTGTATAATACTCCATTGTGTATACATATCACATTTTCTTTATTTATTCATCTATTGATGGATACTTAGGACACTTCCATATCTTGGCTACTGTAAACAATGCTGAAATAAATATAAGAATGCAGATATCTATTCAACATACTAATTTCAGTTCCTTTCACTGTATACTCAGAGATGGGATTGCTGGGTCATATGGTAATCCTATTTTTAGTTTTCTGAGAAATCTCCATAATACCAAAATAGCTGTACTAAGTTACATTTCCACCAACAGTGTACAAGAGTTCCCTATTTTCCACATCCTTGCCAACACTTGTTATCATTTGTCATTTTTCTAATAGAAATTCTAACAGATGTGAGTTGGTATCTCATTGTGGTTTTAATTTACATTTCCCTGAATATTAGAGATATTGAGCATTTTCTCATACAGCTGTTGGCCATATCTCTATTTTTTGAGATGTCTGTTCAGTTCCTTTGCCAACTTTTTAGTTGGGTTATTTGTTTCTTTCCTGTTGAGTTGTTTGAGTTCCTTATATATTTTAGATATTAGCCCCTTGTTAAATGTATGCTTTGTAAATATTTTCTCCCAATTTGCGGTTGTCTCTTTATTCTCTTTTCTTGATTTTTTTTCCTATGGCTATAGTGATTTCCATGTAATAGGGGAATGGTTTTAGTTGGCCAAGAGTTTACAAACTCATAAACAAACAACTAGAAAGCAAAGGTAATTTCCTTACAGGACAAATTAAAACAAAATTAGAGAAAGACTCTGGCTCAGGTTGTGTCATACAGCCAGCCATAAATCCATCACTGTGGCTGTGGGGGTAAAATGCTAATATTAGCTACTTTGAGTCAGATATTTCAGTAATTTCCCCTGGTGTCACATGACCTATCCCCACATCCCATTCCCTTGCCAGCTCTGATTTCAGCTGCAGCAACATTAGACAATGCTTTGAAAGTTCAGACTTATTCTGGAACTATTTCACCTCAACCTAAATCCAGCTGTTATTCTGCTTTCATTCTCAGGGCCTTCATGAAGCCATAAGAGCCCATGTACTTAAGAAGCCTGGTAAGATAGGGAAGTCAATGTTCCAGAGAGCAATCCTCCATCAGTGGACAATGGGAACTGGGGAAGGGGAGCTTTTGATAATTCTGAGAAGCCCTAGTTTCCACAGTGGTAACCAGATTAATAATGCACCTCTATGTTGATCTTTCCCTGTATCATTCTTGCCATTCCCTCATTCTGGCTTCATGATAATGTCCCAAATAAACTATCCTTTCCCAGTTCTTATCTCAGGCTCTGCTTTCAAGGGAACTCAAACTAAGATGCCATCACTTTATCAATTATTTTATCCAGGAAATTTGTTTTCTCTTATTTTTTCTTCTAATCAATTATTTTAATTTTTTTAAAAATGCTGGTCCCCCTTTATTCACCAACTTTAAATTTTGGTATGGTTTCCACATCTTCTCTATCTATGCTGTCTGAATAAATTATATGCACTCTCATGTCTTTACAAATCATCTGTAAATTTGGTGATTACAAATTTATATTTCCAATTGAGACTTATTCCTTGTATTAGACTTTTTACCCAAATGACTACTAAAATTGCTTGACAGTCTATTAGGCATCTTAGAATTAGCATGTCCAAAGAAAAACTCTCAATACTCGTTCCAAACGTGCTCTTTTCACAGTCTCCCCAACTCAATACATGCCAACTCCATTATACCAGTTATTCAGGCTCCAAAGCTGGTGTGGTCCTTGAAACATCTTTCTTTCACTTTCTACATTGAATCAATCACCAAATTTCAAAATATACCTAAGATTCAATTACATCTTACCACCTTTACTTCTAGCAGCTTGGAGAATTTCAGTAGTATCTTAAGTGATCTCCATTCTCCACCATTGCACTTCTAAAGACTCTTCTCCAAACAGCACTGAGAATGATCCTTAGAAACATACATCAAATGTTAACATTCTATCATTCAACACGTTCCAACAGTTTACTATAGCATTCAGAGGAAAAGCTAAAGTCTTCATAAAATTATACATAATCTGAAAGTTTTTCTTCTATTACTGTCACCTACTTCACTTCATTCTAGCCACATTGACTTCTTTGCTTTACTTGAATAAGCCAAGCATATTTTCCCAAAAATCCCCACAGTTCAAACCTTTTCTTCCTATAGGTTCCTACTCATGTCACCTAATCAGAGAGGACTTTCATGAATACCATGTATAAAATATTCCTTTAATACGTCTCTCCATATTCCTTTCACCTCTTTAGTAAATGTCATTGTACATAATACCAGTTGAAAAATACATTTTTTCTTTGTTTGTTGTCTTTCTTTCCTCTCTAGATTTTAAGCTTTATGAGGGGAAGGAATTTTCCACTTTTTTTACCTCTATAGTTACAACACCTCCAAGAGAGCTTGACATGTAGTAGGCTCTCTACTTATATTTGATGAGTGAATGGAAGAAGATGGATGAAAGAAGATAGTTCTAGTTCAGTTCATGTGACTGAATCAGTAAGTCAGAAGGGAGGAAAGGAAGTACTACTAAATGAAACCTGAAACATGAGTAATTTGGGTAATTATTGGTAACCAATGGGAGCAGAATGGTGCCTTCCCCATCCCCACTGGAATACAATATAGCCCTTTACTGTTACTGGAATTGAGTTACAAATGTGAATCTATGTTTTTCAGGGACAAACACACACACACACAATTAACAACATCAGGGGGATAAAATATATGAGAGCTTTGTGAAAAGCACAACAAATTTTGGTTTAAACATGGAGAAAATGTTTTTCTTTAGGCCTCAAAAAAGAGGATATTATGTAAAAAACAGCCTCAAAAATACAATTACAGTAAATATAGCAATATCACTTTTTATTTATTATGCCTATGGTTTTATATGTAACAAGAATGCAATGTTTTCAAGATACTTTATTTTTTATAGTTTTTGATGTTTTTTAAAAAAATGTATTCTTGATAATTCATCTGAATTGAAAATTGATCATTTGATAGACAAATATTACAGAGGAAACCCAGTGGTTAATGACAATTGAATGTACTACAGAATCTATTATAACTTTCAAAAATTGTAATTTAAAAATAAATCTTCCTTTATAATATCTTTATATTCCCCACATCAAAATGCTGCAATCAACCCATTGTATCATTATGAAAACTGGATTAAAATCCATCCATCTTTTTTATTACAATTCTGAAGTGTTTCTCAAATCAAGGAAAATTTAATAAATCTTTTCAGGACTTAATAAAAGAACAGAAGATTTATATATCTAATAAAAAATGCATTCAGTTCCAATGGTTTTATTTAATTTGTTTTCATATGTCTTCTTATCACCTATTAGATATCATTTTGTTTCTCAAAATCCAGAGTGGAAATCACTTCTAAAATAATTTTTATAGAAAAAAATATAGATTACTCAGGTATTCCATATGTCTGTCCTTTAAAAAATGTGGAAGATTTGAGAGTAGCTTGCACAATCAGAGGACATCAGGGGAGGGTCTATTTGGCTATTGAACTTCAGATCAATTTTGCGATTTTAACACTGTTTTTTTCATAACTCATACAGATTTCCTCTAGAGAGTTTCAGAGAATGAAGAAGAGTTAAAATTAAGCATTTTGACATGCATTTGAAATTCATTTCTGTAGCTAAACTACAGAATCCAAGCCTCCTCTTCTTTTTGTTTTCAATAGCAAAGAGGCTACCTTACTGATGAATATTTCATAACATGTCAAATTGTGTTGTAATCCTTCTTTTCTCAAGGAGAAATAAGTGTAGGTCTCATTTAAAAGCTCTTTTGAGTATTTATAGCTCATCAATTAAGAATTAAGAGCAATTAAAGAGGAATCTGTAAGGTTAACAATTTGCTGATAATTAGAATATGCCTATTCCGAATATAAGAATCTGAGGATTTGAATAATGGGGGTGGCTTTGTCTCCTGAAGATAATATTGGATGATGATGGTAATATTAATTTCCTTTAACAAAGTATGCCCTTCCTTTGAGGACCAGAAGAGAAGTTTTAAAACTGATATGGAGCACAAAATAAATGAGAACTCAGCACTGGCATAAGCTTTCTTAAGCCACATGAGTACTTCATTACAGCACTTACCAAGAGCACTATGCGATGACTACACCAGAGCAGACTAGAAACCTTTACTCTAGACCCTCTCTCATTTAACTAATTATGTGACCTTGCACAAACTCCTTAACAGTTTGGAGTCTCATTTTTTTATTTTTATAAAATACCAGGAACTTTCACCAACAAGCTCTGTTCCGGTTTAATACCATCCTTTGTTTCAGAAGTAATATACATGAAGTTTTCCTATTGTGTTTAATATCTAAAATATATACAAAATTGTACATTATTGTGAACATGAATGGTTTACACATATTCTAAGCTCAAATCATCATAGGACTGTTGGGCTTCTCAAAATAGAAATATTTGTAATAAACCCTAAAACTCATGAATGTTACAAATAAAACAATACTTTAATAAATTATAGAATTTCTTTATTTTTTATTAATATCTACATACTGTAGTATCAAGATGGAAAAAGAAAATCTAAAATAGCTGGGCCACATGATGCCTTATCTCCTGATCATAAGTATGCTTTGAATTTAGCACTGTTTATATTATTTAAATATGCCTTTCTTTACCTGCAAATTTTACATCTGAGGGAATATATAATTTTTCCCTAATATTTATATCTGCCTTTTTCTAAAGTCAATCTTAAGTCAGAGTTTATGTATAAACTTCACAACTGCCTGCTTTGTCGTATCATTACATTCTTGACAGCTCATAAATATAGTCAAGTGGTAGGTTAAGACTGCAGTTATTCAATTTGTTTAAATTAGTTGCACAAATAAAATCTTCTGGTACATAGAAAAGCCTTTCCATCACCATATCAGTGTGCTCTGATGATCAGTGTGCTCTGATGATCAGGACTTAAAAAAAAGTATAAGAAATAAACAAAATGATATTATAGTAAACAAAGAATTATGCATCTTTTAATTCAATCAAATTCTCTATTTGAGTTCCCAGTATGATAGGAAACAAATGCTGGTTAGAGAACCAGATGGACAAACAGATTGAAAAACATGTTAAATAAAACATGTCCACTAGTGTTTTCTAGTATTTACACGTCTAGTCTTCAACAATTATAAATTAATCAAACTTTATCTTTTCCAATATTAGTCTTTTAAGTTAATACCTTTTCATGACCAAATTATTTCTCTACATTAAATATTGTACCATATTAAAATGCACAAATTGTATCATTACCTCAGTCCCATCCAGCAGAAGGAATTTTTCCCAGTATTTTTTTAAACAGCAGTGAACAAAACAGACAAAATTACCCTGCTTCATATTTGAGGGTGAGGGGCAACAGACAACCTAAAATAACCAAGACAGCCTTACCATTCTCCTCAGCTTGACTAAACTTTAGACAGTCTTCTTCTTGCACCAAGGCCCCCAACTGCCCTTTCTCCCAGGTCCTTACAGAATCCAGATGACCTAACCACTGAGGTTCCTCCACTCCTTTGTCTTAGAGCATTTACTTTAGAAAACTTATAATTGCAAATTCCTTATCTGCTTCTTTTAGATATAAGTATTCTTATAGCCTTTTGCCAGTTTTACAACCCAGGGCTATCTTTTTTTGAAAATTTTTTTCTTTACACTTTCAAATGTAATTGTCAAGAAAGATAGTGTCTCTATCTCCTGCTCTCTTTGGGAGCGTAGGAGCCTGACTTAAGTGGGTGCCTTGGTTCAAGTTGTAATACTACCTCACAGCATGAAAATTTAAAAAACTTTACTTTTTCTTACAGTAAGCTCAATTAGCTA
Organism: Homo sapiens; assembly: GCF_000001405.40. NCBI lineage: Eukaryota > Metazoa > Chordata > Mammalia > Primates > Hominidae > Homo > Homo sapiens. The sequence goes on from NC_000014.9 coordinate 46,601,413, forward strand.
ACACAGAGGGCCTTTGATTTCTCCCACTCCAGCTCTTAAAAACTCTCCAGTCCTCTGTTTCAGTATAATTGAGTTCAGACTGTGCTTTGGTATCTCTACCTTATTGCAATAGCCTTGAATGAAGTCATTCTTACCTATTTAACTTTACTTCAATTTTTGCTTTTACAAACAGTATATGTAGGTTTGTCAAAGCAAAACCTTTGTCAAAAGAAAACCTGTGGGGTGAAAAAAATAAGCAGGGTTTAGGGCACTAGTGCTGAGAAATATGTCTTCACAATTTTTAGAAGACTGGCCAACATAATCTTCAAGGAAAAGGAAACATTTGAGCAAAAACTTGAAGGTGAAGAACAATTCTTGTGGAAGTAGCCTTCAGACAGAGGAAACAGTGAATTCAAAGACCTTAAGATGTGAATGAAGATATGCAAGATGGTCAGTGTATTCATAGTGAAGTGACAAGGGCAGAGAAATACAATATAAAATTATGGAGTTTACAGGTGCCAGTAATACAGGACCTTGCAGGCCATTGTAAGGATTTCTGCTTTTACCTCAAGATAGAATAAAAAGATTTCATGGAAGACTTTGAGCAGGAACAGGTCATGATCTGAAAGTTGTCATGGAGCACTTTAAGCAGGAACAGGTCATGATCTGAATTATGTTTTAAAGGGGCCACTGCTGTATCAAAAATAGACATTCAGAGACAAGAGTAGAGAAACAAGGAAACCAGTTAGAAGCATATTGCTATAATTAAGGAGAGAAAGAGAGAGAGAAAAAATGGTTCTTGAGCCAAAGTAGCATGGAGATGTTAGGAAGTGGCAGGATTCTGGTTGTATTTTGAGTGTTATTTGAATAGAGAGTCAATATCATTTCCTAACAGATGGAGTTATAAGAATAAGACATGTCAAACATGGATCGAAGTGTTGTTATTGTTCTGTTTTGTGTTTTGTTTCTTTGTATTTGTTTTTTTGATTTCGATGTTTTGTTTTTGTTCATTCCTCCTTGAAGCATTGTGTTCCCATTAACTGAGATGGTCAGTTTGGGGAGAAAGTTCAGGAGTTCAGTTTTGAACGTGTTAAGTTAAAATATTTGTTACATTAAAATACTTGAGGCCGACAGCATAAATGAGTAATAGAAGCATTGATTTCAAAATGTTAGTTATGAGAATCAATAGAGGTTTCACATGAATAGTTAGTAGCCCTGTGCATAGCATATAACAAGAACCTTAAAATGTTAATATAGTATTACATACACAGCGGTAGGCCTGGACCGTGTAAGACCCAATGCTGCCTTTGACTACTCTGAAATAAAATTTATAAGTAATATAATCTATCTGTATGATTAAAAACATAAAGCTCCAAGTATGCTTTTAAAAATAATCTCAATAAATAATCTTATTGTAGATGTTCCATTACAATGCTAAATAAATTAGAAGTCAGGAGGCTAGAAATAATGTAAGATTTTTATAATAATATCTATTAGTGAAATATAAAGAACCTCTGGGTCTGACGTTTCCATGCTAATTTAAAAATACTTCATTTTAAGTTTATTAAAAACATATTTCTCTGTTAAATATTTTCAATAGGACTTACTGATTTTGTACTAAGTGTGTAATCAGGCTAAAATATTTTCAATTTTTATTTAGTTGCCAATGCCATAATACAGTAGAATAAACAGTATGGTACAAGTTAATACATTATTCAATAATTTTAAGAAAATGTCTTCTCAAAAATTAAGCTTTCTTCTTCATGACAAGCTTTCTGTCTAGTCTTGGAATTCTTATTAAAATTGAACTTGATAAAACTTATTTTAAAATTAGATATTATTGATATATATTTGTAGTGGGTTTAATATGGCAGGATATTTAAAAATAATGTTGGACAGAATATAGTTCCCTGATTTACAGGAAGTATAACATCCCTAGCCCCTATTCACTAATGCCAGTAGCATCTCATCTCTATTACTGTAATAGCTAAGAATACCTTCACAAATCTTCAAGATGCCTCTATCATGACCACTTATGTAGATGAATAAAATAGAGGCCTATTGTCCTTAAATTAGAGGAACAAGTTCAGCCACTCCTATAAATAATTACCAGTTATGTATTGAAAATATCCATTCCTTTCATAAATATTAAAGCATTTAAACAACCTAATTGAACATTCATTTCTTTTACCTGTAGTTGGCAATAGTATTTCTCATCTTTTAACTGAGAATGCTAAGAATGTATAGATGCATAATTTAATTTATATAAAGTATAAATTAAATATATAAAGTATATTATATATCCAATGGAATATCTTTACTATTGGTAATTGTACTGGACTATAACAGCATTCATGTTAGCAAAATGGAAGGTAATATTCTTCAATCAGGAAACTAAAAATATATGATTGATGTTAGTCAAAATTTATAGATTATTTACTCTATGACAGGTATTCTACTAGAGAGCTTGCCTATTATATCAGTTGGGGTCCCATCATTCTGATTGAAATTAGGGAACTCATCTCAATGGCAGCAACTCTCATCATTATCCTCAGCCTACAGAGACAGCCACCCAGAGCTTTTCAAGGATGCTCATACCCCCTTATTTCCCGCTGCTTTACTGAAAGAAGACCTTCTGGTCTTTCTCAGGGTATATAATAGGGAATTAATATGCAGAATGCAGATGATAAAATCTACCTCTGCATTTTCATTTATTTAAGCCTTTGGATTTTTTTCTCTGTATTATCCCAGGGAAGTTTTAGCACCTTACTCTTATTAACATTAGGCTACCACTGACCAAGGGTTTCAGCCAAACATTCAAGCAAACTCCTTAAACTAATACATTAAATCCAAAATATCTGTTCATGTGCTACTATACCTATAAATTGGACCAGTCAAAGGTATGCTCGTTCCTGCTTGAACTAACACATGTTGCATTGGTAGGGGTTCTCCAGAGAAACAGAACCAACAGGAGACAGATAAATAGATGATAGAATGAAAGAAAGATGGACAGATAGATAGATTAGAGGAGATTTTATAAGGGAATTGGCTCACATGATTATGGAATCTGAGAATTCCTACAATAGGCCATCTGCAAACTGGAGAACCACGGAAGCCAGTAGTGTGGCTCAGTCCAAGTCAGAAGGACTGAGAGCCACGGTAGCCAGTGGTATAAATCTCATGCCTTTGGCCTCAGACTGAGACTCTGAGGGCCACTGGTGCAAGTCCTAAGGTCTAAAGGCCAGAGAACCTGGAGTTCTGATGTCCAAGAGCAGGAGAAAATGGATGTCTCCGCTTAAATAGGGAGAGAAAGAGAGGGTCAGGGAAGAGAATTTGCCTTTCCTCTGTCTTTTATTGTTCTATCCAGACCTTCAGAGGATTGGATGGTGCCACCTACACCGGGTGAGGGTGAATCTTCCTTATTCAGTCCACTGACTCAAATGCCAATTTCTTCAGGAAAAACTTTTAGAGCCAAACCCAGGAATAATGCTTCACCAACTGTGTATCCTTTAATCCAGTCAAGCTGACATCTAAAATTGACAATCATACATGTGTTCTTCAGGATTCTACATATAAAAAATTACAGTTTTACAATTCTTCTGGAGTATAAGATGTTTCGTTGTATGTCAGACTTTGCACTTATCCTCCCTGGAGCATGCTGAGATCCAACACTACAAATCTAAAAGCAATGAGATAATACACTAGGTCTTCAGGAAAATAACTTCCCTCTTGCAAGGCAACAACTTCAAGTTTGGTTATAAAGATCTTTAAGCACAGGAAGACAAGTATCTACATTCAAGTGAGAAGGGGCTGGGCTGCTTCTGTCAGAAAGGGTGAGTCAAAAGGCTTAGCAGTTTAAAATTCTCAGTTTTATTCTAATAGAACTAATGTTACTATTCCAAGCCTCAAGATCCCACTACTTCTTAATCAACGCCTCAATAATCACAAAAGAGACTTACATATAATTTCTGTAACCTATATATTTAAAATATAGGTCTGATTTTTAGCTATATATTCACTTTGGCTATAAAAATTTGAGATTAATTTAAGGTTATCACAAAGGGTCTCTGGTTCTCTGATATATTATTAACTGATCATTTAAATCCCTCAGTTTTTCATTTTCTTTTCTTAAACTCTACAGTGTAGTTAGAAACTGCAATCGTGCCTTACAGTCTTTATCATTAGAATTTCTACCATCACAGTCAAATTCAGTGGTCACTTGTTTTCTCAAAGCACTGATCTTTTTTTTTTTTTTTTTTGAGATGGAGTCTTGCTCTGCCTCTCAACCTGCAGTGCAGTGGTGTGATCTTCACTCACTGCAACCTCCGCCTGCCGGTTCAGGCAATTCTTCCACCTCAGCCTCCCAAGCAGCTAAAATTACAGGTGCGCACCACCATTCCTGGCTAATTTTTGTGTTTTTAGTAGAGACAGGGTTTCACCATATTGGTCAGGCTGGTCTCAAATTCCTGACCTCAAGTGATACGCCTACCTCGGCCTCCCAAAGTGCTGGGATTACAGGCATGTGCCACGGCGCCTGGCCTCAAAGCATTGATTTTTAACTGATTATCTTGCCCCAGACAACTTGTGGTGATAATTTAATTATTGGTGATGCTACTGCATGTGAGATTTTTGGAATACTACTTCCCATTGCCATTGTCCAGTAGCGCAGCCAAAACTGGCTTTGACTCCAGGTCAAACACAAACAAACCAATACCAAATCCTAGATTTGTGTATCTTTCTCCCTGGTACTACTCCTGAAACCAAGTAGTGTAGTATTATTGTGGTAGTACAGTACCTAGTACTATAAGTCCAATTAGGATACCAAGCCCCATTAGGTGTATCAAAAATGAATTTAATACACAAAATTGGTTAGAAAAGTATTAGGAAGCTAAAAAACCAAAAACAATGCGGGATTCATCTAGAATATTGCATAAAACAGCTACTGCCACTAGATCTGAGGGAACACAAAGGAAGAAGTGGCATGAACAGAACCTGGGACTCAGTAGGACCTACAGGGATGGTTCTTGACTCTCTGGGGAAAATGACACAGTTGATGCTCATGTATCTGAAAAAGGGATCTAAGTCAGTAAATGCTCAGTGTGAGGTTGTGTCAGTCACTCTCTAGGAGAGGAAATATGGGCCAAGATGCACTTTAATTGTCAAAGGGGTGCAGTGCTGATGTTGTTGGAACTCCTGCAGGGTCAAGGGAAGAATGCTATAAGCTGGCTGATGAAATGTACTGACCAACACTTGAAAACATGAAGATACGGGCGCCTGTAGTCCCAGCTACTCGGGAGGCTGAGGCAGGAGAATGGCGTGAACCCAGGAGCCCGAGCTTGCAGTGAGCCGAGATCACACCACTGCACTCTAACCTGGGAGACAGCGAGACTCCGTCTCAAAAAAAAAAAAAAAAAGAAAAAGAAAAAGAAAACATGAAGATAGCATCTTCTCCCATCCTTTCATCTTCCAATTTCCTGCTTGGATTTTACAATGGAAGAACGTAACTAGTATAGATGTGTTTGGCCTTCCTCTGACACAGAAGTTTGAGACACTTATTTTTCAGAGTCCTTGTCTCAGTATCACAGGGCAGAGAATAGAATAGTAAGCCTGGAGCTAAAAGACAATAGATAAATTACCAGCACTCATATATTAGCTTATTTTACCAAAACAACAATATGGTAGTATAATATCATGGTCTTTTTCTAGAAAAGGAAACTGAGGCAAAGAAAAATTAAAATACCTGCCCAAATTTACTCAGCTGATAAGTGCCAAGATTTGTTACCAAATATCATGTGTTCAAATGAAAATACCAAAATACTGTTAAAGTGCAAACAATTTTCCGATCATGATAGAAAAATGATTTGGTCTAGCTAGATGATTCCTCCAAACCATAGGCTTGATACATGCTGCATCTTGGCTATGGCTATGAGTGCTTTAAATAGTTCAATCTGGCTGACAGCCTGATTTATACATGTATTCATGCCTTTGGCATATATTATATTAATGAGAATAATACACAAAATAATACATGCTGAAAGTCGATTCAAAGGTCTGTATCTGAGTTAATAATATTATACCAACGTCAGTTTACTGGTTTTGACAATATATTATGTTTATGTAAGATACTACATTGGGGGAAGCTGGGTACTGGGTATATGGGAACTCTGAACTATTGCAATTTCTTATGTGTCTCAAACTATTGCAAAATAAAAAGTTATTTTTAAAAAGTCAACTAGAATTTCTGAACAGTGGTTAAAATTGATGTTAAAGTTGTTATGTGATAGTATGAGATTACATTGAAATATGTATTTATAAATGAAAATTAATAATGTTAAAGTTATTAACCTACTGGGTTAAAATACAATAGTGGCTACCTCTGTGCCCTTACTATTCAAGACCCAGTGCTAAGTTTTTACCAAAATGTGTAAATTTTATGTCAGTCGTCACAGCATTTCATTGATAAGGAAACCTAAGCTCAAAGATTTTTTCTGGATGACAGTACAGCTGGCAAATGCAAAATCCCATGCCATTTCATTACAATCCCTGCCTTTCACAGAATTCTAATATGTTTTTTGATTGAAGAGCTTATCTTGTCTACCTCACCAGTCAGTGACACTGTCAAATGTGACTGTATTATTTCACCCTGCTCATAAAAAAGATAGAGTTAAATATTCCATAATATGCACCGTTTCTTGTAATGACATAATATATTATACTTAACTTGCAGATTAATATATGGAATAAACCAAAACTGAACAGTTGCTTAACAACCCTTGCATCTCAAACGTTCTTAGACCACATATTTGTAGGCTTTCCTCTCTTATAACTATAAATAAACAAAACCTCTAGGAGAAATATATACCTTATGCTCAGTATTGTAATTTCTGTATTTATATGTTTGTGCAAATAAAGAGTGTTGTATTAATTGACCTGAAATGAATGGTGTTATTAAATGACCATTCTGACAAGTTTACTATTAATGCACATTGATGTTTGACAAAGTATATTGTCTTTCTTATTATCCATGTAGAGATACAGATGTATTTACAGGCTATCTAAAAAAGTCAAGTAATGATTTCATATCAAAGAAAATTATACAAATTATATTAAAATTATATAAATTATATAAAATCTTTATATTATTAGATTTAATACTGAACTTGGGAACTTGATTAATTTTTCAAATGAATAAAATGTTCATGTAATAAAATGAAACAAAATCCCATGTAAATCAGTGTTTTATTTCTTTCATTTTTATTTTAGGCTTAAGGGTAAATGTGCAGGCTTGTTATATAGGTAAACTGCATGTTACGGAAGTTTATGTACAGGTTATTTTGTCACTCAAGTAATAAGCAGAGTACCTGATAGTTTCTTTTTCAATCCTCACTCTCCTCCCACCCTCTACCTTCAAGTAGGCCCTGGTGTTTTTTGTTCCCTTCTTTCTGTCCATTTGTACTCAGTGTTTAGCTCCCACTTACAAGTGAGAACACGCAGTGTTTGGTTTTCTGTTTCTGTGTTAGTTTGCTTGGGATAATAAACTTCAGCTGTATTGTTGCTGAAAAGGACATAGTATTCCATGATGTATATGTACCACATTCTCTTTATCCTGTCTACCATTGGTGGGCATAAAGCCCAAGACCAGACAGATTCACAGCCAATTCTACAAAATGTATAAAGAAGAGGTGGTACCATTCCTACTGAAACTATTAAAAAAAATTGAGGAGAAGGGACTCCTCCCAAACTAATTATATGAAGCCAGCATCATCCTAATACCAACACCTGGCAGACACACACACACACACACACACACACACACACACACACACAAAATCTTCAGGCCAATATCCTTGATGAACATAGATGCAAAATTACTCAACAAAATACTAGCAAAGCAAATCCAGCAGCACATCAAAAGACGAATCCACCACAATTAAGTCAACTTTATCTCTGGGATGCAATGTTAGTTCAACATATGCAAATCAATAAATGTGATTCACCACATAAACAGAACTAAAAAAAGACCATGTGATCACCTCCATAGATGCAGAAAATGCTTTCAATAGAATCTGACATTCCCTTATGTTAAAAACCCTCAACAAATTAGGCATTGAAGGAATATACTTCAAAATAATAAGAGCTGTCTGTGAAAAACCCACAGCCAATGTCAACCTGAATGGAGCAAAAGCTGGAAGCATTCACCTTGAAAACCAGAACAAGACAAAGATGCCTACTCTCACCACTCCTATTGTATCTGGGACTGACAGTCCTAGCCAGAGCAATCAGGCAAGAGAAAGAAATAAAGGTATCCAAGTAGGAAGAGAAGAAATCAAACTATCCCTGTTTGCAGATGATATGATTCTATACCTAGAAAACCCCATAGTATCTGCCCAAAGGCTCCTAGATCTGACAAACAATTTTAGCAAAGTTTCAGGATACAGAATCAATGTATAAAAATCACTAGCATTCCTGTACACCAACAATGCCCAAGCTGAGAACCAAATCAAGAACACAATCTCATTCACAGTAGCCACAAAAAGAATAAAATACCTAGGGATATAGCTAACCAAGGAGGCAAAAGACCTGGACAATGAGAATTACAAAACACTGCTCAAATAAATCAGAGATTACACAAACAAGTGGAAAAATGGTGGACGTTCATAGATAGGAGAATCAATATTGTTAAAATGGCCATCCTGCCCAAGACAGTTTAAAGATTTAATGCTATTCCTATCAAACTACTAATTATGTATTTCAAAGAATTAGAAAGAAAAATTGCTTTACAATTCAAGTGGAATTTAAAAAGATACCAAATAGCCAAAGCAATCCTAAGCCAAAAAAAAAAAAAAAAAACAAGCCTGGAGGCATTACTGTACCTGAATTTAAACTGTACTACAAGGCTACAGCAACCTAAAGAGCATGTCACTGGTACAAAAGCAGAAACATAGAGCAATGGAACAGAAGACAGAGCCCCAAAATAAGGCCACACACCTATAAACATCTGATCTTCCACAAAACTGGCAGAAACAAGCAATGGGGAAAGGACTCCATATTCAATAAATGGTGCTGGGATAACTGGCTAGCCATATACAGAAGATTGAAATTGAACCCCTTCCTTTCACTATAAATCAATGTCTTATCTTACATTTTTCATAGACAGTTGGCTTTAAAGAACAAATTAAATGTCTCTGGGAATTTATAGTTAGTTTCCCCTACTTACTATGTTTTATAACAAATTTGCAAGGAAGGAGGAAAACTCTAAGATTTTAATATTATGCAGTTTGAGAATATGGACTGGGGACAACCTCATGGGCATATGCTCAGAAATTTGTTACATACTCATTCATCATACTCATTGCATCATTTATGTTGGATTACAGTTACATGTTTGATAATATGATAACCATTACACATCTGTAATGGTTTTGCAGCTTCCAAGAATAATTGATATGTGATTATACTAAGAGACTTAATGTCCCTTCAGAGTCATAATTTGTATTTTACAGCAGTTCACAATTAAAGACAAGGAAATCGAAGCTTAGGAATGTTAAATAGCAAGCACTGAGCTAAATGAAATGAACACTATGGGATAGTGTGCATGTGTGTGTGTTTAAATATGAGAAATTCTTGAGCTTGTTAATATGCCAAAGACGAGGTAGAGAAAGTTCAAATACCCAGGAAGGGGAAATGGATAAGAAATTAAGCAGACCTGCCCAAAGAATCATAAAGTGAAGTAGTCAGGGAAAAGCCTAGTTGGGTCATCTAATATTTTAGTAAAGTAGTAGCTGGAAATTTTTGCTGTATGTTATTCAGCCACTTGATGGCATTTTGTGACTTATATGTAAATCATGTTAATCTGTACAACTCTACTTAAAACATTGTTAATAATTAAGTGCATTGATGGACAGATAATAATAATGTGTTTAAAAGAGTAATAAGATTAACTCACTCTTTTGAATCTAAAGTCCAGAAACAGATAGAAACCTAATAAAGGTTGTAGAAAATATGAAAGAAATAATACATTAGGCAGACCTGGATGTGACTTTTATAGTTATTTAACTTATCTAATTTTCCTAAGGTTTGGTTTCCTCATCTCTAATGTGGAGATATCAATTTTAACTTTCACACTGGATTCTTTTAATATTAGCTGAGATACTGTATGTAAAGTGCTCAGGATAGTAAGTATTCAGTAAACTAGTATTCTGTACCTTTCCTTCTTTAGTAGCATAAAGATACAGGACATAGAGCTTAGATTTAGACCTCCTGGATCAAATTCCTGGTCCTCGATTTACTAGCTTTATGACCTTTGGGCAAATTGCTTAAACTTTCTATGCCTTAGTGTCTTCACGTGTAAACAAACCACATTTATAGAGATTAAACAAGTTAATACATGTAAATTACTTTAAAATTTTTTATTTATGTTAAGGGATATAATAAGATTCTGTCTTCTCTTCCTTATTCTTCATCTATTACTATTACCATCATCATCATCATCATCATCAGAATCAGTTTTGTAGAAGGAACAGTTGTACTAAATGTCTCATATTTCTCATCTCCTTGACCCAATACTATCTAGCTTTAGCACTCCTCTCTCAACACTTTCCTGTTCAATGTTCTTAGGATTATTGTTTCATCCTCTATTTGTAAAACCCAATGGCCTCTCTTCAGTTTTTATCTTGGTCAAATTTGGTTATCCCCTCGCTCTTATTAAGTCTCTTCTTCCTTTTTATAATTCCACCCTTGGCTTTCTTTATACCTCTAGTTGTTCCTCCTACATTATAAGGCATCTTTTTTCTACATTCACTTTCTTTCCAACATACAATGCCGGTATTAGTCAAGGACTCTGCAATTAGTTTTTCTGTCCTCACTCTGAACATTATTACTGAGAAATTCCATCTATGACTGTGGCCCCATCATCTAACATACAAATAAATACTGCAAGTCTATATCTCTTTCTAGTCTTATCATAAATGCCAAAGCCCCAGCGATGCCTTTTTTTATTCCCCAGATGGAGTAGGTCTCATAATAGTTCATATTTCTGTTAGCATTTTGACGATATATACTTATTTAAGAAAATTGAAGTACTTTTCTCAAATTATAAGTTTATTATCCTGTTTTCACACTAGCCTGTAACCTATAGAGGATTCACACTTTGTTTAATTCACCAGTGTATCACAATAACCTTCAGCATGCCAGGCACATTTCTGACATTTGGGTATGTTTGTTAACTGATCATTGAACTGAATCTGAGTTCTATAAGTGAATATCCACAACCATTTGCAAATATCAACCTGAATGTCCCAAAGGCCCCAGAAGCATAAATCCAGAAAGTAAAATTATGTACCTTTTTTTTTGGTCTCTATATATTTCCATGGAATCATTGCTTGTGCACTTATTTATGTGCAAGAAATTTCCTTTGCAATCTCTCCAAGAAATGTTCTTAAAGTTACAGCCTAAATAATAGATTTTGGAGTGAACCTAATTTTGTATGGAGATATTGAATGAATGACTGATACTGCCATTTTTTGCTTCATATGTAGCTTGATATATTGAAAGTTTTTTCCATTGATATGTTGTGAATAATCTTTTCATCAACATTAATGGATTAGTCATTGAAGGCAAGGGTAGTATATCTTTAGCATATTTTTGAATATATAGCAGGGAACCATAGAAAGGGAGATCCATTTCTATTTGACAAAGATGAGATTATACTAAAAAAAGAAACTGTTTAGAGAAGTATTGCAAGCTCTTAGACTTCCCTGGCTTCTAAGGTCACTCCACTAAGGTTATAACTCATTCCCTGACCACTGCATGAAAAGTAAACAGCATCCCCAACTCATCTATCTGTCAACAAAGCTGGGACTTCAACTTCTGAAACATTGCTATGAGCTGAATTAGGTCCCCACATTTCTCTGTAACCTTGCCCAAATATGTACCAAATGAAGGTTGAAGAAAAGATATTCTGTTGTGTACTTGAAATATCTCCATGCTGTGTCTGCTCTTTGATATAGAATTTGATGATCATTACTCTTATAGGTGTTTATAGTTTTGCTTACTCTAACCATTTCTCTCTTATTAAAGATATATCCATTTCTAAAAGCTTATATGGCTCTTCCACAGGGAAATTTCATTTTTACTGTCATCATTGTCATCTTTGCAAAAGATAAAGTTTCCTTTGATCCCCAGCTATGTATTAAAAAATACGTACATATATATTTCCTCTGCCATCTAAGAGTAGTGTGTTGTTTTAATATAAGAATTATTCATACTATAGTAAGTGTACAAAATGTCAGTGCTTTCAAGCTACATATAGTGCAAAAACCAGCAATATTAATCATTTGTTCAACAGCCCAATGGGAAATTAAGTTCATTCTAAAAATCTATTATTTATATTGTAATTACAAGAAATTTTCTTGTACCTAAATAATCAAAAAAGCAAACATCAAAATGAGGGAAAAGTGAAGACTATTTTTAAGAACGTAATCGAAAAGACAGAAAATAAGTAAAATCTTCATTTATTTTTCTTTGGAAGATAAGTTTTACTAAGGGTCACAAAATTCAAGCAGCACATTCTTAAAAAAATTGTGTGAATCTAGAATTTAGATTGTCAACTTTATAGAGGTAATGGCATTGGATTATTTCCAGTTTCATAATTAGTCGTGGCTGCTTTAAATTTATATACATATAAATGTATGTATATATATATACTTATATAATTATATATACATTCATAAAACAAATATTTGGATGATCAAATTTTATTTGTTAATTGCACTGTATATATCTGGTGCTTTTTATATCACTTCAACTGGTTTTAGTTTGAAATGCATTTTGATCTAGGCTAAAAAAGAAATTCAGGTTAATTCATCTAGTATATATTATTTCAAATTTGGGAATTAGGAAGAGATGAACCTTAAAGTTTTAATATTTATATTGATTACTTTAAATTTTTCTTTTAAAAACCCAATGCTGTGTTCTTTCACTCAGCCTGGTGCCTGGTGTCTCTCAGGGCTCTCTTTACTGCCAACATCAGCATGTTTTCTGGATGCTATTAGCTTGCAAAGCTAAGGCATTTGGGATTTACTAGAAAATAAAAATAGGTTTGAACTTGTTCATATTCACCTGCTGTTTTCAAGATGAAAACACCCAGGAAAGCAATTTGGAACTGCATAAGACATTTTTCTTTTTTTAATTTAAGGAAATTATTATATTTAATGAAAGTATGTCAGCTCAATTTTGCACCAGAGAGAAAACTACTAAGATTTAGACAGTCATGTCTTGGAAGAAGCCTAAAACGTTTATATGCTCCTATTTTTTTTTTAACCTACCGATCATGTATATGTTTAATTGAAGAAAAAAGCAACTGTATGTACAATATATTTTAACTTTTCTCTGTCCTGAGACTACACAATTTTGGTAGGTGGTTTCTAGGGAGTGTATACCACTTCTAATTCTACTGTGAACACATACTCCCCTCAAAGTGATATGATATATGGGTCAGGGAAATGAAACATATATATCTCTATATATAGATGTATCATATATATAAATCATGTATAAATCATATATAAACTTGTGTATATATATTGATTAAAGTGACACCTCCAACACCAAACCAGCTACCAACAGTGCCTGAATTACCTGCTATTAGAATTAGTCTTGGTTTTAGTTGAATTTTATATTGGATTGGCACTAGGAATTCATGTAAAACATGAGTCTTCTACTCACCAAGTTCTGGGCTCAAAGTCAGGTTTGGCTTCTTATCAACTGTTTGACAGTGGACAAGATATTTCTCTGAGATTTGCTGTATTAATCTGTAAAAATAAGACAATGACATGTCTTATAGAACTATTGTGAATCTTAGAGAACTAAGTTGAGAAGTGTCTAGCATAGTGTAGGTATATAACAGATTTTTCCTGTCTCTTTTCCTTACACATGTTTAAATATGTATTCAACATATAATTTCTTTATTATTATTATTATACTTTAAGTTTTAGGGTACATGTGCACAATGTGCAGGTTAGTTACATATGTATACATGTGCCATGCTGGTGTGCTGCACCCATTAACTCATCATTTAGCATTAGGTATATCTCCTAATGCTATCCCTCCCACCTTCCCCCACCCCACAACAGTCCCCAGAGTGTGATGTTCCCCTTCCTGTGTCCATGTGTTCTCATTGTTCAATTCCCATCTATGAGTGAGAACATGCGGTGTTTGGTTTTTTGTCCTTGCGATAGTTTGCTGAGAATGATGATTTCCAGTTTCATCCATGTCCCTACAAAGGACATGAACTCATCCTTTTTTATCGCTGCATAGTATTCCATGGTGTATATGTGCCACATTTTCTTAATCCAGTCTATCATTGTTGGACATCTGGGTTGGTTCCAAGTCTTTGCTATTGTGAATAGTGCCGCAATAAACATACGTGTGCATGTGTCTTTATAGCAGCATGATTTATAGTCCTTTGGGTATATACCCAGTAATGGGATGGCTGGGTCAAATGGTATTTCTTGGAAAAGGTTTCATGATCTCCTCTTTTTGCATCTTAATGGTAATCATTTTATTGTACCAGAAATAATTTAGCAGAAAACTGGGTTTGAAGGGTACTTAGGTACTGGAGTGGTGGAATTATAGTGATTACAAAAGACACCTCATTTACTTGGCATTTCCTTCTAGGGTTGTGTTATGCCCCTTCTAAAACTCCTCTTGCATGTAAACTTAAGACAGATGGATATCATCTCAAATTCTCCTTCTAGATTCCTATTTTCTTCCCTATGTTTAAGATCAAACTATGGTTTGCAAATATTTTCTTTCAATCTGTAGGTTGTCTTTTATTTTGTTGATTGTTTCTTTTGCTGGGCTTTCTAGGTGTTGTGCCAACAACATCAAGAAACTTTTCCATTGTGTTTTGTTCTAAGAGTTTTATGATTTCAGGTCTTACATTTAGATTTTTTATCCATTTTGTGTTGATTTTTGTATATGGTGTAAGATAATGTGTGAGATATTGATAAGAGGTTAATATCCAAAATATTCAAGGAACTCACACAACCCAATAGCAAAAACAAAACCTGATTTTTAAAATGGGCAAATTATCTAAATAGGCATTTTTCCAAAGAAGATTAAAAACATCTAACAGGTGTAAGATAAAGTGCTCAAAATCACTAATAATCAGGAAAATGCAATTATAAGCCATAATGAACTATCACCTCACATGTATGGATAGCTATTATCAAAAAGAAAAGAGATAACAGGTGCTGGTGAAGATGTGGAGAAAAGGGAACCCTTGTACGCTGTTGGTAGAAATATAAATTGGCACAGCCATTATGGAAAATAGTATATAGGTTCCTCAAAAAATTAAAAATAGAACTTCCATATGACCCAGCAATCCCTCTATCGGGTATATACCCAAAGTAATTAAAATCATCATCTCATAAAGATATCTCTGCTTCCATATTTATTGCAGCACTATTCACAATAGTGCCAGATATGGAAATCATCTAAGCATCAGTTGATGGATAAGAGAATTGTGATACATATTTTTTAAAAATAAGGAGATGTCACCATTTGTGACAACGTGGATAAAGTTGGAAGATGTTACACTAGGCGAAATAAGCCAGACACAAGGAAACAAATACTCTGTGATCTCACATATTTGTACAACCTAAAAAAAATCAAATGCATAAAAACAAAGGGTAGAAATTTGGCTACTAGGGACAGGGAGGGGAAGAAAATGAAAAGTGGTACAAATTTGCAGTTATTAGAATGAATATGTCTAGAGATCTAATATACAACATGATCACTAGAGTTAATATTGTATACTGAAAAGTTGCTGAGTATATCTTAGATGCTCTTACCACTGACACACACACACACACACACACACACACACACACACAAAGGTAACTATAGAAAGTGATTAATAGGTTAATTTGTTAACTGTAGTAACCATTTCACTATGTATATGTATACCAAAACAGCCTATTGTACATCATATATATGTATATATCTCAAACTATGTAACTTTGCCTAACAAATGAAATAGATAATGGGTAAGACATTGTGACCCTTTATGCTCCCTAAAACTTTTATGCTTCATATTTCCAAATCTGTTTTTTTAGTCTCTATTCACAGGACCAAATATTTTTTCTGGTTTATATTTTTGTGGTACTTGGCCACAGGTTGCCAGACACGCTTATTTAGGGAAGAAGCAAATCAAGACAGATTTCTTAGTCCATTCTCACACTGCTATAAAAAAACTTCCTAGGACTGGGTAATTTATGAAGAAAAGAGGTTTAATTGACTCACAGTTTCTCAGGCTGTACAGGAAGCATGGCTGGGAGGCCTCAGGAAACTTACAATCATGGTGGAAGGTGAAGAGAAAGCAAACACATCTTATCATGGCTGGGCAGGAGAGAGAGCAAGTGAATGGAGATGTGCTACACACTTTCAAACAACTAGATCTTGTGAGAACACTCTCACTATCACAAGAACAGAAAGGGGGAAATCTGCCCCCATGATCCCGTCATCTCCCACCAGGTCCCTCTCCCAACACTGGGGATTACAATTCAGCATGAGATTTGGGTGGGGACACAGAGCCAAACCATATCAATAGACAAAGGAAAAACTGTAATTGACAAAGAAGAGCTAGGAAGTGTTCTTGGAGTAAAAATTGACAAGATTCCTTTGCTTACTTTTTAACAAAGTAACAAATATTGAGTGACCTAGGTTTATTTCTATAATTCTGAAAATAATTTTCATCTTTCAAGGGAAAAAAGCCCTATAAATTAACAAATTTTATTGTTTTATACAAAATTAGAAACATTATTAAAGTATAGTGCAAGGATATCAGAAATTACTCTACCCTTCAATCTCATTAGTCTATCCAAAGAATTTATAGTCCCAGTTATGTGAAAGGTAAAGAAGTTAGAAAATATTAGCTCTTTACATTTTAATATACATGATTGAGTTTCATGATATCATGCTGTTTAAACAAATCCTCTCAAAAAAAAAAATTTGAAGCCTTTCTTCAAAAAAAATCTTTAGAGAAACCAAAAATAGAAAAGAGTGAAAACTGGAATTTCTCTTATTGAAAGAGGGAAGGATTTGAGAGAGTTTGCCCCTTGTTCCTTTACCACCTGGAGTCATTTCTGGGCCTCCAGGCGACTTAAACTCTAGGATTTCAGAGCGCAGGCCAAGATAAAGCAAACTCTCACTACTCTTAGAGGCAGTCTACTGTTCTAAACAGTTTTCCATACTGTAAGAGATAGATACTGTCTTAGTCCTTTGCATATCTTCGTCCATATGTCAATGCCTGGCCTGGCTTTTAGTTTCTATATCCTAATAAGGACAAAGATGGCACTCAAGTAAAAGTCTTTTCTGTGTATATTATATATATACATATGTATATATGTGTATATATGTATATGTATATATGTGTGTATATATGTATATGTATGTATATATATTTTTTATATATGTATTGATTACTAGCAAGCAATTCTAAAATATTCTACTATATTCTGATTATTAATCCCTTGTCAGATGAGTATTTTGCAAACATTTTCTTCCATTCTGTGGGTTGTATCTTCACTTTGTTGATTATTTCCTTTGCTGTGCAGAAGCTTTTTAGCCTGATATCTAGCTTTGCTTTGTGTCTTTGCTTTTGAGGACTTACTTTAAAAATCTTTTCCCAGACAAATGTCCTGGATCATTTTCCCAATATTTTCTTTCAGTTGTTTCAGGTCTTAGATTTAATTCTTTAAATCATTTTGATTTGAATTTTTTATATGGTGATGGATAGGAGCCTAGATTCCTTTTTCTTCATATGACTGTCTTCCCCATTGTATATTCTTGGTGACTTTATCAAAAGTGTGTGGGCTATAAATCCATGGATTTGTTTCTGGGTTCTGTGTTCCATTAATCTATGTGTCTGTTTTCATGCCAGCACCATGCTGTTTTGATTAATATAGTTTTGTAGTATATTTTGAGATCACATAATGTGATGTCTCCAGCTTTGTTCTTTTTGCTCAGGATTGCTTTGTCTATTTGGGTTTTTTTTTTTGTGGTACCATATAATTTGTTTAATTGTTGTTTTTCTATTTTTGGGAAGAATGTCTGGCATTTGATAGAAATTGCATTGAATCTTAGATCACTTTGGGTAGTATTGCCATTTTAACAATGTTAGTTCCTCCAATCAATGACTATGTATTATATTTATATTTTTTGTGTTTCCTCTTCAATTTCTTTCATCATTGTTTCATAGCTTTCCTTGTACAGATCTTTTAATTCTTTGGTTAAATTGATTCCTAGGTATTTTATGTTCTTTGTAGCTACTGTAAATGGGATTACATTCTTGAATTATTTTACAGATTGTTTGCTGTTGGCATACATAAATTCTACTGATTTTTGTATGTTGATTTTGTTCCTGGTGACTTTACTGAATACGTTTATTAAAACAGTTCTGCTTTTTGGTGGAGCTTCTACATATAACATCATGTCATTTGTGAACAAACCTAATTTGACCTTTTTCTTCCCAATTTGGATGTCCCTTATATTAATTTCCTTTGCCTAATTGATCTGGCCAGGACTTCTTGTAATATGATGAATACAAACTGTGATAGTGGATATATTTGTTCCAGATCTTAGGGAAAAGGATTTCAATTTGTCCTTGTTCAATATGATGTTAGCTGTGGGTTTGACATATACGGCCTTTATTATTTTGAGATATTTCCTTCTATACCCAGTTTGATAAGGTTTTCATCATAAAGAAATGTTAAATATTATCAAATGCATTTTCAGAATCCATTGAAATAATCATATGGTGTTTGTTCTTAGTTCTGTTAATGTGATGCATCATGTTTATTGATTTGCATATATTAAATCTTCCTTGCATCTCTGGGATGAATCCCACTTGATCATAATGAATGATCTTTTTAATGTGTTGTTGAATTCAGTTTGCTAGTATTTTTGCATCTATGTTCATCAGTGATATTGGCCTATAGTTTTCTTTTTTGGTTGTGTCCTTGTTACGTTTTGGTAACAGGGTAATGCTGGTGTCCTAGAATGAGTTTGAAATATTCCTTCATCTTTAGTTGTTGAATTGGTATTATTTCTTCTCAAATATTTGATGGAATTAATTGATAAAGCCATTAGACTCTGGGCCTTTCTTTGATGGGAGACTTTTTAAATTATACTTTAAGTTCTGGGGTACATGTGCAGAATGTGGTTTGTTACATAGGTATACATGTGCCACGGTGGTTTGCTGCACCCATCAACCCATCATCTACATTAGTTATTTCTCCTAATGCTATCCCTCCCCCAGCAGCCCACTCCCCAACAAGCCCCAGTGTGTGATGTTCCCCTCCCTGTGTCCATGTGTTCTCATTGTTCGACTTCCACTTATGAGTGAGAATATGCGGTGTTTGGTTTTCTGCTATTGTGTTAGTTTGGTGAGAATGATGGTTTCCAGGTTCATTCATGACTCAGCAGAGGACATTAACTCATCCTTTTTTTTACAACTGCATAGTATTCCATGGTATATGTGTCACATTTTCTTTATCCAGTCTATCATTGATGGGCAACCAGATTCATAAAGCAAGTTCTTAGAGACCTACAAAGAGACTTAGACTCTCACACAATAATAGTGGGAGACTTCAAAACTCCACTGTCAATATTAGACAGATCAACGAGATAGAAAATGAACAAGGATATCCAGAACTTGAACTCAGCTCTGGACCAAGCAGATCTGATAGATATCTACACAACTCTCACCCCAAACCAACAGAATATATATTTTTTCCTAGCACCACATCGCACTTATTCTAAAACTGACCACATAATTGGGAGTAAAACACTCTTCAGCAAATGCAAAAGAAGAGAAATCATAACAAACTGTTTCTCAGACCACAGATCACAGTGCAATCAAATTAGACCTCAGGATTAAAAGACTCACTCAAAACCACACACCTACATGGAAACTGAACAACCTGCTCCTGAATGACTACTGGGTAAATAACGAAATGAAGTCATAAATAAAGATGTTCTTTGAAACCAATGAGAACAAAGACACAACATACTAGAATCTCTGGGGCACATTTAAAGCAGTGTGTACCACTGCTTTAAATTTATAGCACATTTATAGCACTAAATGCCCACAAGAGAAAGCAGGAAAGATCTAAAATCGACACCCTAACATCACAATTAAGAGAATTAGAGAAGCAAGAGCAAACAAATTCAAAAGCTAGCAGAAGGCAAGAAATAACCAAGATCAGAGCAGAACTGAAAGAGATAGAGTCATAAAAACCCTTCAAAAATTGATGAATTCAGGAGCTGGTCTTTTGAAAAGATCAACAAAATAGATAGACCACCAGCCAGACTAATAAAGAAGAAAAGAGAGAAGAATCAATAAGAGGCAATAAAAAATGATAAAGGGGATATCACCACTGATCTCGTAGAAATACAAACATCTCTATGCAAATAAACTAGAAAATCTAGAAGAAATCATTAAATTCCTGTACACATACACCCTCCCAAGACTAAACCAGGAAGAAGTCGAATCCCTGAATAGACCAATAGCAGGTTCTGAAATTCAGGCAGTAATTAATAGCCTACCAACCAAAAAAAGTCCAGGACCAGACGGATTCACAGCCAAATTCTACCAGAGGTATAAGGAGGAGCTGGTACCATTCCTTCTGAAACTATTTCAAACAATAGGGGTCCTCCCTAACTCATTTTATGAGGCCGGCATCATTCTGATACCAAAACCTGGCAGATACACAACAACAACAACAAAAAGAAAATTTTAGGCCAATATCCCTGATGAACATCGATACGGAAATTCTCAATAAAATACTGGCAAACCGAATCCAGCAGCACATCAAAAAGCTTTTCCACCATGATCAAGTGGGCTTCATCCCTGGGATGCAAGGCTGGTTTAATGTACACAAATCAATAAATGTAATCCATCATATAAACAGAACCAATGACAAAAACTACACGATTATCTCAATAGATGCAGAAAAGGCCTTTGACAACATTCAACGATGCTTCATGATGGGAGACTTTTTATTATGGTTTCAATTTCGTTACCCTTACTGACTTGTTGAGGTTTTTTTTTTTTTTAATTTCTTCTTGGTTCTATCTTGGTAGGTTGGTAGGTATACATTCAGGAGTTTATCCATTCCTTCTAGGTTTTTAAATTTTTTCACACATAGTTGTTCATAATAGTTTCCAATGCTTCTTTGTATTTCTGTGGTTTCAGTTATTACATCTCCTTTTTCTTTTCCACATTTATTCCTTTGGGCCTTCTCTCTTGTTTTATTACTGGTCTAGCTACAGGTTTGTTTATTTTATTTTTTCATAAAAACAACTTTTCATTTTTTATACCTTCTGTATTTCTTTTTAGTCTCAATTTCATTTATTTCTGCTCAAATTTTTATTCTTTCTTTCCTTTTACTAATTTGGGGTTTGGTTTTTTCTTGTTTTTCTAGTTCTTTGAGGTGCATTGTTAGGTTGTTGTTTATTTGAAGTCCTTCTGTTTTTGATATGGGCATTTATTGCTATAAACTTCCCTGTTAGTATGGCTTTTGCTGTATCCTATAGATTTTAGTATGTTGTATTTCCTTTTTCATTTGTTTCAAAAATGTTTTTTTTTTAATTTCCTTCTTAATTTCTTCATTGGCCATTGGTCATTCAGGAGCATGTTGTTTAATTTCCAAGTGCTTGGGTATTTTCTGAGTTTCTTCTTGTTATTGATTTCTAGTCCTCTGCAGTCAGAAAATTATTTGATATGATTTCTACTTTTCTGAATTTGTTGAGACTTGCTTTGTGACCTATATTAACCTATTAAATTGGCCAGACTTTTGCCAACTGCATCATATGTTTATTGGTCTTTATATGGTATCAAATTCAAAACAAAAAAATTATAATAATTAAGTGGTTTCGAGTAGATAATTTTGTTTAAATGAGACCTTGGGAATATCTGACATTAATTATAGATGTATTGAAATATCTCATTATATACTGTATCCCAGCCACACATTCTTTCTCCTTTATGTCTGTATTTCTAATAGTGAAAACTACATTTTTTCAGCCATTCAATCTTAGAGACATTGAGTTACTTTCTCTTCCTCTTACTCCCTCTATATGTTTAATTATCAGTTCTACATTCTCTAAAACTCTTTCTTTCAATTTTTAATATTATTGTTGTTCTTCTTACCTCTTGTTTGGGTGATTGTATCAACCTGTTGTTAATCTTCTTCTACATATAACTTGTCTTCTCCTCTATTGCTAAGTTAATTTCTTAAGGCATAACCATGATTGTAGTCAGACGCTGGATGAAAAATGTTTCCTGGATTTTTATGGCCAACAGAATAAAATAAAATATATAACAGATCATAATCTAGTCTGAATCACCTTCCCCTATCATGTCTGCATAATTGCAACAAACTCTTCACTTACATTTACACAATTAAGCACTGTTATTCTTCCACTTAGGTCTTGGCCACTTATGTCATGACTATATACCTTTAACTTGGAATACTCTTCCTTTAATATCCAATATCAATATGTAACCCATTATTGAAGGGCCAATTATTTGATATAATTTCTACTTTTTTGAATTTGTTGAGACTTGTTTTGTGACCTATATTAACCTGTTGGAATACTCTTCCTTTCATCTCCAATATCAATATGTAACCCATCCTGGAAGGGCAACTGACATTCAATTTCATATTTTAAGTTTCATTCTCTATCTTAGCAAAAAAACCTAATTGCTATACTTTATCAGCAATATAGAATTTGTCAAAATATGCCATGTCTTAACTATCTGTATACGTCTTAATCTCCACACAGTAAGCTATAAAATCCTCAAGCATAGAAAACATGCTTCATTTTAACTTGCACTCATCTAGCAGAGTTTCTCACAGATACTCATGGAATGTTTATTGAATTGAATTATTTAATGACATATAAAATGTCCAAACTAGCACAGTGCCTTTAATAGTTTCCTCTCACCTATAGTAACTCCACTTAATTAGAGGTGACCTGGTTCTCTATCATCACACCTAAGGGAATATTTCTTGGCTATATGTACTGTTTTTCCCCTGAACTCACTCATTCCATTTAACTGAAATTTGCTTTATTTACTTCACCTAGCTGTCCCTGCTCTCTCCTTCAAAATCCCCTTGAATTTGGTGCTTTGTATTTCTCTATCATTCCCAAACTTTTCATGAAAGTTCATCTTTCATTCAAAAAATCTTTCTTTGGCTTATCTTTGCCAGTTCTTTCGTATCCCTTTGTACACACACACACACACACACACACACACACACGCACGCATGCACTGATGTGGGACTTGGAAATTAAGGCAAGGCCAGTTTATTACTTTTGTTATTGTGGTGCTGAGTATTCTATTTTCATGGGTGGGTATTTTAGGTATTACACACAATTTTCTTAATAGCAGTAAGATTCAGAAGGAAGCATATGCACTGACTTAATTTTACTAGGAATTAAATCCAAAAATTAAAATTAAATTAATTACAGGAAAAGCAAGTGAGTTTGGGTAGGACAAAATAATAAAGAGAAAGTATTGTCCATATTCAATCAGCATGACATTTTTTCCTCAATTTTTTCCGTGTTAGAATTCTTACATATTTTGCTCACCTATATCCTATGCGATCTTTAATATTTCCTTGTTTAGTTAAAACATACTTCACTTTCTCTTTTTTTTTTTTTCCTGGATGTATTTCTATTAAAGAAAAACAAGAACACTTAGTCTTCTTCAAGTAGAGATTTGAAGAAGTGTTTCTCCCTGATGCTTTTCATCCTTCATATTCTGGTTCATTCCTAGAACAAAAAGGAAGAGGTAAAGGAAGTTGTAAGAAGGTGGAAAAGGAATCGTGCAGTGAAGAAATCAGATAACTTATGAGCAACACGCACCCCCCCAGTTATGTACAAAGTAAGTTTCTGATTACTAGATAATACAATCTTCAAAAGTGGTTTGATAATTTCCAAGACAAAAAGAAATTTTACATTATCCTTACCACTACTTCTATAGTTGCCAGAAATTAGGCAAAGTCTTTACAACTGTGGAAGAGGGAATGGCCATATAGGTCCGTTGAGCCAAATAAATGACCAGAGGATATTTTCAGTGGCAAATATGTTTTGATTGAATATCTGTGTGCTGAACACAAAAATTAAGATGTGAATGACTGAGGTATAAGGACTGCTCAATAAAAGTTAGGGTAGTAATTTGTGAAGACTAATGTACGCAGACAAATGAAATATCAGGGAAGCCAGAAGAAATAACTGGTGATGGACAAATATAAAGGTCAAGGGATTGACCCAAACCATAACTGACCAAAAAACATTCAGGTAAGAGAAGACATTGAGAAAGAGAGAGAGATCAGTACTTAATGAGGACAAATTTGAAGGCATGTCCAAAGCAGCAGGTAAACAAGGTGGAATGGAGTGAAAATTTTTCAAAAGACTAAGGGCTAGAAGCATTAAATCAAAAAAAATCAAAATATTATAGCTGAAGTGTGGAGACTAGGAAAGGAAGAAAGAAGATCAAAGTAGAAAGACAGTGAAAAAAACAATATCCAGTGGAAAAGGAAAACATATGAATGACAAATTAATCCTGCTTTTGGTAAGATAATAGAGAAAACAAAGAAATATGAATTAGTTATGTAGCTCACCAAATTAAGTGAGATATATAATTTCCACTAATCAATTTTTAACATCCAGTAATATCTAAGAAGGAAAAGTTAGAAGCAGTAGTATTAAAGCATTAAAGAAACACACACACACATGCATGCACACACACACACACACACACAAATAAAACTCCTGGGTTGCTTTTATTATACAGTAACAAACCAAAACAATCCCTTCAAATAGGAAAAAGAGACAAAACAAAATGAAAAAACAGAAAGTTGATAAAACTTTGAAATCCCAAGACTAGAAACAAATGTTTGAAAAATTGTCAATGTAAAGGAAATGCTTTGTACAAAGATGTCTTCTATGGGATTTGTTGTAATCTCCCAGAGAAACAAACAAAAGCAACAACATCAGGATAGGAGAGGGAGACTGTGACCATGAGGACGAGTAACAAGGGAAAAATCTAAGGAATTAGTAAATATTTAAAATGGAAAACCATATAAGGGAGGAGAAAGAATAAAGAATTTAAATAAGCAAACAGCTAAAGGAAATCCGCACAAAAAAGATTGCAACAGGACACAAATGCATTGTGTACCTTTGTGCATTCCTAAGGTATACATAATTTGGTTACAGCTGATTTACAATGTTCCATCTCAACAACTCCTTGAGTGGCAGGAATCTGAAAATGCTATCGCTTTGGGATATTTTAGTGAGACATGATAAAGTAAAAAGGCTGACGTGTGCAATCATATCTGCTTTGGCCATGCTACATCTACTTGAGCGGAGGGTGGATGGCACAGGAAACATAATGGAAAGAAAAACAAGGGGATGTGACGAAGAAAATAATAATTAGGCACATGTAAGCTTGAGAGAAAGAGAGAAGATAACACTTCAATAGTCAGCAATTTTGTATCCCAGCCACTAAGTATTGGCTAAAATCTTCCATTGAAATTCTGCCCTGCACCACTTCCTTCATTGCGAGCAAAGCCATTCATCAGTTCTTTCATGCTGGTTCAATTAAATCCTATAGTGCTCCCAGGCAATGTAGCATCAGCTCTGGTGAAGAATTTCAATTCCATAAACAGGCCTGTAAATATGCTACTGTGGATAAATTGGCCATCAGGGTGATAGAGAGTAGCAAACGAAAATGTGTGATTACAGCTAGTTTTAGTGTGCTAGAAAGCTGCTGAGCCATTACTGTGAGCAAGAACAATGTTTTTGCCTCCTCTGCTTATCTAGTGTTTTTGCTCTCTCCATATTAGCTATTTCCAGGCAAATACACTTTGTCTGATTTATATTTCTCACTTAGTTACTCTCACAATGACCCTGACATAGATTTTTTAGAACTCAAATCTAACATACCCCTCAAGCCCACTCTCCTCCAAGTACCATCTTCATCATGCTTTGTCCTCCTAGGCTCTCCAGTCTTAGAGTGCTAAGAATATAGGCTGGCTTTCTGTTTTGTTTTTAACCTTTAAATTAAGTACATATGGAGAACTCTGACCTATCTGCACCTTTGAGTTTTCCTACTTTTATATCCTTGTTTTTATATAACGCTTAGACAATCAACTTTACACTGTAATGGGAAAAAATGATTTAAAGTTTTTTTACTATCATTACATTATAGACAAAAGTCACACTTGTCTTCAAAGCAAATGTCTTTTTAAAAATAGCAATTTGTTTAAAGAAAAAGCACTAATATTGTATAAAGCTAGCAAAACTGCTTTCCTCTAATAAACTAGTTATCTCAAAAACTTCCAGAGATAAAACTTAGGCATTAACAGAAGGAAATAACTTTGTGTAAAAAAACTTCTGAAACTTATTTATATTTATCAAATACAATGAAATTTGTTCTGCCAAGAAAGATAGATGCAGGATTTTCCATGTTCAATAAAATAAATAACATGTTAAGTCTTTGGGTTTAAGGGTTTTCAAATAGAAAATCCCCAAGAAAGGCAACTATGTAATTGTTCTGACATTGCTAATCACTACATACTGGACTTTAGATTTTCACGTATTTTTTCCTAACACAAAATTCATGTGAAAGTGGATTTTGTATTGAATGTTACAGGTAAAATCATTAACCAGAAGATTTCCATAATCTTCAATAGCCCTTCACCAGCAAGAGAGGCAGCAGTCTCTCTTGCTGCTACTTTACTTAATATTAGCAATCACAATCCTTCCCACCTAAAAATGCTGTATAGACTGAGAGTGGTGGCACACACCTGTAATCCTAGCACTTTGGAAGGCCAAGGCAGGAGGATCCCTTGAGGCCAGGAGTTTGAGATCAGCCTGGGCAATATAGTGAGATCCTGTCTCTACAAAAAGTAAAAAACAAAACAAAACAAAAACAGCTGATTCTCCCAGCTAATCGGGGGCTGAGGTGGGAGGATCATTTGAGCCCAGGAGGTAGAGGCTGCAGTGAGACATGATCATACCAGTGCACTCCAGCCTAGGCAAAAGAATGAGACACTACCTCAAAAAGAAAAAAAAAACATGCTGTATGCCTTCAATGCATTGTTCTTTCAATTGTATTCTAAGAATTGAGTAGAGAAGAATCAACTCTTCTGTTATATTTACAAGTAAACATATTTTAACAGAGTTGAGTTAATATTGTCCTTGACTCTAACATCAGCCCTTTTAATTATGTTTCATTCTTTAAATGATAAAAGTGTGTTTGGGTCACACATTGATTTGTCAGAGAGGGATTTGAAACATTTAGTCAAAAAATACATAATTTTTTTAACAAGAGGTAAGCAGAGAAATGTTTTAAATCAGAGTAGCTCTTGAAATAGATGGAGAAGAAAATTTGAGGCTACTAAATGGGAATAAAGGCTGAGATATGTTCCCTTTCTTTCTAACAGTCAATCAGTGTCTAGGATTTTAATACATTTCTTAGACCTCCATGTCTTTTATTCAAAGTGAAAGAAAATGTGTTCTCATCTTTTATATAAAATGAAAGTAACTATGTTCTGATTAGTTCTATTTAAAAACATACTTCAGTCAGATGTGGGGTTTATGTAAGTTCAGAATTAATGATTTTAAAAAGAGATCTTATTAGATTTTATCAGAGCCATCTATGAGCATTCCAAAACTTTTATCTTTTGTATTCTTTTAAATATTCACGTAATTGTTAGAGATAACAGACCAAGTGGCCTCAGAATAGTTGTGCAAACTCCAGTGCAATGATGAAGTAATTAAGCCTAGATTTGGATTGAAATTATAGATCTGCTAGATATAAAGAAGGTTATTAAATAATTGATAAGGGATTGTTTAACAAGGAATATACATCTTTCCTAAACCCTAGTTATTTGCTCATTCCTTAAACTTCAGTTACTTCATTTGTAAAATAAGAAATAATAGTAATAAGTAACTCATTGTGTTTTGAGAAGCTTAAGTCACATAGCACAAGAAAAATTCTTAGCATAGTAAGTGTACAACAAATGTTAGCTAAGCTAATAAATCATAATACATTGGTTTACCTTTCAATGACTAGCACAATGAAGTGATTTTTCCTCTTTTTGTGATATTTGAACTGTTTCTATAAAGTGGTATACACATTTTTAATGCAAATTTTGAAATAAATGCTCTGAGAGTCTACATCAGAGGTTGATAAACTATACCCCATTGGCCAAATCAAACTCACAGGCTGAGTTTTTAGTCTTATTTGGAAGACAACCTGCTCATTTGTTTTTATATTGTCTCTGACAGCTTTTAAATATCAACAACAGTGTGGAGTAGTTATTACAGACACTGTATGGGCCACAAAGCCTAGAATATTTACTCTCCAGCCCTTTACAGAAAAGTTTATCAACCCCAGGTCTATATCATGCTAAACATCTGGATTTTTTTAAGCTCAGTAATTTTACGGGAATTTCAGAGTCTTTTCAAAGGTTTTATTATTATTAGCAGATTCTTCCTGTCTATAGGATGTCAATGAGACAAAGTATAACATGCCTGAAACAGAAATCTTAATGCCCCACATCCCTCATCTACAATTGTTTCTCTCCCAGTCTTTCCTCTCAGCTAACGACTCAGTTTTCTAACGCATTTTTTAATTTATTTTTTGCTTCCACCCCACCGTATCTAATCCACCAGCATGTTTCATAGAACCTGACCCCAAAATACTTCCCTACACTCATCTCTCCTCTTTATGGCTTTGCCCCACTCTACTTCAAGCTATCTGTATGGGTTTCGTATAGCTACTGCAACAAACTGCGACACACTTAGTGACATAAAACAACACAAACTTATTATCTTATGGCTCTGGCAGTCACAAGTCTGAAGTGGGTTTTACTATTGGTGTCCACAGCTGGGTTCATTTCCGGAAGCTCTAAAGGAGAGTCCATTTTCTTGATTTTCCCAACCTTTAGAGGTTCCCTTGCATTGTAACAGGTAGCAATTGCCAGTTGGGTTTTTCTCATGAAAGTGCCATCTCTTGGCTGAGGCAGGAGAATGGCGTGAACCCGGGCGGGGAGTTGGCAGTGAGCCGAGAGGGAGGGGGAGTTGGCAGTGAGCCGAGATTGCGCCACTGCACTCCAGCCTGGGTGGAAGAGCGAGACTCCGTCGAGAGAGAGGAGAGAGAGGAGAGAGGAGAAAGGAGAGAGGAGAGAGGAGAGAGAGAGCCATCTCTCTGGTTGTGACTCTTCTACCTCCCTCTTCCCCATTTAAGGACCCTTTAACAGTCCTGGATAATCTAATCTTAAAATCAGACAATTAGCAACCTTAATTCTATCTGCCACCTTAACTCCCCTTTGCATTTTAACATGAAATATTCCCATGCTTCTGGAACTAAGTCGTGAATGTCTTTCATGGTGGAGGGATGTTATTCTGCCCTTTTATTGAGTTTAAACTATCTACCTGGACTACTGCAACAGGCTGTGACCTGTTCTTTGTTTCTATTTGTAATCCCTTACAATCTATTGAATCCGCTGACATCACCATATACAACATAAAACCATAAAACTTCGCTGGATCATGCCACTTCCCTAGTAAAAACCTACCAAGAACTTTCCACTTTACACAGAATAAATAACCAAACTCCTTACTGAGCCCTTCAAGGCTGTGTGTGATCTTCTGTTTATCTTTTCCTGGGTCACTTCCATCACTTTCCAGAAAGAAGGGTATTATGACATCACCTTGATCTTGGCAAGCTTATTACTACTTCTATACCTATGTACTTCTTCAGTCTTTCCCAAATCTTCACATGGTTAGCTCTTTTTTGTCACTTAGGTCTCAGTTCAAAGGCCACTTCTTTAGATATTTTTTTTTTCTAGCACCCAAACTAAAAGTGTCCCTCAACAAATAATTCACTGTACTACAATACCTGTCTTATTTCCTTCCCTGATTATTAATTTGTTTGATTGTTTATGATGCATCTTTTTCTATCAGCGTTTAGCTGAGAGCTGAGACTTCATCTATCTTGTTGAGGATGCTACGTCTGCACATTGGGTAGGATGAGGAACAAATACTAAATAAATATTAGATGAATAAATAAAAGAAAGAACAAAAAAGCTGAAGCTGACAATCATGATGAAAACGCTCTCTGTCACTAGTATACCTCATTTATAAAATAGGTTTAATAATTAATATGGATTATATATAGTAAATTCCCAATAATTACCTATAATTGTCATCATTATTACTATTTCACCAGTAGTATTAGTGCTCTAATTTTATACTCAAAGATACAGAAGTGCTCTATAGCAAGGGTAAAGGGTAGGTAAACAAGAGATGATAATATAATAACAGCTAATAATTAATATTTTGGGATTTTATGATCATCATATGAAACAATTTACAGAGATTATCACATTTAAGTTTTATCTTCAATTTTACATAAGAAGAAACTAGCCCTTTATGAATTTAAGCAACTACTTAGTGGCAGAGATGTGAAGCAAAATCCATGCTCTCAATATATTCGTTATCTAAATGACCATAGAAACTCATGAGCTCTGTGCAAAAGAGTTCAAATGCCACATGGGAAAGAAAACAAAAATGAATCAATAATAACAGAATGGATTTTTAATTATTAAAGCAAGTAAAGAAATAAACAAAAAATAGCTATAAAACAAGACAACAAAATCAGGAAAAGTGTATTAGATGTATAATGACTAGAAGGTAGAACCCTCTTCTACACACCACTCTGCCATTTCCTCGAGTTCTGCCATAAATTTCAAAAACAAATTTGTAAAACTGATATTCTTAGTTAATGCTGACTTAAATAAAAATTCAGAGGTGGCCATAATTGCTTAAACAAAAGCCTTTCCCTGAAACTAAATTAAAATGTCTTCATCTATAAAAAGGGCCTTCAAATAATGATAAACAAGAGCAGTCCTGAAATAGAAGCTATGCAATGAAGTAAGAGAATATATTGCCATTTGAAAACAAAAATACCACCACACAAAATGCCCAGAGTTACAAATCACATAGCAATCATAGAATAATGGATCTCATATCTGTTCTTGGAGTGCATCACTTGTCAAGCAAGGGGGGGCTCTGTCTGCTTCTTTCACTCTGTGCTACCGAAGCACTACAAAGTCTTCACATGTGTGAGGAAACTTCAAGTGTGAATAGAGTGATTTATGAGATTTATGAGAAAGGAGAATAAAATTAGGTTGTACGTGATGCACCATGAGTGGAACATAAAAATGTAATAGAAAAACACTAACATGGACATCTCAATAGTTTGAAAGAAGACACAATAACAAACAGGTAGAAAAGATAACATTGCAATGTTCATCTGTCACACACAAGAAGAGAGTCAACTATTGTGTTAAATATGACAATATTAATCATTTAAATGAACATGAATAAAACACTAATGTTACTATTGGGAAAATGATTGTTTTGATGAAAAATTATGCATTTTTTCTAGCACAATATTTAGCTTTATGTAATTTGTGTTCATTGAAGCTGCTTTACAAATGTATGAATTGTAAGTTACTGATGGCAAAGCAAAAAAGTTCTTCTTTTTAGACATACAAACTCTGCCTTGTCAGGGAGTAGCTCAACTGACTTCTCTCCCTCACTGTAGAAGAAGTTAGTTTTACCTCCATTTATGAATTCAATTTAATGTCCCTCTCCTATAATTATGGCTGTTCTTTAGATCCTCTTTTGAAGCCATTATAAAATTTTCCTAGTTTACTCATTATTAAATAAAATGTCTAGCACGCATTCATATCTGTATGATAGTCATAATTTTACCTTTCTTGAAAATTATCTCGTAACACTAGTGTCTGTATTCACCGTGCAAAGCCACCATTACTATACCTAAATCTACTTTTTTTTTCTTTTCAATAAGGGGCTTTTCCCCCTTTGCTTGGCACCTCTCTCTCCTGCCACCATGTGAAGAAGGACATGTTTGCTTCCCCTTGTGCTATGATTGTTAGTTTCCCCAGGCCTCCCCAGCCCTGCGTAACTGAGTCAATTAAACCCATTTCCTTTATAAATTACCCAGTCTCAGGTATGTCTTTATGAGCAGGATGAGAACAGAGTACCTTGCATAGTCTTTTTCAATGGGGCTTTAAGAGATTCTTTCTTTGCTGAATATTTAGCACTCAGACATGCAGCTGATGGCAAGAGTTCTTAGTCTCAAGAGATCCTCTTGTGTCGTCTTCTCAAAGTGCTGGGATTACAGGGATGAGCCACCACACTCAACCCTTTGTTGAGGATTCTTCCATCTATGCTCATCAAGGATATTGACCTGTAGTTTTCTTTTTCATTATGTCTTTGCCAGGTTTTGATATCAGAATTATTCGGCTCATGGAATGAATTAGGAAGGAGTCCTTCTTCCTCAATTTTTTGGAATAGTTTCAGTAGGATTGGTTTCAGCTCTTCTTTTTATGTCTGGTAAAATTTGACTGTTAATTCTTCTGGTCCAGGGATTTTTCTGGTTGGTAGGCTTTGTTACTGATTAAATTTCCAAATTTGTTATTGGTCTGTTCAGGGTTTTAATTTCTTTCTGGTTCAATCTTGGGAAGTGTATGTTTCCAGGAATTTATCTCTTTCTTCTATGTTTTCTAGTTTGTGTCCATAGAGATGTTCATAATAGTCTCTGAGGGTTTTTTTTTTTAATAGTTTTATAGGATTGGAGGTAATGTGCTTATTTCAATCTTCTCTCTTTTTTTCTTTATTAAGCTAGGTGGTGGCCTATCAATCTTATTTATTCTTTCAGAGAACCAACTTTTGGTTTCATTGCTCTTTCATATGGTTTTTCATGTCTCAATTTCATTCATTTTAGCTCGGATTTTTGTTATTTCTTTTCTTCTGCTAGCCTTGGATTTGGTTGGCTCTTGTTATTCTATTTCCTCTATGTGTGAAATTAGGTTGTTAATTTGGTATCTCACTTTTTTATGTAGGTGTTAGTACTACAAACTCTCCTGTTAACACTGCTTTAGATATTTCCCAAAGATTCTGGTATGTTGTACTTTTGTTTTCATTAGTTTCAAATAATTACTTGATTTCTGCCTTAATCTGTTTACCCCAAATTTTCATTCCGGATTAGGTTAATTTTCATGTAAATGTATAGTCTGAGAGATCTTCTTAGTATTGATTTCTACTTTAATTGCACTGTCATCTGGGAGTGTTGTTGGTATGATTTGTTTGTTTTAAAATGTATTTAGAATTGTCTAAAAGCTGAGCATGTGGTCAATTTAGCATATGTGCCATGTGCAGATGAGAAGAATGCATATTCTGTTGTTGTTAAATGGAGTGTTCTGTAGATGTCTGTTAAGTCCATTTAGTCAAGTATTGAGGTTAGGTCCTGAATATCTTTGTTAGTTTTCCGCTTTAATGATCATCTAAGACTGTCAGTGGAGTATTAGAGTCTCTCCTTACTTTTGTGTGGTCATCTAAGTCTCTTTGTAGGTGTGTAACAACTTGTTTTACGAATCTGAGTGCTCCAGTGTTAGGGATGTGTGTGTGTGTGTATATATATATATATGTAGAATATTTAAGTCTTCTTGTTGAATTGAACTCTTATTGTTACACAATGCCCTTGTTTGTTTGTTTTCCTTTTTTCTTGTCTTTTCTTCAGTTTTTTTTTTTTTTTGAGACAAGGTCTTAAGTCTGTTGCCCAGGCTGGAGTGTAGTGCTGTGATTATCGCTCACTGCAGCCTTGATCTCCTAGGCTCAAATGATCCTCCAAACTCAGCCTTCCAAGTAGATGGGACTACAGGCATACACCACAACACCTGACTAATTTTCTTGTTTCTTTTTTGTTTTTTGTTTTTTTTTATAGAGACTGTGTCTTGCTTTGTTGCCCAGGCTTGTCTCAAATTCCCACCTCAAACGATCCTCCCACCTTGGCCTCTCATCTTTATCCTTTTTGATTGTTCCAGGTTTGAAGTCCGCTTTGTCTGAAATAAGAATGGCAACACCTGCTCTTTTTTTGTTTTCCATTTGCTTGGTAGATTTTTCAACATCCCTTTACTCTGAACCTATGGGTGTCTTTGCATGTGAGATGGGTCTCTTGAAGATAGCACACAGTTGGTTTATTTATTTATTTTTTTATCCTACTTGTTTTGTCTGAAATAAGAAGGCAACACCTGCTCTTTTTTTTGTTTTCCATTTGCTTGGTAGATTTTTCAACATCCCTTTACTCTGAAATTATGGGTGTCATTGCATGTGAGATGAGTCTCTTGAAGATAGTACACAGTTGGTTTATTTATTTATTTTTTATCCTATTTGACACTCTCGGCCTTTCAATTGGGGCATTTAACCCATTTATAGTCAAAGTTTATATTGATTTGTGCAGATATGATTTTTGTCATTGTGTTGTTAGTTGGATGTTATGCAGGAATTACTTTATAATGTCAATGGTCTATATACTTAAATGTGTTTTGTGGTGGCTGGTAACAGTCTTGGTTTTTTAGCACCCCCTTAAGTACCTCCTGAGGGCAGACCTGGTGGTAACAATTCTCTTAGCATCTGCTTGTCTGAAAAATATTTTATTTCTCCTTCACTTATGAAGCTTAGTTTGGCTGGATATGAAATTCTTATTTGGAATTTATTGTTTAAGAATGCTGAACATAGGCCTTCAATCTCTTCTGGCTTGTAGGGTTTCTGCTGAAAGGTGTGCTGTTAGCCCGATGTGCTTCCCTTTGTAGGTGACCAACTGTTTCTCTCTAGCTGCCTTTAATATTCTGTCTTTTGCATTGACCTTGGAATATCTGATGACTATGTGTCTTGGGGATAGTCATCTTGTATAGTATCTCACAGGGGTTCTTTGCATTTCTCATATTTGAATGTTGACATCTTTTGAGATGTTTGGGATATTTTCATGTATAATATCCTCAAAGATGTTTTCCAAATTGCTTGTTCTCTCTCCTTCTCTTTCAAGGATGCCAATAAGTTGTAGGTTTGATCTCTTTACCTAATCCCATATTTCTCAGAGGTTTTAATTAAGTTTTTTATCTGACTGAATTAACTCAAAGAACTTGTCTTCATACTCTGAAGTTCTTTCCTCAGCTTAGTCTAGTCTTCCATTAATACTTCCGATTGTATTATGAAATTCTTGATGTGAACTTTTCAGCTCTATCAGATCAGTTTTGTTCTTTCTTAAAGTGGCTTTTTCACCTTTCAGCCCTTGTATCATTTGACTGGATTTGTTTTACTGATTCCTTAGATTCTTTGGATTGGGTTTCAACTACCTCCTGAATCTCAGTGATCTTCGTTGCCAACCAGATTCTGAATTCTATGTCTGTCATTTCAGCCATTTCAGCCTCATTAAGAATCATTGCAGGGGAGTTAGTATAGTCACTTGGAGGTAAGAGGACACACTGGTTTTTGAATTGCCAGAGTTTTTGCATTGGTTCTTTCTCATCTGTGTGGGCTGATGTTCCTTATAATCTTTGAACTTGCTCTCCTTTCGATGAGACTTTTTACTTTTATTTTTTTTGCTGTTGAGGGTTTGATTGTAGCATAAGTTGGATTCAGTAATCTGGCTTTGTTTCTCGATGATTTTAGGGGGCCAAGACTCAGCTCAGCATTCCTGCGCTTTGCTCTCTATCCCTGGAGGGCTGAGACCAGGCCCAAAACTTTGTTCTCTGGCACCTCAAAGTTAAGCACCTGCTGCACTTGAGGAACCTAGGTATACCTGGTGTGCTGGCAACAACACTCCAACAGGCAGTGCCGGCAAAAGCACTTTGTCAGAGCAGTGACAGTGGCATCTGCAGTGTGTACTGGCAGGGTTGAGATGACTACAGTGAAGTCCATGCATGCACAAGCACACTGCTAGCGGTGGGGCAGTGAGGTCTGCTCATGCAGTGGCAAAGCAGTGTTGAGAGTCTGTGGGTGGGTGCCTGTCAGCAAAATGATGTGGGAAGCTATGCATGGGTGCATGTTGTGGGGTACCATCTGCAGAAGCTCTCCAACAGTTAGGCAGGACCTACCTGCAAATGAGCTATGGTGGCTGCTGCCAGGAAGTACCCCATTTGGGCATCCAGGGCTGTGCTTCAAGCAGACTTGGCCAGGCAGGAACCCTAGGAGAGGCTGGTAGACAGAGGTGCACTCAGATCAGACTGGCTCTTTCACACAGACAAGATTGCTCTGATCTGTCCAGGTCTGAGAGTCAACAAAAGCCAAAGCTATCTAGAGCTGTGTCGTGAGCCTTGAGGCTGGGCATCCCTGGCCGTGCTCCATTGCAGCTATTCCCATGCCAAATCTTTGCTCAGCACAGTCTGGAGTCCTGTCCCTGCCACATCTCTAAGGTGGCACAAATGTCCGTGGGGGTTGTGGAGTCTCCTGAAGCTAGAATTCTGGAGGTCTGTGGCAAGAGTAGGCCAGTCCTCACCTATTTAACTCACCAAGAGCCACTGTGGGCCAGAAACGAGTCCTGGTGCTCAGCATCCCTGTGCAGGGTTCCCAGCTTCCTCCCACTTCAGCCCAGGATCTATGTCTACCCTC
The DNA here is from genome assembly GCF_000001405.40 of Homo sapiens. NCBI lineage: Eukaryota > Metazoa > Chordata > Mammalia > Primates > Hominidae > Homo > Homo sapiens. The sequence goes on from NC_000014.9 coordinate 46,637,956, forward strand.
CATCCATTCTCAATGCCTTCCTTTCTAAGATCTGCTCAGAGTGTGCCGGTCTTCTTGATGGTCTTGTCTCTGGGTGGGAGATACTCTTCCTTGCTGTGTCTATTGGCCACCTTAGTTCTTCTCCAGAAAAAAACATTTAAAGAAAATATAAACAGTAAAAACTATCTCAAAGAAAAATTTTTAAAAATACAAATAATAGAGGAAATAATTTATATATATAAATACAGTAAACTTCATTTCAGCTTATCAAAACACCATACAGAAGTTGAAAAGATAAATGACAGATAAGCAGAAGATATAAGGAACATATAAAATATATTTCATAAAGGTCTAATATTCAGAAAAACTCTAAATTCAAAGGCAAAATAAAAACTGCCATGCAGGATATTTCCAAAAGACAGAATATGTCATTTCACAAAGGAAGAAAAATGAATGGCCAAATCACGTTTAAAAACCTGTAAAAGCTCCTCAGAAAAATGAAAATTAAAATCACATTTAGATATCATTTCAACATTATAAAATTGTTTAAAAGCATAAAAAGTCAAAAAAAGTTATGGGAAATATTTGGGAATGGGAATCTCATACATTGCTGGTAGAAGAATAAATTCACATGGTATTTTTAGAAAAGGATTTAGCGTTATTTGGCAAAATTGAAGCATTCTACCACCTACAATTCTATTCAGTGATGTTTTCCCTAAAGAGATTCTTGCACTTGTATACCAAGAAACCTATGCAATATATGGAATCCTCTAAAGCACATGGAGTAATAAAGGGACCACTTTTACTCAAGTTTAAAAAGTTATACATACCATAATTATGAATCCCATTTTGATCTTTTATCCCAATTCTGGTAAGTTGATCAATCACTATATTAATAACAAGCCTATTTTCCCTTTTACAGACCTGAGAGTATTTTCTTAGTCTTGATAATACTTTTATCTGAAACTAAAATCCTGTGGCTAAATCCAATTCTTACGACTTTTATCCTAATAGTTATTGAGATTTTTTTCTTGCACTGGTATTACCAACCTCGTTGGGACTGGAATTTCCATGTTTCCATACCAGCTTGTAAAGATGCCCAGAGACTTCTTGAAATTGCACCAATTGTAATGACAGCTTTGCCAATTGTTACCTGTGTCCATATTTTTGTTAGAATGTTCTACCTTTCAGATGAAATTGGAACTTCATTCCAGGGATTCCATTTCCAGGTTCAATTCTGTCTGAGTCTGCCACATCCCACTAAAATTATTTAATATTCAGATTAACCTAATAAGTGGAACATATTTTATCTAATAGTACATCTGTATTAAGAAAGTATACTATTTACCTTTCACACAGCTACTCCATATTTACATGAATAATGGATTAATTTGTGGTTGGTAATAATGAGCCTTACTGCATTACTCAGACTACTTTTTGTTGTAAGACTCTTTAGGGGCATTATTATAATTTGCAAAGAGTAAGCTTAACTAGGAATTCTATACATAATTTCTAATTCCTTCTTATATATTAACATCTGATCAATATAGTAATTATTATTCTCAAAGTTCAAAATATTATGCTTATTTAAATATAATACATTTTTTGATAAACAGTTGATATTTAAAAGGTTTCATTCCAGAAGTGATTTTTCCTTTCTTCCACCCTTAGTTGATTGGCCTGTGATTAGACTGGATTGAATATGAAACTTCCAAATTTGCTAGAGTACTGAGTTACTGACCATCTCAAATATATGTGTATGTAAAAAATGTATACACACATATGTGTATGTATGTGTGTGTGTATGTGTGAGTGGGGGAAGAGAGAGAGAAAAAAATGCACAAATCAGAATCTAGCATGAAGACTTTGCAATTATGTGAGAATTTGATACATTGGTAGGGTTAAGTCCAAATGACAGACAATGCCTAGGTCAACATTCTTTATGATCTTACAGTTGCAGTCCAATGTTTTTTAAATCAGTTTAATTTATACAGCCCATTCTTTCATTTTATAAATCTCTTAAGATACATGAAGACAAATTGAAATGCTTTCTCTAACTTAATCATAGCTTTTCATGGTTCATTAAATCTAATATAATATATATCAATATCCTGCTGTAGCTTATAAGTTGGAAATAATGAATTATCTTGGTATTTTTATACTGCTATAAAAATAAGTATGTTATAATATGATTTTTCATAACACACAAATAATCACTTGTGGAATTAAAATTATCATTAAATGCCTTAAAAATATATTAACATATACTTTAAATGAGATACCATCTCACACCAGTTAGAATGACAATCATTAAAAAGTCAGGAAATGACAGATGCTGAAGAGTATGTGGAGAAATAGGAATGCTTTCACACTGTTGGTGGGAGTGTAAAGTAATTCAACCATTGTGAAAGACAGTGTCGTGATTCCTCAAGGATCTAGAACCAGAAATACCATTTGACCCAGCAAACCCATTATTGAGTATACACCCAAAGGATTATTAATCATTCTACTATAAAGACACATGTACACATATGTTTATTGCAGTAATATTCACAATAGCAAAGACTTGGAACCAACCCAAATGCCCATCAATGTTAGACTGGGTACAGAAAATGTGGCACATATACACCATGGAATACTATGCAGCCATAAAAAAGGATGAGTTCATCCTTGCAGGGACATGGATGAAGCTGGAAACCATCATTCTCAGCAAACTAATACAGGAACAGAAAAGCAACCACCACATGTTCTCACTCATAAGTGGGAGGTGACCAATGAGAACAGATGGACACAGGGAGGGGAATATCACACACTGGGGCCTGTCAGGGGGTGGGGGACTAGGGGAGGGATAGCACTAGGAGAAATACCTGATGTAGATGATGGGTTGATGGGTGCAGCGAACCACCATGGCACAAGTATACCTATGTAACAAACCTGGATATTCTGCACATGTATCCCAGAACAAAGTATAACAACAAAAAAGTTAAAATATGGCAGAATTATGTAAGCTACAATAGTTATTTCATATAAATTTTTTGTGTCTTCAGTTCAAAATCAGAATTAATATGCCAGGCAATACTGGATATGATGGCTATTACATACCTTTCATACTTATATTCAAATACTTCATCATTATTGGATTTACTGAGAAAAGAATACATACAATGTATACTTTAAACATGAATTTTAAAGATAACATCAAGAGATTTGGAGATTCTGCAATCAAAATGTGTGCCACTTCAATTTCATAACCAGAGTAATGATATAAATTAGTTTAATACATAGTGAATTCTTTTTAAGTTCTAATATTTAATAAGAAAGGACAATAATAATATGCAACATTATTCAGAGTGTACTATGTCCCAGAAGCTGTGCTAAGTGCATATTCTCATAAATACCATTATAATGTTTTACAGTTGAGAAGTTTATGAAGCTGAGGCCCTGAAAGGTTCAATAAACTGCTCAAGATGAAATGAGAAGTAGTGAGCAGAATGAGGATCTAAACAGACGTCTGTATATTCCAATACATTTGCTCTTTTCAATAGCTACATTGAACCAAGTTTTGATCTTTTCCTGATTTTAATGATCATAATGGCCATAGCAGTTACAGTTTGCTCAAGGAAGAAGTATTAAGTGTAATATAGAATAAGAGATTTATTATGTGTGTTAGGCCTTGCATAATAATGAGAAAGGCTGGGAAAATAACAGTACTGAAGGAGACAGTGTGATCAGATAAAAGTCACCTAAGTTACTAATATAGTTTGTATCTGTGTCCTTGCCCAAATCTCATGTTGAATTGTAATCCCCAATGTTGGAGGTGGGGCTTGGGAGGAGGTAATTAGATCATGGGGGCAGATTTTCCCCTTCGTACTGTGTTGCCATAGTGAGTGAGTACTCATGAGATCTGGTTGTTTAAAAATATGTAGTACCTGACACCTCTCTCTCGGTCCTATTCCTGTGATGAATACGACCTGCTCCCACTTCGCCTTCCACCATGATTGTGAGTTTCCTGAGGCCTCCCCAGAAGCAGATGTTGCTATGCTTCCTGTACAGGCTGCAGAACTGCAAGTCAATTGAACCTCTTTTCTTCATAAATTGCCCAATCTCAGGTATTTCGTTATAGCAGTGTGAGAAGAGACTAATACAGTCACCAAGCAGGGACAATGAAATTTCCTGAATGTGATTGCCTCTTTTCTGGTGGTGAGCACGAAATTGCTACAAGCAAGTAAGGCAGGCAATTGGGAGAAAAAAATGCAAAGTAAAGGTAAGTATAGATAAACAGCATCTCACAGGACAAATGGAACTCACAAGGATAAATTGAAACCCATGACGACAATCTAAAATCCAGGTCAATGCCTCTAACTCCAATAATGTCTGTGAATAGAAGTCTGTGCCACTCGGCACAAAGATGCACTTATGCCTGGCCTGGGTCTCAGAGAGGTGAACGGCAAGATGTAGCAAGGGCTGGAGGAAATGACATTGCTGGCATCCTTCAATTAAGTGAGCTAACAAATCAACCACAACATTTCTGAATCACAAAGATGCCTGGGGCCCTGCACCGATTTTATAATTGTTGCTTCATTTCTGCCTTCCAAATTTCATGTCAATTTCTATTGTGATTAAACACCCTATGGAGAAGAGAATTCTGGAGAACATATTTCCAGCTTATGCAAGATAAGGCAATAAAAATCCACCACTTTGCACAAAGTATTTTGGGTCTAAATTTTTGAAGTAGACAATAAAATTAGAAAGACTATACTATGTATGAATCTGTGTACATTAATATGATTCCAGGTTGTAGATATCATGGTATTTTTCAAGAAACAGAGATGAAATTAAAATACATCACAAAACTTCCACTTAGCAGTACGGAAGACTAAGTACTGTAAGTGATCCTCCCATCTAGATATAACTAGATTCTGCCTACAGTCTTACCTTTTAATACATTTCTAGGTTCACTAGAAAATAAATAAACCTTCAAGGACTTAAACCAGAAGCAAACAAACGAGTGGGAACTGGAGCAGAGGGCTGAGAATGGTTAATACATGTAAGGTGGTGGATTTATCAGGGACACACAATTACAAAACCTGAGGGCATAGCAAAGTCAGAAAGCTCAACCTGAGAACCACACATTTTTTTTATCTCTCATGACAAGAGAAATTGGTTTCAGGATGGTAGCATCCTAGGGAACAGGCTGAATCAACTACAAATTTTCTCTGGTGGAAAAAAATGTAAGAATTAAAGAAAGAGGAAAGAAACATGAGCAAAAAGTACCCAACACAGATCTTGGTATACAAGAGGATAAGTTAAGCAAAGTATAGGCCCACAAAAACAAAACAACACAAACTACTATGAAATAGGAATAAAAATATAAACAACAAATAATAAATTTACATCTCTCAAGACCTCCATAATAAATTAATTATAAAATATCAAGTAATATATTTTTAACTTTATAAATTTACTTTAGTAAAGTTTTTGAAGGCAACTGACAATGGTAATTTCACAAGCTGACTTTCAAATTTAGAATCATTGGAAGGGAAAAGTTCCAAGAATTGTCCAGACATACTGATGAATAAAGACCTGGAAGGACTTACTTTAAAAGATAAAAAGTTATTATACAGTACCCTCCATAGACTATCCCTGTTCCTCCCCTGCCATGTTATGCCCCACCCATGCAACCACTATCCTAAATTTTCATAGTTAGCATTACCTTTAAAAACTAGATCTATCATATATTTATTTACACATAACACAGTATTACCTCTGGTTTTGCTGCATTTTGAGCTTTACAAAAATGGCATAATATTATTTAGAGTCCTATTTTCTTTTTTCATTCAATATTTTCTGAGAATTATCCATGTTTTAGCTGTAGATGTCATTCATTTATTCTCACTGTGTATAGTAGCTCCCATTGTGAATATACCACAATAGATATATTCATTGTCCTCTTTATGTAAATTAAGGATAAAAAGTGTTTGCTACTATGAACAATGCTACGAAAGCTCTTTGCATATATCTTCTGGTTCATGTAATTGAAAGCTTTTCTATAATAGTTATCTATAGTGTTATTACTGGATCTTAGGACAGAGGCTTTTTCAAATCAGTTATGTTATAAAATATTTTCTCAAGTTCAAGGGTCCATGGACTTCAAATTCAGTAGTTCTATCAATAAATCCTAATGGTATTTGCTACAAATATGTCATGAACTGTACTTATGAATAAAACTTTTAAAAATCTCAATCTTGCTTTTAGATACTGTGGTTTTGACCTTGTAGACTATTATATTTGGACAACTTAAAATTATCATTTGAAAAATGTATATACACAACTATGAAAATGGCATTTTTATTAATGGCATTTTATTAATGGCATTTTTGGCAGTTTTGTTTCAAAAATGGATGGCTTACAATTGCAGAGTATTGGCATCAATTGAAGCAGTCCATTGTATGTATAAATCAAATACCTATTAAGTAGATGGAAGATAAGACTGATAGGCATTATTTATGAGAAATTTAAGAGATCTATAGATAGGTAGTAAGTAGGCAGGTAGGTAGGTAGCTGAGAGATAAAATTTGACTACGGCCACATGAACATGCGTTTCAGTGACGATAATTTAAAGTTTGCTTATATTCAAGGCAATTTATACAAGTGAGAGAGGTAGAGGGACCACAGTTAAAAGTGTATTTAGGAAGCGGTATAGAAGTTTTCTGTGTGTTGAATGAGGTTTTACTTTTGTCTGGTGAAATTTCAATGGTTTCATGCTGTTTTAGTAATTTGGACATTTGCCAGCACGCTTAGTGGAAATTTTTCATCAAAATGGTTATGTAACTGGTTTGACAGGAGAAATACTGAAGTGTACATTACACGAAATTTTTATTTTTCAGGAACAACCAACTGTGCTCCATTGAAGTTCTATTACTTTGTAAGTAGCACATTTCCTTAATGATATCTAAGCCTCTTTCCATAACTTTTCAATCACTGCCAATTATGAAAATTGTTACTTATCCTTTTAAAATCTCTCATCTGTTCCATTAGTGTAGCATAGACTAGTAGTTCCAGCTACTTAGATCAGGAAAGAGGAAATTATGCTCTCTTATTCCTCTCTTTTTCTCCCCCATCCCTTGATTTAGATTATTGATAACAGAATGTAAACATAGACAATATTCTCGTTGTTAAATGACTTCAAGTCACGACAGACATGTTCTCTTTCAGCTGTTACTGGTTCTCTTTATACTACTCTTGGTTCTCCATATATTTGGTGGCCAAGTGCTGGTGACCATTAAAAAGTCAGGAAACAACAGATGCTGAAGAGGATGTGGAGAAATAGGAATGCTTTCACACTGTTGATGGGAGTGTAAATTAGTTCAACCATTGTGAAAGACAGTGTGGCGATTCCTCAAGGATCTAGAACCAGAAATATCATTTAACCCAGCAATCCCATTACTGAGTATATACCCAAAGGATTATAAATCATTCTACTATAAAGACACATGCCTTTGGTTCTCCATATATTTGGTGGCCAAGTGCTGAGTCTTTTATAGGGTCTATTTGTCAGTTTTGTAGAGGATACTGGAGTTTCTCTCCCTATTCAATTCTCTCAAAGGAAATCTAGCTGAGGCACAGTGGCTCTTTTCTTGCTGCCTGCAGCTGCAACAATAGAGTAAGTCCCCCATACAGCCTCTTGCTGCCATATTTCCCCCTCCCAATAAACAATGCTTTTGAAGAATAGGGCAAAGAACATACAATATTGCTTATATTTAAAACACCATAATGGCCCCACACTCACAGGAAATGTAAGTCTTATCCTTATTATATCAGAGACTGAACATAAGGGCTGTTTCCTGACAATCTCTACATCAGTTCCGCCATCTCTTCTGTCTCCACCATCACCATTAAGTCTCAGTTTAGTGACGTAACATTTGGGCAAAAGAAAACACCATTTCCTGTCATTGCAATGTCCTGTCCCTCTCTGAAAGCAGATGGAACAGTTACTCCTTTGAGAAGACTCCATTTGCCCAACACATTCTGTCCTCTTCCTCAACCTCATATATTTCTATTTATCAGTGACCAGTAAACTTAGGACAAAAGGAAATTTCATGAATAGGACCCTTGAAGTGTCTAATAATATGGTCCTCAAAATACATTTTCTACTGTACATATGGTCTTGTTCTTTAAATATGTGAAGCACAAAAATATCTCTTAATCAGTAACTCTCGTCTATTTAATTTATATAAATATATAAAACTAATTAATTAGCTTATTATTTACAACATAATGAGAGTTGTTAAGATTCTGTATGGACACAAACACAAAATTGATCTTTTTGGAATTGATATTTAAAGTTTACCATTTTGATACTCAAAGTATTTTAGGTATAATTATTTGAGAGCCATAACGATAAAAAATAACTGGAAGTTGTTACATACATGGAAAGTAAGTTTTTATATGAGTTGTCTGAAATATTAAAGTCTCCAAAAGTAGATAATTATTTAGTCCGACATTAAAAAAAAATTCTGGGTAAATAACCTGAGGAAAAACATGATCAGATTATTTCTGTCCCCAATACCTAATGAAATGAATAAAATGTGATAAAATAAATATAGCCAAAGGCAGACAAGGAAAGGGTTATATATGTCATAAATTTAGGAGGAGATATAAAAATGAAGGCAGTAGTCTCATGTGGTAAGTCAGAACCAGATTTTGCTTTTTTAAATTAAAGATTTCTGGCTAAATACATGTAGTGTAATTCCATATTTTGAGAGATTGCAGGAAATCATGAGTTATATAAAAATCATTTATAGAATATACCTTTTCAGAACTTTCCAACTTCTTAGAATAAAAAATTTCTGAAAAGAAACATGAACTTAAAAAAAATATGTTTCAATAATGCCTTAATATGTAGAGAAACATACTTAACATAGACTTACACAAGGAAAATTTGTAGAAAAATCCATTGACAAGTGGAGCCCACACCAACACCAAAGAAGCACAGCAATAGGGCTTGCCATTTTCCAGGGTTGTGCACTGAATCATAGCAGGCCAAAGGTGAATATGCCACAGCTGGAGAGTGGACTGTGTACCTGGCTGACTGGAGTGTGCTTTGGTGTAGGATATCTAATGGATCTCAGAAGAAGTGGAATCTAGCCAGCATCAAAGGGTATACTTAAACCTTCAAGTTCTTTCTTTTTCCCACCCTCTCATCCCAAGGCCATGGAAAAGTAACACCCAGAGAGAAGTCTAGATGAACAGAAAAAAGTCAAAAGTTTTGTGAAAGAGTGACAAGAGAAATGCATCCACAACCTTTCCGAGTAAATAGAATGTCTGAGCAGAACAGTCTACATCACATATAAGCCATATAAAAATAATGACATGATAGCCATATAATCATCTTTGGAAAATAAAAATGAGAAGAAAGAAAAATAATATTGAATTTAACAAGTGGTTAAAGTAGATAAAAAATCCAGTTGGGGGACAGGAAAGTAAGCTAATCCCCACAAGGGAGTCATATGTAGAGGATAATCAGTAAAGCATAAATTTTTTCAAAAGAATTCCACAAAGAGATGACAAAATACAATGACATGAAACTGGGAATTACAAAACTAAAGATTAAAAAAAAACTTGAAACAGAATATTGAATCCAATTAAATCTAGAACCAAGAGTATATAACTGGAAGCAATAATGATTGCAAAACAGAATATTAAGGTTATAAATCAAGAAAAAATAGTAATACAAGCACCAAAAATTAGGAGATGAGGAGTGAAGCAAGAGCAAATGTAATAATAATAACATCAATATTAACTGAATATCAATGTTGTATAATGAATATGTGCAAATTACAATACTGTTCAATTTCTCTACCGGGTACAGTGGCTCACACCTATAATCCTAGCACTTTGGGAGGCTGAGCTGGGCAGACTGCTTGAGCCCAGGAGCTTGAGATCAGCCTGGGCATCATGAAAAAATCCCATTTCTACAAAAAATACAAAAACATTATCTGAGCATGGTGTTGCATGCCTGCAGTCCCAGCTACTTGGGATGCTGAGATGGGAGGATCACCTAAGCCTGGGAAGGTTGAAGCTACAGTAAGCCATGATCACACCACTGCACTCTAGCCTGGGTGAAAGAGTAAGACCCTGTCTCAAAAAAATAAATAATTATCATAATAATAAAAATCAATTTCTCAATGCATTATCTCATTTAATCCCCAAAACAATCCTATAACTAAAGTGTCTTCACCTCACTTTATAGAAGGCAAAATTACTAAGAATGGCGATACTTAGTAATTTGCCCAAGAAAGTAAAAAGGCTGAGATTCAAATCCAATCATCCTGACACCAGCTTTTCTTATCTATTGTTAAGTGACAATTACCTCATTTTGAATTATTATTGCAGGTATAATTTAATTATTTTGACTTTACTATTTTTTACCTAATTTGCTGTTAAAAAAGAATACATAGGTATTTTTATGAAAATGAAGTCATTACACTAAAATACAAACAAAAACAAAAGGGCATTAATATAAAGCCAGGAAGATGAACGAGGTGAAATGATGTCTTAGCTCAATCCTTAGATTAATAGTAACATTATGAGAACCAGAAAGCTCTACTTAAATTATGTAACGGTAGGCAGTACAAGGCTGCTAAAGCAGAAGTAAAATGCTTGCCAGTATTAGTGACAGCCAATTCATGGAAGAGCTAATGTACATTTTTTAAAAATTAAAGATTTTCGGCCGGGCGCGGTGGCTCACGCCTGTAATCCCAGCACTTTGGGAGGCCGAGGCGGGCGGATCACAAGGTCAGGAGATCAAGACCATCCTGGCTAATATGGTGAAACCCCGTCTCTACTAAAAATACAAAAAAAAAATTAGCCGGGCGTGGTGGCGGGCGCCTGTAGTCCCAGCTACTCGGGAGGCTGAGGCAGGAGAATGGCGTGAACCCAGGAAGCGGAGCTTGCAGTGAGCGGAGATCGCGCCACTGCCCTCCAGGCTGGGTGACAGAGCAAGACTCCGTCTCAAAAAAAAAAAAAAAAAAAAAAAATTAAAGATTTTCAAGCAAAATATGCTTAATACAGTTGCATATTTTGAGGGAGTAGAAATGATGGATTATATAATAATCATTTATGAAATGTGCTTTTCGAAACTAAATTGATACACTACATAGTCCTACTGAAGTTTTCTTCATCTTATTCAGTCAGTATTTTCCATTAAAACCTATATATTTCATCAATTAAATAAAAAAGTTTCATTGGGCAGTATTTGCTGGAATTTCATTAACTACACTTGTATTCTTTTATTTAAAACGAGCAAACAGTTCATTTTATTGCAGCAGTAGATGAACAGAAATATGTTCCCAAATGCAATTTTCTATTTTGAGCAGAAATTTTAAAATAACGAACTCTGCAAAATTATAATTAAATGATCCTTCAGCCCAATTGTCTTACTATTTTTTTTTTAAATAATTAGAATGACCCTAAAATAAGAAAATGCTGAAAAAACAAAATAATGACTTGGGGAAAATTAGTAGGAAGGATTTTTAACAAAAACAAGTAAAAGTGCTTGTATGTCAACGTTTAAAAAAAGAATTTATATATAATCTTTATAACGTGAAACTGTGGGAAAATTCAAATAAAAAATTTATTGACAGCTACCTACCAGTTTTTAATGCATTAATTCTTAATCATTCATTTCCTCTTCACTCCCATATCTATATGCATAAACAATTACTGTTACCAATCTCTTAGGGCAAGGAAGTTCATGAGCTTATACTTAACCTCTCTCCCTATATATTTAGTTGAGTGCAGAGTTCCAAGTTTGAAGGTCAAGATGTTTTGAGAGGTTTAAGACCAAAGAGAAAGGGAAATAATGAAGATGGAAAATATTTTCAAAGCTGGGCCATGGTTGTACTAGAAGCTAAGGGGTTGCTGATTTTATTGTGTTTTGTATTGCCTTTCTCTTTTGATTATTATTATTATTTAGAGGTTGAATTTTCGTTTTTGAAAGTGTGGTAAAACGCAAACATGAAAAACGTCTTAAAATAGCAACATAGCTTAAATATATACAAATAGGAAATATCTTATAGCAAGGGCCTAAAATAAATATCCAGCCAGATACAATATGTTAAGACTGACATAGCATTTCTTTAAATAAATGAAAATTAAATAGTAGTGTTTCTTACTATTTCTTTTGTTGTTTTCATTAAATGTGTTGACTTTGAAAAAGAACCGTTAGTCTAAAAACACTGAAGGCACTGTTAGCAGGATTGAGATTCAAAAGGCTAAGTCAATTGTAAAGAACAAGAATTTTTTTTAATGCAGTACAAACTCAGGAATTTTAGCTTATGTAGTTTCAAAAATAAAACAAAAAGCACCTGTGTCATCAACGTAACTCTAATTCAGGGCAAGCACCTACAATTGCAAACTCTCTTTAGGGTCCTTTTATAGCACAGATAACCGATTTAGTGTCATTTTCTCTCTTCTTTTGGTTCTACTGGAGCCCAGATACAAGTAATATGAACTCTGTTGTCACCTATGACCTTTCTATGATGAAAAAAAGATTAGACTGTTATCTCTTGACTGTGAGACAATGTAAAGTTCGTCTGGAAAAGCCTTTCAGAGTGATACTCAATTGTCCTAAGGCTGATAATCAGACGTGTAAGGTAATTCTAAAAACAATGTACAGAAATTTATAGAAAAACATAAGGCAACCAAGTTTAGAAATAAATTACTTCCAAAGAGGCTGTGGGTGAAATATCACTAATGCCTACTATTATTTTCATCGCTACTGTTTAGTTTATATTCTATAAACAAATTTTTTCACTCAAATCTATTTTTTATTCAAGGAATGATAGCTGCATAACTTATGACTTTACTACAAACAAAACTTTCAACATATTGCTCTATACTCTCCTAAATTTAAAGTGTTTGCTTAAAACAGCTTTCTCTATAAATTGTATAGTTTTACTGAAGCAAGGAAGGTAACATTTGCCATTAAAACTGAATAAATAGAAAAAAATTCTCTAGTAGTCTATATTCTAAAACATTGGATATTTAAAAAATATTAAAACTTAATAAGGAGTTATTTTTTGCCAGTAAACAGAATTTATTAGTAAGCATAAGTCAGACCAGCATGGCCCAAGGAGACAGTACTGCCAAAACCTTCATGAGTGCAGAACCCGCCACTTGTCCAAGGGGCCATGACTGGGAACGTACTTGACTCCACAACCATCAGGGATGAGGCACTTCTTGGCCACCATGTCTTCAAATTCGTCAGCATTAAACTTCGTGAAGCCCCACTTCTTGGAGATATGAATCTTCTGGCGTCCAGGGAACTTGAACTTGGCCCTGCGCAAGGCTTCAATCACATGCTCCTCGTTCTGAAGCTTGGTGCGGATGGACATGATGACTTGACCAATGTGGACCCGGGCTACAGTACCCTGGGGTTTTCCAAAGGCACCTCGCATACCTGTCTGGAGCCTGTCAGCCCCAGCACAGGACAACATCTTGTTGATGCGGATGACATGGAAGGGATGGAGCCGCACTCGCATGTGAAAGCCATCTCTGCCACAACTTTTCACCATGTATTTGTTGGCACAAATACGGGCGGCCTCCAGGGCTTCAGAAGACAGCTGCTCATATTCATCAGACACCATGTGGCCACCGAGTGGGAACTCATCCACTTTTGCCTTCTTTCTACCCAGGTCAAAGATGCGGATCTTGGCATCAGGAACCCCTCGGCAGAAACGAGATTTTGGGTACGGCTTGTTCTTACAATACCGGTAACAGCGAGCTGGACGGCGCCCCATGGCGACACAGTAACGTCGGCGGTGCCTCGAAGTCAAAATGCGCTCTCTTAACTACGCCTGCGCGCATTTATATACGTTGCCCCTCGTCCCTCGCGGGAACCATAGAGTCCTGAGGCCGGAACCATAGAGTCCTGAGGAGGATGTGACGACTCTCTTTCAGGACGTCCCAACCAGAGACGCAGGGACGTCTGGCGCCTCAGCGCCTGCGCCAAGTGGCGCGCTTAAGGTGAGCAGAGTCAGCTGTGGGTAGACTCCCCCTGGCGGCCAGGGAAGGAATTGGGCCCCGCCCCAACTGCACAGCTGCTGCTTCCTTTCTGCTAGCCATCTTGGGCTAGGAACTCTTGCTTTCAGCTTTGCTTTAAGTATAAAAGAGGTTATTTCCAGGCAGGAGAATCTCTTGAGCTCAGGAGTTCGAGGCCAGCCTGGGCAATATAGTGAAATGCTGTCTCTACAAAAAAAAAAATATATATATATCAAATAGCTGGGCATGGTGGCACATGCTTGTAGTCCCAGCTACTCAGGAGGCTGAGGTGGGAGGATCGCCTGGGCCCTGCAGGCAGAAACTGCAGTGAGCTGAGATAGCACCACTGCACTCCAGCTTGAGTGACAGAGGGAGACCCTGTCTAAAGAAAAAGAAAAAAAGAAATCCTAGAATTTGAGAGGAAAAATCCTTCCAGTTATTCAACATGCTGTTTCCAGTTTGGTCAGTTCATTTTCCAGAGCTTGTATCTCACTGTCAGCATTTGTAGATCAATTGCTGTTTCTTGGGTTATGTGGCCACCTTCCCTGGATAAAGTGGTTTCTTGGCATGAGTGCTTTGATGAGACTCAGGAAGAGATGAGAGGAAGAGAAGAGAGAGGGATAAAGAGAAGATATCTGTTGTATCTGTAGCTTGGCAATTGTTTTATAAACATGAAACTTTGTTTTTTCTTTATTTGGCCTAAAGAAATGATTTTATTATCAAAATGATATATACAAAATTGAAACACCAACTAGATTTTTTTTAACTTAAGGCTATTTGCATTTTCAAATGTTAAAGCTGCTGAAACTATATAAAAGAGTAACAGTTTGTGTTTTAGTAATCTTTTGCCCCTGAGAATAAATTTAAACTTTTTTTCTTCTCAGAGTTTGTAAAAATATTATGACAGGGATCAGAGTGTAGGAAAGGAGGAAGAAGAGAGAGGAAAAGAAATTAATAGTTTACAAACCCTACTTGCATTTTTCTAGTTTTCTTTTTTGTTTTAATGTTGTTTCACAAATCCATTACATCATGGAACAAAATCCCCCCAATGTGAATATATTCTGTCAATACTCTTTGTTTTAAGGGAGAAAAATAACTCCTGCCCTTAAAGTGAGTGGATTTTTACAAAATACTAAAGATAAAACAATTAAATCTCCCAATGTAGAAAACTTTCTGACCTTTAAGAAAGCTTTCTCACTTCCCTTTTCTTCCTTCATTTCTTCTTTCCCCTTTTTCTCAACTAGTTCCTGTTTAACATATTGAGATAAAGTAGCTAATACCATGTTGCTCTCACCAAGCTTACAAGCCTAGGAGAGGATATAGATACTTCTCATATATCATCATATTACCAAGTGTAAAATGTGCCAAAAAGGAAAAGCAAAGTAAGCCCTGAGACTGTGGGATGAGGCTGGGGATGAGACCTTGATCCAGACTGAGGAATAGACAGGAAAATCTTTATCAGAAAAGAAATTTCATGTAGTGACCATGGCACATGGGGTCTGATGTATAAAAGGCCTGAAGCAGGCAGAAATATGGAACATTTTAAGGAACTTAAAGTCAGGCCAATGTGACTGTGAGTGAGAAAATGAGTCACATAACATGAGCCCAGAGTGTGTGTATGTGTGAGAGAGAAGGGGTCATGCTTTCATACAGGGCCCATTTTACCAAGTTAGGGATCCTGATCTTTAATGTGAGGCCATTAAAGAGCTTTACTTAGGTTTCATCACTCTGGTTATGGTATGGTGAATAGACTGAAACCAGCCCAAAAAAGGTATGCAAGGAGATCAGAAAGGAAGACTTCGCAATACTGCAGAAAACACACTATAACTTGAACATACTTTAAAATATTTGACTTTATATACAAGTTAGTATCTTTTTTATACTACTACATGCTCTGAATCTATGATCGCGCCTCAGGGAGAGGTGTTTGTGAGGCAAAAGGAAGACGCCCAGAGTTTATGTGCCACGACACACTCACTTCCACTTGTCTGATCTCCCACCTGTCTAATGTTGCCAAAATGCTAGAATTATCTGACCAGCAGATGCTGTTTTGCTGTGGGGGCCTGTCTACATAAGTTTCTTTCTTTAATCCAAAGCTTGAGCAATCCTGGTTTGTCCGGGTCTGTACCAGTTTTAACATTCAAGTCCTAGGTCCTGCAAAACCCCTTAATACCACGCGAAGTGGGAGGGTTGGCCACCCTACTCCACTCATGCATGAGGCCCTTCACAGTTGCAGATTAGGAGGGAGGAAAGAGGAAAGGGAGGTCCACACTGGGATCCTCTGTTTATACTTCTTTTCCTAACCTTGCAGATATAAGAGGAGATCCTGTGGAAAAATGCATGAAGCACCACCATTCTGTTGAAATATTACAAGCATTCCTCTTAATCAATT
Organism: Homo sapiens; assembly: GCF_000001405.40. Taxonomy (NCBI): domain Eukaryota; kingdom Metazoa; phylum Chordata; class Mammalia; order Primates; family Hominidae; genus Homo; species Homo sapiens. Next base: position 46,654,370 of record NC_000014.9, read on the forward strand.
CCAACATTTTGAGAGTTTCCCTACCTCTCTACTCTTGCCATCCACAGTGTACATCATGCTAAGCAAACCTTGCAAAAATATATAAAACTTGTCTGCTTTGAGATATATAGCTAAGGGAGACACTAATATCATGTATAATAGAGATGGCTTAAAGAATGGGTAGAACATTCACAAGTAGAAATATGGGATATGGTAGAAATGAAGCAACACAACTTCATAAAACCATTAAGAGATATGAGAACAGAAATATCTCTACCTGGTTCACTGTTTTGTCCCCTGTTTTTGGCACATTGTGTGACGAGTAGCACAAGGAATACACACACTTCGGAGGCGCGGTGCGGTGTTAATAAACATTTAACAACCTGCTCTTAGTGGAGGTCAGGATTTTGAGGAGAAATCCCTGATTTGTAGTGTTTGCTGATTGATTTGGTAGAAATACTTTTCCCGTCATCAGTTTCAAACATCAGTGTGATTTACTGAGCACAAAGATGGGGAGAGATGTGCACTATCAGCTTCTGTAAGCTAGTGTTAGCCAGCTCCAGCATGCTGCCATTTGGTGTGCATACACAAGACAGAAAAGACAAACTTGTCTTTTGTTAATGCTAATAATGCATATCCTATAATAATACATTTTGGAATGATCAGGGAGAGATCTTTTTTAGGAGCCCTTAGAAAGCAGACAGGTACGAATACTTAAACTTGATTCAGCTTTGACTGTGAAACAGTTTCCCTCTGTGGTTTCTCCCTCCGGTTTCACAACCCTTAAGAGGCCTGCGGTATTCTTTACTTATTGATTGTAAGTACTTTACTTATTGATTACTTACTTGTAATTAGCACTAGACAGTGTGAGAAATACAATCAAATTCCAGATATCCTCTGTCTTCACGCAAAGGCTGGAAAAGAACAGTTCTGTGTATTAGTTCAACACAGCATTTACTTTCCTTTTTTGATATAATCTTTCAAATGTTTCACAATGAGCTAAACCTGACTTTGTTTTCAAAGGGGAACATGCACTGGAGTCTAATGAGTTGAGTGGCACACACCATGGATGCCCTCTCCTGCTACAGGAAGCATCTGCATTGTTGATCATTCAGTCATTATGTAGAGTACCATCATTGGGTGCTTTACAATATACTGCGATTCATAAATCATGTTCCACTTGGACTCTGAATGAAGTGTGAAGGCTCCACTGATGACTAACAGTCATTTTCATCTGGATTTCTTAGTAACTTCACACTGGGGGCTGTAATCTGAATGTATTTGAGAATAGGTGAGCAATTTGACTGTCTATATACAGTATTCCTAGAGTTGAATCATGAATATAAAAGAGCCATGGTTATGGCTGGCCTTTTCTTCAAAGCCAGTGGATTGTGCCTATTGTCATGGCTAAAGAGTGGTCATGCTGCCTGTCTCTCATGCACTTGATTCACAGTGGTCTCTTATCTATTGACAAGAAAACATGTAGAAATGCACATTTTTTGAACAGAAATATATTCAGATAATTTTAACTCTTTAGCCCAGCGCCCTAATACATTTTCCTTTTTGACTGGTGTTTTCTACATTCTTCTTCTTCTTTCTTTGGGAAGCTTTTTTTACTTTGGATATAGGAACTGAGCATGTACACTTACCTTTGTAGTTTGCTTGTAGAGAATGAGTTCCCCCCAAATGAATGACTTTTGACATTGTTCCAGAAAGCTGGAAAAAAGTAGGAAAGTATTAAATCAGGGAGAGGTGGCACAAAAATATGCTTGCTAAAATTTCATTGATTTTTTTTCCATATACATTTTAAATTTACTTGTTTAGGTTTCATACTTGTACAAAATGTATAAGCCATTAATTAGTTTTGTGTGGTAAGTAATTGAAATGTAGTTTTATAATTATAAATATTTAAGCAATGCTATAAAAAAGATATGATACATAATAAACAATTTGAATCAGCATAAGACTCTACATCAGTTTTTGAAAGCCCTTTTCTCTAAAAAAGGATTAGTTCAATCTGCAAATTTGAGAAACACTGATCTGGGTTAGGGTGCTGTGTATGAAGTTTGCCTCCCACATATTGAATGCATAGATTTCCTGTGCTTTAGATCTAAATTCCTGTCTATTCATTTAAAAGGCATAATGATGGGAGCAATGTTGTTACTTCCTTTGCCCAGTTTACTTAACAGTAGTTTGTGTGGTTTACAAGGTTTACAGAAATGCATGAAGCACATATTTAGCTAAATATATAGATTATTTAATCATTTATATCACAACAGCCAACTCTATTTCAGGTTAAATTCATCTTGTACTTTTAATGGATGACTCCTTTATCCATTAAACAGATTTTTTTTTTAATTTCGAAAGTGAGCAATCAACTTTAGTAATTACATTATGGGTTATTTATTTATGAAACTACTAATTCCAGTTGATAAAGCACTTTGGAAAGCTTTTTAAAAAGCTTTGCTTCACTTATTGTTATAGACTGAATGTTTGTGTGCTCCCAAAATTCATATGTTGAAATTCTAACCCCCAAGGTGATGGTATTAGGAGGTGGGGCTTTGGGAGATAACTAGGTCATAAAGGTGAAACTCTTATAAGTAGGTGAATACCATTATAAAAAGAGACCCCGGAGAATACTCTGGCCCTCTTTTTACTACATGAAAATATAATGTGAAGTTGGCAGTCTGCAACTGGAAGAGGATCCTCACCAGAACCCAACCTATACCACTTTGATCTACTACTTCCAGCCTCCAGAATTATGAGAAATAAATTTCTGTTGTTTATAAGCCACCAGCCTATAGTACTTAGTTACAGCAGCCCAAACTCACTAAGACATCTGTCCAACCTTTTCATTCATTCACATTGTTCGTTCATTCATTAACAAAAAAAAAAGGAAATAGATTATGAATACAAATTAGAGATAAAGCAAATACTTGTTTAGAATGAAAAAGAAAATAAATTGCAAACTATAAGTAGCTAATAAACAGCATTTACATCACAAGCTTTAAAAGAAATTTTTAATTGCCTAATCCATCTTTATATTCTTTCTTCTTTATATTTTCTAGCTGCATTTGACCATTACTAATACATTTATGAAAAGATTGAAAGCTTAATTCAATATGTCCTCTAGTAAATTATTTGAAATTTGTATTGATAACATACAAATTTCTTTTGGCCTCACAACTCAATGTGTATATAATATGTATACTTAGGATTATTGTCAGATTGAGAAAATCTTACATCTTTCATATGTGAACTATAGTATTTCAAAAAATTTCATTTCTCTGGGCACTGACTACTCTCGAGTATTAATGGAAAATCTTCATGAACTAGTTTACAGTTGATATCCTCCTTGTAATATAGCATTTGATGGGATGGAAACCACTTATACCAATTGTACTCAGAAGAACTAATTGTGTGCATCTCTTCCCAACTTTCTAGTTCAGTCACATAATATCGGTAGGTTGAATTGGTGGTAGTGGGAGTATTTACAGCATTGGAAAAACTACAAATCCAGTCTTATTTTCTCCCTGGAGAGCCACTTATTAAACATGTATCAGTACACCACTGTTAATACCTTCTTTCAAGTTATATGCTTCCTTTATTGGTTTCACTAACTAATGTCAGGTCAGCCAGAAACTTCAGGCTTTTTCTAATGAGCTCAAACAATTTATTATTCTTCATTAATTGGATTGTAAAATATTAATAATCTTAGAGCCGATTAACTGCAATTAAAATATTTGCTTAATTAAAGACATTGATATGATCTGAAATTTGTTTTGTCAACAATTTGGTTCTTTATCATTAAATACTTTCTATTGATATTATTCATCTGCATTGCATTTGTTTTATATTCTACTAGTTTTTTACCAATTTTTCTCTCAATTTTTTAATAAATAAATTTGAAATTACTGCCAAATAAGAAGTCTGTATATTTCAGTTGTTTTAAGTGAAATGCTCCAAAATGTCTTTTTCAATTGCAGTGAAAATAATGTATTTCATCACTTTGAATTATTTAAATAAACATTTACCTCTTTGGGCATATATCTTTGTATCAAAATGTTGATGAATGCCAGATGAGTCAGCACAGGGGTAGTCAGAATACTTTTAGAAGCAATTCCAACACCAGACACGCTAGCAATACCTCATCTATTCATCGATGTGACTACAGAACACATAAACACACCCTATTAAATGTGAACTAAATACATTCTTTAATAACTTTTCCTTTAGCAAGATCCCCAAATTGCCAAAATCACTTCAATGATGCCTACTCTCAGGGAGAAGTGTGAAGGAAAGTGGGAGTGCAAAATGGAGGGCAAATTTTATAAAAACAATACATGAGCTCATTGCTAGGGCCCATCCTAGGGCCTGGGAAAGGACCTGTGAACATGAAGATTCCTGAATCCAAGGCTTTATTAATTTTGTTAAAAGTTAATTTTATTTCTGAGCAGGTGATATTACCGTTTTTTTAAATCCCTTTTCATTTTTGCCTACCTAAGTGGTATTCTTCTCCCATTTGCTTTCTACAGCCCCAATGTCTTCAGAAATCTCCAAAAAATATTTATACCCTAACTACCCTCAGGTCCTTTACTCACTAAAGTTCTTTACTGTCCTAAAGTCCTTAACTGTCCTTAAGTCCTTTACTCACAATAAGGACTTGAGGGCAGATGGGGTATAAATATTGTTTACTCATTTCCTTTTACTTACTAAAATGTAGGTTATAGTTTTCAACTTAAAAGTGTTTCTCTCTTAAGATTTCCAAGATCAAAGCCTTACAATAAAAAACATGGGTAATAATAGTAAACAATTTCAAAATCATGAATTAAGACAAATATTTTGGTGCATGGGACTATACAGATTCTTCTAAAATCATAGTTTATATTTTAGTTGGTTGAAGAAATAAAACTATTTAATACATGTTGGTTTGTTATTTGAAAAAGAATCTGTATACTTGCTGAATTTTTTATAATGAAATAGATTCTAGAGGTATTAGTAATTATTTAAACATTAAAATAAAATAAAACACTAGATATTGGGGGAACCAGCCCCCAATATTTTAACGTAAGTGCTTTCTATTTTCCCTAAGTGTTGGCTGGTCTGATAAATAAAGAGAAAGAGTACAGAGAGGAATTTCACAGCTGGGCCTCTGGGGGTGACATCATGTATTGGTGGGACCATCATGATGACCCCAAGATGCAAAACCAGCAAGTTTTACTAGGGATTTTAAAAGGGGAGGGGGTGTATGAACAGGGAGTAGGTCACAAGGATCACATGCTTCAAAGGGCCATAAAGATCACAAGGCAAAGGCAAAATTAGAATTACTGATGAGGATCTATGTCCAGCTGTGCACGTATTGTTTTCATAAACATCTTGACAGGAAACAGGGTTCGAGAGCAGAGAACCGGTCTGACTAGAATTTACCAGGGTGGAGTTTCCCAATCCCAGTAAGCCTGAGGGTACTGCAGGAGACCAGGGCATATTTCAGTCCTTATCTCAACCGCATAAGACAGACACTCCCAGAGCAGCCGTCTATAGACCTCCCCTCAGGAATGTATTCCTTTTCCAGGGTTATTCCTTGCTGGGAAAAGAATTCAGTGATATCTCTTCTACTTGCACATCCATTTATAGGCTTTCTGCAAGAAGAAAGATATGGCTCTATTCTGCCCAACCATGCAGGCAGTCAGACCTTATGGTTATCTTCCCTGAAAATCGCTGTTATTCTGTTCTTTTTAGGGGTGCACTGATTTCATATTGTTCAAACACACATGTTTTACAATCAGATTTCATATTGTTCAAACACACATATTCTACAATCAATTTGTACAATAGTGGTCCTGAGGTGACATACATTCTCAGCTTACGAAGATAACAGGATTAAGAGATTAAAGTAAAGACAGGCATAAGAAATTATAAGAGCATTATTAGGGAAGTGATAAATGTCCATGAAATACTCACAATTTATGTTCCAAGATTGCAGTAAAGACAGGCATAAGAAATTATAAAAGTATTAATTTTGGAAACTGATAAATGTCCATGAAATCTTCACAATTTATGTTCTTCTGCCAGGGCTTCAGCCGGTCCCTCCATTCGGGATCCCTGACTTCCTGCAACAACTAGAAGAAAAGACACAGGAAGTCATTATATTTTTGAAGTGGGAAAGGCTTACTGAAGCAAGACACAAAGAACAGAACCTGTAAAGGAAACTTGTGACATCATAAAGTATTTAAATATCTGCAAGATTAAAATGTATATATTATATATATATATACACACACACATTTTAATCACACATACAGGTATATGGATATAAAGATCTCAATATTGAGACACACAGAATCTCACACACACACACTATGTAAGTCATAGTTTTTTTTACTTTATTTTTAGACAATGTTTTCCTAACAGTGCTCTGGATTTGATCTTTGCCTGGAAGCTATTTCTGAATTTGAAAATTGTTTGCCATTTGGATAATCTGGGAATGAAAAACGGTTTTATTTTGAAATCAGCAAATTTTGGCTCTTTTATATTCAACCATCTGTTCATTAGCTAATCTCTCTCTTCATTTTATTATATGCAAATAGAAGAAGCCAGGTGGCACTTTCAATACTTTGCCTGAAATCTCTTTAGCCAGATATCCAGTTCATTAAGCACATTTTCTATTTTCTATGCTACCACAGGCCACAACATTGCTAAACTTTCTGCCAGGAAGTAACAACGGATTTCTTTTCTCTAATTTCCAATCACATTTTTCTCACTTTTTATTAGGTGCTCACCAAAAGCCTTTCAAGTCCCTTCAGCATTTTATCAATGATCTCAAGGTACTTCCAATATTTTTCCACTGCTGAATCTGAAAGACACTGCCACCTATTTAAAATTTGGGTCCATAGCATCCTACCTCTAGTATCCCAAATCTGTGTCAATAATCTGTGACTATGTGACATGAAGCAATAGTTTTTTACTATTATCACTAAGGTTTCTGAGAGTTTATTAGGTTCAGCTAGGAAGTCCTTGCTCGGGAGTTTTTCACGCAGTTTTTTCAGATGGTGACTGAAAACAACTTGAAGGCCTTTCACATACATAGCTTTAGTTGCCTCTGGCTTTTGGCTGGGGTCTCCCCAGGTGCTGTTAATAAAATTTTCTGCACTTAGCCTCTCCATGTGTCCTGGGCTTCCTTGAAGCATTGTTTGTGTATTTCAAGGGATGGCATCTCAAGAGTGGAGCCAGACAGTTTTTATGTTGCCTTTTGCGACCTAGCCTTGGAAGGCTTGCAATATCACTGCCACCACATTTTATTTGTTAAAAGTTAGTCACTGAGGAGACTTACGGAATGGTGAAGAAAGGACCTATGAAAATCTGTTTCTCCATAAAGGCAGTAAGAACACTGGCAAAAGTTGTTAAGATCAACTTTTTCAATACTCTGGAAACTAAACTAAGACCTGCAGCAGTCCAAGGAACGTTTATTCTAGAAAACTTGCTTCTCCTCAAGGACAGTGAGCTTTGTGGTTAACTTGCCCTATGTCCATTTCCTTTTCTTCAGATCCATGGCTGCTGTGAAAGCAGGCAAGCAACCACTAGGGGGGCTGACTGGGTAAGGAGCTTTTCCTAAAGCTCCATCTCCAGAGAATTGTCACAATTTGACTTGTTTGTTGGTACCCCAGTAAAACCTCATACACAGGGCTGTTGTTATTTGATCTAAATCAGAGCTTGCTCAGTGGGAAAAGCTCTATTACTGAGTTGTTTGTTGGAAACAATCAATAAATAGCAATTGTTTAGTATTGCAGCTGCCTGAGGTGGAAATACCCATTGGGAAAAACGAGACTGGCCAAAAGACTTAAAAGAAAGCTCTTGGGAATGAGATATCTATAAAGAGCTTTGAAGAGGTCTGACATAATTCTGGGGGTATAAAAAACCACACACATGTAAAGGGGTGTGTACATGCTCCAGAAATCCTGAGAAGGCTCTAATCTCTTGCCTTTGGCTGGCCTTGGGTCCCTGTGTAAAAGTAAAGCCTAAGACAGAGTTGTAAACTGTGAGAACATTGAAGGAATGCCTCAATATATAGGTAAATCCCGGCCACATCCTGGTGTGTTTTGGTGACTTGAGGCCCTCCCTAGTTCATGGGATTAACTGGAAGAGACTTCCTCACATTAATTATGCAATGAGCAGGTGTCCTTGTGCAGGAGTTGTGACCTGCAGAATTATTGCTACTTGGATAAGCCTACAATTTACTTCTTTCATCCTTGGCTGAGAATTTCAATTTGCAATTGTCGGCAGAGAGAGGAAGAAACTGTTCCACTCGGGTTCAAGGAGCATACAGAGAGAAGGCAGGGAAGAAGGAACATGTGCAGCCTTTCAGTATGAGTAAAGTCAAGATTTGAAATGCACGTTCCCTGCCTGAGGGGCTCCAGAGTGTTGTGAGCCTCTGATCTTCACGGTAAAGAGGCCTATTGGAAGTTGGAGGTTATTTTTATAATTTTGAACTTTTTATCAGTATTCTTTGGTGATTCTCATACCTTCCTTTAATTCTATAGACATTATTTTTATTCGTCTTTGAAGATATTTATAATAGTTAATTTTAAGCCTTTGTCTAATAAGGGCAACATGTGAACTTCCTTTGGGACAGTTTCTATACATTCTTTTTTTCTTCTATCTATGGATAATACCTGTTTCTTTGAGTTCCCGTACATTTGAGTAGAAAAATGGGTTAAATATCATATGGCAGCTCAAGAAATCAGATCTCTGTCTTCCCATTTGTTGTTATTGTTATTGTTGCTACTACTGTTGCTCTTTATTTGACTAATAGCATTTCTGGAGTAATTCTTTCCAGGTTTTATTCCCTGTTGTGTGTACCGGTTAAAAGATACTGCTCAGTTAGCTTAGAGATCTGCTAATGATTGGAATGACTGGACAGATATTTTCTTAATTGCTTTGAGCCAATATGCTTTCCACTCTTGGCTGAAGGGATTTATGTGTCTGTGTGTGTATGTATGTGTGTGTGTATATATATATATATATATATATATATATATATATATATATATATAGGCACATATTTTAAATTGTATTTTACTTTCACATTTACACATTCAGGAAACCACTCTGTGAAAAGGAAAGTCAGGGCCACCTTTAAGCAAAGGAAAGTAAGGGCCACCCAGCTCCCTCTTCCACCCTGTCTCAGCAGCACCATGCAGACTCAAGCTGGCGGTCATCCCAGGAAATTGTCCAGAGTCTCAACGGCCTTGGCTGTGGATGGCCTCTAAAACAGTTGCTGTGGCTTGCCCTGCACCAGGGACTCCCTCACTGCCTGGAAGCTGTGGTGTTGGAGGCTGTCTGGGCCCAGGATTTTATTGCTGGTAAACTTGGTTATCTACCTTCCGGTCACGTGGTCCAGGATGGTGGCATGATCAGAACTAGGTCCTGTGGTGCCCATTTTGCTGAGATGAAAGGAATGGAAATGTGTAAACTGCACTGAATTCTGTGATGCTGGCATGTTCCCCCTGCAAGTCTTCATCCCTAAGGGGCAGGGGTGGGGAGGTCCTGGAGGATACAGGTAGAGACCCACTGCTGACCACCCAGGTGGGGCAAGTCAGGACTAATGTGCCCAAATCCACAGTGGCATGAGCCCCAAGATGATGATTCTCCCCAAATTGATAATTGATTTAAAATTTCAATACAGGCTTTATCAAAATCATTGCTGCTTTTTTTTTTTGGTGGAAATTGTTAATTAAGCTGATCCTAAATTCGTGTAGAACTGCAAGAGATCCAGAATATTCATTAAAGTCTTGAAAAAGCCAAACAAAGTTGGAGGACTGACACTTCTCAATTTCATAACTTATTGAAAAGTTACAATAATCAAGACAATGTGGTCCTGGAGTAAGGATAAACACACATGCGTGCACACACACACACACACACACACACACACACCAGTTGAATATAATTGAGGGCTCTGAAGTAAGCTCTTTTATTTATGGGCAGCCAATTTTTGACAAAAGTGTCAAGGCAATTCAAAAGGAGAAAGAACAGTCATTTCAACAAATGGCTCTGAGACAACAGCTATACAAAAAAGGACAAGGCTGGACCTCAACTTCAAACCACATAAAAATTTAACTCAAAATGGATTATAGACCTAAATATAAGAACTAAAAATGTAAGACTCTTAGAAAAAAATACTGTAATAAAACTTCATGATTCCTTTTATACAGCACCAAAAGGAAAAGTGACAAAGGAAAAAAATAGAAAAATTGGACTGCATCAATTTAAAAAATCTTGAATGCTTCAAACAACACCTGCAGGAAAATGTAATGATAACTCATAGAATGGGGGAAAATATTTCTTACATATACATCTTTTCACACTGATCAGCATACCCTAGCTAACTTCATGTATAGATTTAACTAGAGTTTGTCCTTTAATGTATTTTTAAAAGACATAAACCAAATGGTAGCATAAGTTGGAAATGTTTTAAAATGTACTTTGGAGTAGTTTTAGCTATTATATTTATGCCAGTTGAAACGATGTAAAAGGTGTACAGATAGCCTTTATTAATAGCATATCACAGTAGGAGCTGAACTGGATGCTTTGCATTTCTTTTCTGCCTTGCTATATTTAATACAAATAAAATGCATATATTTCACAAAAAAACAGTATTTTGAAAAACTCTGCATGATGCATATTTTGTTCAAGCCCATTATTTCCAGAAATACACATTAACACTTCAGCTTTATTTGGTACTTTTAAAATAATAAAATGGGGATAAATTGAAACCTAAGAATAATCCTTTAGATAAGTATGAAATATTAAAGATATAGGTTATTAATGACTAATTTAGAATAGTGTGAAACAGTACTCCTAAGCAACTCTTAACTAATTCTCAAATGCAACTCTTACTAATTTTGAAAAACAAAAATCCAACCAAGCATTTCAGGACATGTGTTTTTCATGAAGCATCATTACCAGAAGATATAATTCCTGATATGCTAAATATCGCAGCATTTGTATATTGCACAAATTATTTTCATGGATGAGATGATCAATTGAAATGATTATTATAAAGTAGTTAATTAGCTACTGTAGATAAATAATATCAATATAGTTAAAATGTGTAGAGATCAGGATATTATAGTACATTAATTTTTAATTTCAACATTGATCTAGTGTTGGAATCCCAACTCTTCTTTACTGTGTGATGGATATAGTTTCATCCTCCTGGAAAGTGACTTACAGAAAGGATTTCACTTTGTCTGACACATCAAGATTCACACAGCCTCTCCTAATTATAACAGTGGCAGTTCCTCATCCAATCAGTAGCACAGTGAATCAGACACTATCTCTTGACTACAGCTGCATGGATCTGTCAGCTCCAAACTTGTTAAATCTCAGTGTTCTGACTGGTATTCTCTTCTCTATTTCTTAAACAAAGTCTAATTTTAATTAAGATTTAAGCTATGGTAAAACTTAGGTTGTGATTTGTATGCTACTCACCTGTTAATTATCCAACAGGCAGGATAACTTTTAAATTTTTGAAAGAGCAGAGGACCAATGCTACTAAATTAATACTGTACATATGTCTTCATAATAGAACTATTTTCATAATAGTTGAAATTTTGGAAAATTTCCAAAGTTGAATGTTGGAAAATTTTTTTTTCATTTCAGTTTACTATATCTGAATCAAATTGAAGTCTGTATACATTTTTATATAGAATTAAAGGAATCCAATTACTTAATGAACGAAGATCTATTGAATGCCAAATGCTCAGTTCTGCTCTAGTATTTTCCAGATGTGTAGGGGGACATAATCAGGAATAGATGTGGGAAAATCTAATTTGGGAGATAAAATGTGTACATATTAGAAGATAACTAAAAACTCAAGACACTATAATAATCATAATTTAATTGGTGTACACAATTAGAGATATAAAAAATTGGAGGAAAGTAATAGTTCCTTAAATTTAGATGGTGAAACACACCTTACGGAAGAGGTTTCAATTATAAATTCAAATGCCATCCTCATTTCTTCTTCTAAGATACTGCTAATATCTGACAGGAAACTTGTTTTTTAATTTCTGTTTCCACAGTGGCCCTTCTTTACTTGTCTTTTCCAGTGCCTTGCAATCTGCTGGAATGGATAAGTTCCACTTTACAATACAAAGTTTAGACAGAAATATTTATATCCATCACCAGTGAGGCACAAAATTAGACTCTCAACATATTAAATAATGACTGATGTGGAGGCACACACATATAGTGACTTTTATCCAGGTAGTTCCTGAAACCTCAGGTTGGAGACATTTAACAAGCTTTAGCAGCTCTAATAGGAAGAAAGTGGAAGTCAGATTTTCTTGTCCTTTATTTGCTCTCAAAGAGCAAACATATGTCTTATTTGAGTGTTTTCTATAGTTTCTGTAACTACCTTAACTAGATAAATATTACTTTCTTTGTTTGACAGGCTTGAAGGTCTGCAGCCCATGCTAATTTGTTTCCATTTCACATCACCTCTTTTTTTTAATGATACAAAATAGCTGTACATGTTTTTGTGGTATAGGTGATGTTTTGGTACATGTAAATAACATGTAATGATCAAATCAGTGTAATTGAAATGTCCATCACCTTAACTATTTTTTCTTTCTGTTGGAAACATTCCAGTTCTAGCTATTTTGAAATATACAATAAATTATTGTTAACTATAGTCACCCTAGTGTACTATCAAACACTAGAACTTATTCCTTCCAACTGTATTTTTGTACCCATTAAGCAGTTTTTCCTAATTACCCACCCCTTTTCAGCCTATGGTAACTGCCACTCTCTACTTCCATGAGATCGACTGTTTTAGCTCCCACTTATTGTCTTTCTGTGTTTGGCTTATGTCACTTATGGTAATAACCCCCAGTTACATCTACGTTGCTGCAAATGGAAGGATTCCATTCTTTTAATGGTTGAATAATCTTTCACCACATTTTTCTTTATCCATTCATTCACTGATGGGCACTCAGGTAGATTCCATGTCTTCTTGGATACTGTGAACAGTTAATATATTACCTTTTGATGGAGAATTGAAAACTACTTCTACTTGTTTCTCTTGGTCTTGCCTGGCATGTCTTATGCCCTCAAGATGTTTGGCATTACACTTAAGTCTTTCTGAGGAGGAAAAGATTGGATGAATAATCATAGTAAGTTATTATCTGACCATAACTTTCCACATACAGGATGCTTTTCACATTTATTTTATCTTATTCTTCAAATGTTATTCCTTTCCCTTGGCAATCTATTAAAAATTGAATCTAATATTATAATAGTGTGATCTTTCTTTTCTATGGCACCAAACATTGCTATATTTACTATTTTGTCATATTGGTGTGTAATTAACAAATCATAGCATTTTAATTATTATAACTAATAAATATATTCTATAGACACTAATCAGATGTGGAATAAGTGATTTATGTTTAGTTAGACATTAGCAAAACTCTCTACATATCGTTAAAGTTTCTGTCACTCAAATTAGGTTAAAGGGGTACGAAAACAATATTGCCTTGACTCAGTGCTGGAAAAATAATAAATAGTTCAGTAGATATAAAATCAAATCAGAAGAAAAGTCATTTTTAACCTTGTTAGTGGGATAACTTTTACTGACTGGGGAGATTCAGCTGGACACTTGGGAAATATAGGAGCACAGAGCTTGCAACTGGCAAGTGAAATAGGAAAGACACAAATCAGAGTTAAGATGCTGGGTCATCAGTGGGCTTGTTCTAAGGTAAATGATAAGGAAGTCATTGAGATAAGACAGAGTACAAAGTAAAAGGGACCTTAAGCCAGACAGATGAGAGGCCTGTGTACAGGCAAAAGGAAAAATATGGGCTGAGGAACTTGTTAAAGAACGATGATATAGAGCAGTTTAAAAACACTAGGTTCGATCTTTTAATACTGCTTTTAAAAAAAGTTGTTCTTAATAAATTAACATATCTCCTATTTAAGTATAAAAATAGGCAAAACTAATCTTCAATCTAGAAGTCAGGATGGTGGCGACCTTTGTCAAGGAGCAGTTAATGACTGGGAGGAGGCATATGGGCTACTTCTGGTGGTGGTAATGTTCTGTTTTTCAATCTGGATGTCCTTACAGGGGTGTGTTCAGTTGGTGAAAAATTTTTTACATTTACCAGGTGTGCACTTTATATGCATATTTAATGCTATAACATTTATATATTCATGTTATGTTTTATATATATTTTATATATTAATGTAATATTTATGTTACCATATTTTAAAAAAAGGGGTTTTTTGAAAGGTAAGGTAAGACACGAGTAGATTTAAAAGGAAATTCTCCTCTGCAGTGCATCAGTCCTGAGTGAATGGTTGGTAGGTACCTCTCAAGTGCTGGGAGATGAGCCAGTGCTGTAGAATGGCCTCTGTACTTGCCGACCAGCGCTGAGAGAGCCTCTGTGGGTCCTCTCCAGTCCACCTCTATGCTTCACCTTATGTTAGTAGTCTTAGCACCTAATTAAATACTAATAAGGAGAAAGCTTCATCATTGTGTAGTGGGGTGGATAAACAAAATACAACAATGGCTTTGATGTGTCTCCACCCCTGGTACTGAGGTGGGATATCTTCAAATGCTAGCTCATCTTGTTCAAAATAGATTTGGCTAACAGTATATATTTGCAACCCCTGATTGAAAAGAAAGTGATAGTCTTTTGCCTCTAGATCCTTTTGTGGTCATGGTGGTTGTTTTAAATCATGGACACATGATTAAAATGTTTAAGGTGGGTCTTAGTAGCTGCACTCTATCACCAGGATCTGAGTTTTATTGCTGCTCTCTTCCCGCAGTGTTTGTGCTTCACATTACAATCATGCTCTCATTGATCCTATCTTCAAAATGCTATTATATCAGGAGTGAAGTCTTTATTTCTCATTAGCTTATTCCTTCAGATAAGATGAGATGTAGTGTGACAGTTAATTGTACGTGTTAATTTGACTGGACAAGGGATGCTGACATACCTGGTCAAATATTATTCCAGGTGTGTTTGTGTTTAAGATGAGATGAATATTTGAACTGACATAATGAGTGGAGCAGATTTTCCTTCCTAATGTGGTGATCCTTATCTAATCAGTTGACGGCCTGAATAGAACAAAAAGATTAATCTTCCAAAGAGTAAGGAAGGAACTCCTCCTGCCAGAGCATTTGAACTAAGACATAAGTCTTTTCCTGCCTCAAACTATAATGGAAACATTGGCTCTTTTTTGATCTTGAGCCTACTGGCTTTTGAACTGGAACTTACACCAACAGCTCTCCTGGGTCTCCAGCTAGCCAACTGCAGATCTTGAAACTTCTCAGCCTTCATAAATGCATAAGCTGATTTCTTATCCTCTCTTCTCTTCCCCCTCCTCTCTCTCTCAACAGAGAGATAGCTCCATTGGTTGTGTTTCTCTGGAAAACCTTAACTAACACACATAGTCTATATGGTCTAGTAGCTACAGTCTCAACAACTATAGCTTATTTATGTAGAGACAAGGGTGACGGGACAAGTTTATGATAGCTAAAAAAAACAAAGTCAAAATATTATTCTGGCTAGAGTGTAGTAACCAAGGTTGACTATATTTTATCTGTAATACCTTTTATTTTAAAATACAACTATATGAGCTATTTTACAAAGAAAATACAAACAACATACATTTAATAGGGAAAAAAATCTCCCATACTCAGGTTCACACTTGTGTCAAATTGATGTCTTTTATTTCGGCCAAGTTTAGAAAATCACAAACAAAATTTAAAAAAGACAATACTTTCCTCCAGTGCACATGCTGCTAAAGGAAGGAGAACTTGGTTCTTCTGTCATAGAGCAGATGAGCGTTTGGTCATCCCTATTAAAAGAAGTTGGACTGACAGGTAGAGTGACCCATTTGAGAAAGAGTGGGGTCAGGAAAGGACTCTGCAGGCTATTTAGACCTCACTAGCAGGGAGAGTGAGACTTAGTGGTGCTAGTTATCTATTTTTAATAAAGTCAAGTACTTCCACCCTGGTGTGGGCAGTATTTATTCTATCATTTGGCTGTTTTAGAGAAAAATGGCTTCAATGTGTTCTTATTCAGGATAAAGAGAAGTCAATTTAAAATTTCAACTTATACTGGAAAGGCTTCAAATACCAAGCCTAGAAAACTTTTTAGTCTTTTTTAGGAAAAAAAAAAAAAGGAAAGACAAGAGAATCACCTATTTGATCTAAGTTATAAAATGTACTCTTGAATTTAGAGCTTATGCAGGGAATGTGTTAGCTAACTTAATGAATGCATATACATAAGGAGTGGTACATTACCTTGTTGATTTGTAAAAGTTTTTAACTACATGTTAATTAACTGAAGTCAATGCTTTAGCTAACTCCCTGGCTATAGTACTGAATGCAGCTACAAAAGGCAAAGAGCCCCAAACAGAAACTAACTAACCTCTAAGGACATCTAACCAAGTCTACTTAATTGTAACAATATCAAATGTTACACCAGTTTAATAGACTTTGTAACTTTTCAGTGAATGTTAATCAAATATTTTTACAGAGAACTTGCTTAGTGTCATAGGATATATTGTATTATTCAACTCAAAATTATAAAATTATTCTTTGGGTGGACAGCATAATTATTAGAACATAATCTTATAATATTTTCTCATTCATTTAGAGCCTTTATACCTAGAAATGCTAAGAAAACAGATTCCACTTAAAATATCTCAATGTTTTTAGAACACAGGAGAGTGTTAGACTTTAAAATTTTTGACGTGGATAATTTATGGCTTGGAAGCTATTTATAAACATCACAGTAAAAACAATGGCATGCTATTACACTAGCAAGTAAGAAATATTTCTGTATCACACCCATAACCAATATCTTAAAGCAAAATTTTGGTCAATGGCTAGGAAAACACATTTTTCATTGAGTTTTTAATGTACACAATTATAAAAGGCACTCACATTAAAAAAGCATCTGGCTAAAAACAACAAATGTGTTTTAGTAATCATCTACCTGAGGATGACCTCTAAGCTTTATCTTTTGGACCAGCTACAGCATGAGGGAAGGCTAGGCACCTTGAATTAAGAGTTTTGAAGGTACTCTGGGTTCATCAAGAATGACCAACTGGCAAGACTGATTTCCCAATATTTGCCTTGGAAAACTCAAGATGGACAAAGTGTGGCAGCAACTTTTTAAATTATAGATAAATTTTCTCAATTACTTAAAGAATCAGAGTTGTCTATGGCATTAAGTTCTTTGAATTTTCAGAGGACACCCTCAATGACGACATCAGAGTTTCTTCAGGGTTTGTGCAGAGGAATTTAAATCTAACATCCTGGTAGATTATGTGGTAAAGAAATAAATGGGCAATTGTCCCTTCACTGTGTAAATAGTACAGATTTAAAAGAAAAATTTAGATGAAGCTTGCAAAAGTTGATAAAACACAGCAATGGAAAAGATGTAGAGAAGCAAGTATTTAATTATTCTATTAGTGGGAGTATAAAATAGTACAATTTTTAGGGAGCATAATCAAAAGATATTAGTCAAAATCTATAAAGTGCAAATTCTTCAATTCCATTATTCTATTTCTTAGGTTTTATTCTAAAGCAATAATAAACAATTTTGTGTATTATTAATTAAAATAGTAAATTTGTAGACAATTTAAATGTTTCACCCCAGGAAATAGGAAACAAATAGTATAGCAACATGCTGTTATAAAGCTGGTATATTGATGAGGATGTCAAAGTTATGTTAAAAAAGGTAAGGCCACACTGGCTTGAAAGCTACTGGACTAGACTTAAAAAACAAAAGCAGGATAGGAAAAAATTCTTTCTGTATAGTCGGTGCTCGATATGATCCTACTTTGCTAGACACTCTCTATCTGATTTCCCCAAGCACTTGAGGGCCCTCTCTGACCTCAGAAATATGCATGGCTGACCTGAATTGCCAGGAAGTTAATACCTTTGCGTACACTGTCAGCCAATAATGGTTAGGAATGTGTGAATAAATATTCCAACTTCCTCACACATTGGGTGGGACAACTCTGAACCATGTTCTCTGCAGTTTCCCAGATGTTCCCAGCAGGACTGATCCTGGGTCTCTTATAGTGGCAATTTATCCATTAATGCCCCCAGTGGGCTTTCTTTTCTTTGCATGCCATTTTTCTATACATGCTTCTGGTTTACCTTCCAAATAAAATGATTTGCTCTTCAGTCCTCACTTAGGGTCTGCTTATGGAAAAATCCAAACTAAGGCAATATTTTTATGTGTATTATATGGTGTGTAGGGGTGTGAGAGTGTGTGTGTTTGTGTGTTGTGTGTGGTATAAGGCAGTATAAGAATATAAACTAAAATGTTAACAGTACATCTCTATGCAATAGAATTAGAAGTCATACTTCTAATTTTCTGTGTTATATTTTACCTTTTTCAACACAAGGAAGATTTGTGGACAAGAAAGGCAGTACCCTGGGCCTCCTGGGTATGCTGCATCTTAGACTGAGCAGAGATGTACTCCAGATGAGGGAAAGAAGATGTTTGCAGTTCATATACTGCCTTCCTACAGTGGGATTGCCCTTTCTGTTCTGCAACTTGGCAGGATACAGGCTGAAGGTGTGGTCTCTCAGGGGGCCTGCAGTGAGGAACTGGAGCAGGCAGAAGTAAAGGAAATGAGGTGGATCTGTCATGAAAGCAAAAGAAAATCAAGCTTCCTGGCTTTCCTAAAGCATATCAGTTTAGCACACAGTAAGAATTACTTAGTAAATTCTTTTCCTGCTAGAGCACCCTTTCTATCATCTTGACTGCTGTTTTTCATAATTGCTTTTAAAAAGGACTATGTGATTCTTAAAAAAAAATTGAGGTCTATTAAAATAGATGTAAGAATATTCATATCAATATCATACTATGGCAAAGGCATATTCATTAGTGCAGTGCAGGTTCACATGAAGAAATGTCAACACTGAATATATACAAATTTTAAGGAATAGAACTGCAGATTATTTAGACAACCTCCATTAATTTTCTTGATGTTGAAAGACAATGATTTATTACCATATCTCTATGCATATTATGTGTCTGTATAATTCTCTACTCACTCCCTAAAAAGAAGAGCTTTTTTGTTATAAAAATTAGATATATATTGCTCAGAATGTGATTTTCACTCATTATAATAACTAAAGAAAAAATTATGTATTTTTATTTATTAGTCACAAATGTCATGGATTGGTAATTTTACCTTATTAAGCACTAATTCCCTGTTTATTCCACTTAATTCTAAATTAAATACAAATTTGGCTGGACTTTTTACTAACTAAAATTACATATGATACTAATATCTATTATGTTCTACTCTAAAATTTAGAAATGCTGGAAAACACAGGCTAGTGGTGAGCCAGACTTGCTCTTGCATTACTTCTGTAAACCATATACACATTAGGTCAATTAGACAATGTTTGGACATTTAGGTAGAAAATATAACAGTAAAAATTTTGGTGTTTTGATAATGGAACAGGAAAATAATATTAACTGCAGAATAACATTATATTACCTTTGTCAGGGTGTTTACAGCGCACTATTCTATTTAGTCAAGGGGAAGTGAAAGTTTGATCTACATGACTACAGAATAATTCCACAGGGAAAAGTTGTGTTTAAGAAACATGATTCATTTAAAAATGTTTTGGGAGTAAATGGAGGAGGTGGAACAAGGTGGCTGAATAGAAGAAGCCTCCACTGATTTTCTGCCTGAAGGAACACCAAATTTAACAACTTTTCACACAAAAAAGCACCTTCATAAGAATCAAAAATCAAGTGAAGGATCACAGTACCTGGTTTTAACTTCATATCACAGAAAGAGGCACTGAAGAGCCTAGGAAAGACAGTCTTAAATTGCCAGTGCTATCCCTCCCCCATCCCCTGGCAGCAGACACATGGCACAGAGAGAGAATCTATGCGCTTGCATGAGGGAAGCACAGTGATTGAAGGATTTTGCATGGGAACTCAGTGCTGCCCTGTCACAATCAAAAGCAGCAGTGGGCAAACAGCTGGCACCTAATGAGGGAGCATTTAGACAAGACCTAGCCAGAGGGGAGTTGCCCATTTCAGTTCTGGCAAGCCTTTCTCCTGTGGGCCAAAGTGCTGTGGGGTCCTAAATAAACTTGAAAGGCAATCTAAGCCGCAAGGACTGCAACTCCTGGGTAAGTCCTGACCCTGGGCTCAGAGCCAGTAGACTTGGAGAAACATGCAACCTAGTGAGACCAGCCAGGGTGGCTCAGGGAGTCCTTGTGCCACACCTCCTTGAACCCCAGGAAGCACAGCTCCCATCTGTGGGAAAGAATTCATTCCCCCACCTGAGGGGAAGGAAGAGTGAAGACGATTTTGTCTTGCAACTTGGATACCAGCTCAGCCATAGTAGGATAGGGCACGAGGCAGAGGTGCCCTATCCTATGGCCCTCATTCCAGGCCCTAGCTCCTGGACAAAGTTTCTGGAAAAACTGGGCCAGAAGGGAACCCACTGCCTTGAAGGGAAGAACCCAGTCCTAACAGCATTCATCATCTGCCAACTAATGAGCTCTTGGGCCCTGAGTAAACAGCAGTGATAGCCACATCATAGTACTCGCCATGGACCTTGGGTGAGACCCTGAGAAATACTGGCTTCAGGAGTGACACAGCACATTCTTAGCTGTGGTGGCTACAGGGAGAAGTCTCGCTAATGGTTTGTCAACTTTTCAGAAAAACAACTTTTTATTTTATTAATCTTTTGTGTTGTATTCTTTATTTCAATTTTATTTATTTCTGCTCTGATCTTTATTATTTATTTTATTCTAGAAATTGTGGTTTTGGTTTGCTCTCCTGTTTTTCTAGTTCTTTAAGATGCATCATTAGATGGTTTATTTAAAGTAGAGCAATCGGATAAGAAGGAGAAATAAAGGGCAGGCAAATTGGAAAGGAAGAAGCCAAATTATCCTTCTTTGTAAATAATATGATCTTATATTTAAAAAAATCTAAAGAATCTTCTTCTTTGTAAATGATATGAGCTTATATTTAGAAAAATCTAAAGAATCCACCAAAAAACTATTAGAACTGATAAGCAAAATCAGTAAAGTTGCAGGATACAAAATCAACACACAAAAATCAAAAGCATTACTATATGCCACCTGAAAACAATTTGAAAAAGACATAAAGAAAGTAATCCCTTTATAATAGTTACAAATATAACAACATACCTAGACATAAACTTAAAAAAGTATATATCTATAATAAAAACTATAAAACACTGATAAAAGACATTGAAAATGAAAAAATATTTTATTTTCATGGATTGGAAAAATCAATATTGTTAAAATGTCCATACTACCCAAAGCAATCTACAGATTCAATGAAATCCCTATCACAGTATCAATGACATTCTTCACTGATAGAAAACAATAATGCCAAAATGTATATACAAACCAGAAAAGACTCAGAATAGCCAAAGCTATCTTGAACAAAAAGAATACAATATGACTGAAGGAATCACATTACCTGACATCAAATTATACTATAGGGCAATAGTAATCAAAACAGCTTAGTACCGGCATGAAAACAGACACATGGAGCAGTGGAACAGAATAGAGAACCCAGAAACAAATCTATATTTCTACAGTGTACCCATTTTCAACAAAAATGCCAAGAACATACCTTGGGGAAAGAATAGTCTTTTCAAAAAATGGTGCTAGGAACACTGGATGGAAAAATATTGAGGAAGTCTCCAGGATATTAGACTGGGCAAAGATTTCTTGAGAAACACCTCACAAGCACAGGCAACTGAATCAAAAATGGACAACTGGGTCACATCAAATTAAAAAGCTTCTGCACAACAAAGGAAACACTCAGCACAGTAAAGATACAACTAATAGAATGGGAAAACATATATGCAAACTATCCATCTGACAAAGGATTAATAACAAGAAAATATAAGGAGCTCAAAAAACTCTACAGGAAAAAAAATCTAATAATCGGATTTAAAAATGGGCAAAATATCCGAATAGATAATTCTCAAAAGAAGACACACAAATGGCAAACAGGTATGTTGAAAAGTGCTCAACATCACTGATTATCAGAGAAAATGCAAATCAAAACCACAATGAGATAGCATCTCACTCCATTTAAAATGGCTTTTATCCAAAGACAAGCAATAACAAATGGTGGCAAGGATGATGACCAAATGGAACCCTCATACACTCTTGGTGGGAATGTAAATTAGTGCAATCAATATGGGGAACAATTTGGAGGTTCCTCAAAAAATTAAAAATGAACTACCATATGATCTGAGAGTCCCACTGGTAGGTATATACCCAAAAGGATGGAAATCAATATATCAAAGAGATATGTATACTCCTATGTTTCTTGCAGCACTATTCACTATAGCCAAGATTTGGAAATAAACTAAGTGTGCATCAAAAGACTAATGTATAAAGAAAATGTGATACATATCTACAATGCAGTACTATGTAGCCGTAAACAAATGTGGTACATATATACCATTGAGTACTGTGTAGCCATAAAAAAAGAAAAGAATGAGATCCTGTTGTGTGCAACAACATGAATAGAACTAGAGGTCATTATGTCAAATGGAATTAGCCAGGCACAGAAAGACCATCTTTGCATGTTCTCACTTATGTGTGGAAGCCAAAAGTTAAGACAATTAAACTCATGGAAATAGGGTCTAGATTGATGGTTACCAGAGGCTGAGAAGAGTAGCAGAGTGGTGAGGAGGGAAGAAGTGAGGATGCTAAATGGGTTAAAAAGCAGAATGAATAACATCTAGTATTTGACAGCACAAGTTGACCAGTCAACACTCATATATTGTACATTTTAAAATAACTAAAAAAGTATATTCAGATTTTTTGTAACACAAAGAACAATACATGCTTGAGATAATGGATACCCCATTTACCCTGATGTGATTATTATGCTTTGTACCTTTGTATCAAAGTATCTCATAAACCCATAAATATATAAACCTACAGTGTAGCCACAAACATTAAAAATGAAAACTTTTATTTAAAAAGTAATGTGAATGGACAAAAACTGGAAGCATTCCCTTTCAAAACTGGCACAAGACAGGGATGCCCTCTCTCACCATTCCTATTCAACATAGTGTTGGAAGTTCTGGCCAGGGCAATCAGGCAGGAGAAAGAAATAAAGGGCATTCAATTAGGAAAAGAGGAAGTCAAATTGTCCCTGTTTGCAGATGACATGATTGTATATCTAGAAAACCCCATTGTCTCAGCCCAAAATATCCTTAAGCTGATAAGCAACTTCAGCAAAGTCTCAAGATACAAAGTCAATGTGCAAGAATCACAAGCATTCTTATACACCAATAACAGACAGAGAGCCAAATCATGAGTGAATTCCCATTCACAATTGCTTCAAAAAGAATAAAATACCCAGGAATCCAACTTACAAGAGATGTGAAGGACCTCTTCAAGGAGAACTACAAATCACTGCTCAGTAAAATAAAAGAGGATACAAACAAATGGAAGAACACTCCATACTCATAGGTAGGAAGAATCAATATCGTGAAAATGGCCATACTGCCCAAGGTAATTTAAGGATTCAATGCCATCCCCATCAAGCCACCAATGACTTTCTTCACAGAATTGGAAAAAACTACTTTAAAGTTCATATGGAATCAAAAAAGAGCCTGCATTGCCAAGTCAATCCTAAGCCAAAAGAAGAAAGCTGGAGGCATCACGCTACCTGACCTCAAACTATACTACAAGGCTACAGTAACCAAAACAGCATGGTACTGTTACCAAAACAGAGATATAGACCAATGGAACAGAACAGAGCCCTCAGAAATAATGCCGCATATCTACAACTATCTGATCTTTGACAAACCTGACAAAAACAAGAAATGGGGAAAGGACTCCCTATTTAATAAATGGTGCTGGGAAAACTGGATAGCCATATGTAGAAAGCTGAAACTGGATCCCTTCCTTACACCTTATACAAAAATTAATTCAAGATGGATTAAAGACTTATATGTTAGACCTAAAACCATAAAAACCCTAGAAGAAAACCTAGGCATTACCATTCAGGACATAGGCATGGGCAAGGACTTCATGTCTAAAACACCAAAAGCAATGGCAACAAAAGCCAAAATTGACAAATGGGATCTAATTAAACTAAAGAGCTTCTGCACAGCAAAAGAAACCACCATCAGAGTGAACAGGCAACCTACAGAATGGGAGAAAGTTTTTGCAACCTACTCATCTGACAAAGGGCTAATATCCAGAATCTACAATGAACTCAAACAAATTTACAAGAAAAAAACAAACAACCCCATCAAAAAGTGGGCAAAGGATATGAACAGACACTTCTCAAAAGAAGACATTTATGCAGCCAAAAAAGACATGAAAAAATGCTCATCATCACTGGCCATCAGAGAAATGGAAATCAAAACCACAATGAGATACCATCTCACACCAGTTAGAATGGCAATCATTAAAAAGTCAGGAAACAACAGGTGCTGGAGAGGATGTGGCGGAATAGGAACACATTTACACTGTTGGTGGGACTGTAAACTAGTTCAACCCTTGTGGAATCGGTGTGGTGATTCCTCAGGGATCTAGAACTAGAAATACCATTTGACCCAGCCATCCCATTACTGGGTATATACCCAAAGGATTATAAATCATGCTGCTATAAAGACACATGCATACGTATGTTTATTGCGACACTATTCACAATAGCAAAGACTTGGAACCAACCCAAATGTCCATCAAAGATAGACTGGATTAAGAAAATGTGGCACATATACACTATGGAATACTATGCAGCCATAAAAAATGATGAGTTCATGTACTTTGTAGGGACATGGATGAAGCTGGAAACCATCATTCTCAGCAAACTATCACAAGGACGAAAAACCAAACACCGCATGTTCTCACTCATAGGTGGGAATTGAACAATGAGAACACATGGACACAGGAAGGGGAACAGCACATACTGGGGACTGTTGTGGGGTGGGTGTAGGGGGGAGGGATAGCTTTAGGAGATATATCTAATGCTAAATGACGAGTTAATGGGTGCAGCACACCAACATGGCACATGTATACATATGTAACAAACCTGCACATTGTGCACATGTACCCTAAAACTTAAAGTATAATAATAAAAAAAGGAAATCACATACAAAAGAAAAAAAAATAAAAAATAAAAAGCTTTAGAATTTTCTGTTGTGTGTAGATCCACAATATTTGCTGAAATTTCAAATCAGATTCACAAAGATGTAGTCTAAACTTTAGCACCAAACAAGCTGTTATTAAGCAGAAACTCAAAGTACTTCATGTTTCAAGAAAGTGAAAATATACAATACAGTTCAAGAATAGCCTGGCACAAAATAGTGATTAAATAGGTTTAGTTATTTAGAATAAATTATTCCAATCTAAACATGAGATTTGGCTTACTGGTTTATATGTTAAATCTGATCTGTTATTCTACTACTAAAACTATTAGGCAAAAAGCCTGAAGAAAATGTTCTTGTGAGCATTTTCTGTGTATAGCATTTGTATTCAAAGTTTTTTCCAGCCAAAATTTGAAAAAACTTTAAATATTTTAGGAGAACTCAAAGATTAAAATGTTTAGAGCAAGGTAAAACTAGAGCATTGAGTATTATGTCATATACTTGTTAGCCATTTGTATGTCTTCTTTTGAGGATATACTCAATGTAAGTTTTCCTTAATAGTTATATATTGAGAAATGTTCTCAATATTTTATTAAGCATAAGGATAAAGCTTCGCCTGGGGAAAATATTAGCTGCCAATGTTGTGAACTGAAAGATGTATTCACTTAAAAGATACAGCTGCCGGGTGCAGTGGCTCATGCCTGTAATCCCAGGATGTTGGGAAGCCGAGGAGGGTGGATCACCTGAGGTCAGGAGTTCAAGGCCAGCCTGGCCAACATGGTGAAACCCTGTCTCTACTAAACATACAAAAATTAACCAGGCGTGGTGGCAGGCGCCTGTAATCCCAGCTACTCGGGAGGCTGAGGCAGGAGAATCGCTTGAACCCGGGAGGTGGAGATTGCAGTGAGCCAAGATCATGCCATTGCACTCCAGCCTTGGGGAGAAGAGTGAGACTTCGCCTCAAAAAAAGAAAAGATAAATACAAAATTATAATTTTTTCCTGGTACAAAATTTTATTCTCAAACCTAAATGAATAAACTGATACTTTGTGTGTTTCATGCATATGAATAATAGTTTAAAAGTCTAGAGTAGTTTCTCTTTTATTCTCTTTATACCTACACTACTCTTAATTTTAATATTAAATAATGGAAATGATAATTCAGTGAATATAATATTTCAATACACTTTTTGCCTCATAAATGAACTTCTAATATTAATTTTTTCTGCCTGGTACACCTCTGGAAACCACTCTACTCACTACTGTCCTGATATCAACATTTAACTCCCATATACAAGTAGCAACATGCAATCTTTGTCTTTCTGTATCTGGCATATTTAGTTTAACATAAAGACCTCCAGTTCCATCCATGTTGCTGCAACTTACAAGACTTCATTCACTTTTATGGCTGAATAGTACTCCATTGTGTGTACATACCATATTTTCCTTATCTATTTGTCTGTTGATGTACACTTAGGTTGATTCCATATCTTGGCTATTGTGAATAGTGCAGCAATAAACATGAAAGTGCAGATAATCTCTTCAATATACTGAGTTCCTTTCTTTTGTATATATATATATATATATATATATATATATATATATATATACACACACATACCCAGCAGTGGGATTGCTGGATTGCATAGTAGTTTCATTTTAGTTTTTTGAAGCAGCTCTATACTGTTTTCCATTGTTTACATTTCACTAACAGTTCTTAAGTGTTCCATTTATTTGCATCCTTGCCAACATCTATGACTTTCTGTCTTTTTGATAAAAAACATTTTAACTGGGGTGAGATTATTCCTCACTGTGGTTTTGATTAGCATTTCCCTGCTGTTGAGTATTACGTCATATACCTGTGATCCATTTGCATGTCTTCTTTCAAGGCATACCTATTCAGATCTTTTGCCCACTTTAAATTGGATTATTTATTTTTTGCTTTTGAGTTGTTTGATTTCCTTATATATTCTGGTTATTGATTCTTTGTCAGTTGAATAGCATACAAATATTTTTTCCCATTCTGTAGGTTGTCTCTTCACTTTTTTTATTGTTTCCTTTGCTGTATAGGTTTCTACTTTGATGTGATCCCATTTGTTCATTTTTTGCATTGGTTGCTTTGAGGTCTTACTTGAGAAATATTTGTCCAGACCCATGTCCTGCATTTTCCCAGTGTTTTCTTCTAGTAGTGTCATTGTTTGATATCTTTCATTTACGTCTTTAAACCACTTTGATTTGATTTTTGTATATAGTGAGAGATGGGAATCTGGTTTTATTCTCCTACAAGTTGACATCAAGTTTTCTCAGCACCACTTATGAAGAAACTGTCCTTTTCCTAATGTATGTTCTTGGCACCTATTTTAAAAATGAGTTGTCTCTAATGCTTGGATTTATTTCTGGGTTCTCTATTCAGTTCAGTAACATTCTCGATTGACTACTATAGCTATGTAATGTATTTTGAAGTTGAGTAGTGTGATACTTCCAGTTTTGTTCTTCTAACTCAGGATTACTTTGGTTATTTGTGGTCTTTTTTAGATTCCATACATGTTGGAATTTTTTTTCTATTTCTTTAAAGTATATCATTGGTATTTTGATAGGGATTGCATTACATCTGTACATAGTTTTGGGTAGTATCATTATATTAACAATATTGTTTTCCAATCCATGAACATGAGATATCTTTCTATTTTTGGTATCTTCTTCCGTTTTTCTCATAATGTTTTATTGATATTCATTGTAGAGCTCTTTCTCTTCTTTAGTTGATTCCTAGGTTTTTCTTTTTTGGGGTGGTAACTTCTGTAAATGAGATTGCTTTCTTGATCCCTTCTTCAGATGATCTCGATTGGTATATGTAAGTGCTACTGAATTTTTGGATGTTGATTTTGTATCCTGCAACTTGCCTAAATTTATTTATCATTTCTAACAAGTTTTTTTTTTTTTGGTGGAGTCTTTAGGTTTTTCTAAGTATAATATCCTGTAATCTGAAAAAAAAAAAAAAAGAGGCTAATTTGAATTCTTCCTTCCAGTTTGGATGCCCTTTATTTCTATGTTTTACCTAGCTGCTAAGCCTAGGACTTCTGGTACTACGTTAAATAAAAATGATGAAAGTGAGCATCCTTGTCTTGTACAGATCTTAGAGAAAAGGCTTTTAAATTTTCCCTGTTCAGTATGATGCTAGCTGTGAGTTTGTCATATATAGCCTTAATCATGTTGAGGTATGCTACTTCTATACCAAGCTGGTTAAGAGGTTTACCGTGAAGGGATGTTGAATGTTATCAAATGCTTTTTAAAGTATCTATTAAAATAATCATATGGTTTTTCTCCTTCATTATGTTAATTTGACATATCATGTTTATTGGTTTGATATGTCACTTGATCATGGTGAATAATTTTTTTTGTACAAATTTATGTAGTACAGGAGAAATTTTGTTACATGTATATAATGTGTAAGTGATGAAGTCAGAGTACTTAGGGTGTCCATCACCCTAGTGTAATACATTTTTGTTAAGTGTATTCACCATACTCTGCTATCAAACACTGAATTTATTCCTTCTATCTTACTGAATGTTTGTACCTTTCTTCCCAGTTTCACTCATTTTCCTCTCTCTTCCACACTCTTCCCAGCCTCTGTTATCCATCCCTTCACTCCCCACCTCCATGTAATCAAACATTTTGGTTCCCACATGTGGGAGAACATGTAATAGTTGTCTTTTTATGCCTTGCTTATTGCATGTATGATCATGACCTCTAGTTCCATATATATTGCTGCAAATAGTATGATTTCATTTTTTCTTATGGCTGAATAATATTCTATTGCATATACATACAATATATTTTTTTGGCATTCATCTGTTGATCAACACTTTGGTTTATTCCATATCTTTGCTATTGTAAATAGTGTTGCAATAAACATGCAAGTGCAGGTATCCCTTTGATATATTAATTGATATTCCTTTGTGTAGACACCCAATAGTGGGACTGCTGGATTTAATGGTAGTTTTATTTTTAGTTTTTTGATAAATCTCCATAATGTTTTCTATAGTGAATGTACTCGTTTACATTCCTACAAACAGTGTATGAGAGTTCCCTTTTCTCTGCAACATTGCCAAATGTGGGGGTTCATTCAGGCTGGTGGGAAAAAATTTAGTTATAACAGCCACACACCCTCTTGGAAAGCCTGAGAGTTTGCATAACTTCAGTCATAAATCTGGCTGAAGGAAGCCTAGTTTTCTTACCTTTAGTTAAATAAATTACAGTAGAAATAAAGGAATGTGGGGAGTTTATCTAAATAACTTGTTTACTCATGTGGTCTTAAGACTAACCTTTGTTCTACCGTGGGTGTTTAATCGCTTTCTACTCGGGAAGTCCACAGTGTCAATTATCCTCTAGTGGTGTTGACTCAAGCCTTTGTCAATTAATCTTTACTGAATAAATGCGAGTCTTGCTGGCTGATTAGGGCCACGGCTGCAACTAAGTGGCCTGCATGCTCAGTCAAACTGTCAAAGCAGAATATCTGTGTGTCAGTGTTCTTTATTCATTCGTTGTTGGGTCAGGGTCTGCAGGACAGACCCCCACAGCCAAATATCTGTTATTTTTTTGTCTTTTTAATAGTAGTCATTCTGCCCAAGGTGAAATGATATCTCATTGTGGTTTTGATTTGCCTTTCTCTAATGATTAGTGAGCCTTTTACCCTCATATACCTGTTGACCATTTGCATGTCTTCTTTTGAGAAATCTCTGTTAAAGTCATTTACCCACTCATTATGAGATATTATTTATTTATGTACTTATTTATTTGAGTTCCTTGTACATTCTGGACATGAGTCCCCTGTCATATCCATAGGTTGTAAATAGTTTCTCCTATTCAACAGTGTCTCTTCACCCTGTGGATTTTTCCCTTTGCTGTGCAGAAGCTTTTTAGTTTAATATTGTCTCATTTGCCTATTTTTGTTTCTGTTGCTTGTACCTTTGAGTTCTTAGTCATAAATTCTTTGCCCAGATCAATGTCCAGGAGAGTTTTCCCTAGGTTTTCTTTCATTATTTTCAGAGATTCAAATCTTATATTTAAGTCTTTAATCCATATTGAGTTGATTATTGTATATGGTGAAAAATAAGGTTCCAGTTTAATGCCTCTGCATGTGGCTATTCAATTTTCCCAGCACTATTTATTGAAGAGGGTGTTTTTTCCCTCAGTGTAAAGTTCTTGTTGGCTTTGTTTAAAATTGGGTGGCTATAAATATGTGACTTTATTGCTGGATTCTCTATTCTGTTCCATTGCTCTGTGTTTCTATTTTTATACCAATACTATGCTATTTTGGTTACTATAGTCTTGTAATACATTTTGAAGTCAGGTAATGTGATACCTCCAGCTTTTTTCTTTTTGTTCAGGGTTGTTTTGGCTATTCAGGCTTTTTTTTGTCCATACAAATGTTAGAATGCTTTTACTAATTATGTGAAGAATGACATTTGTATTTTGATAAGGATGGCATTCAATCTGTAGGTTGCTTTAAGCAATATGGTCATTTTAACAATGTTAATTTTTTTGATCTATAAGCATGGGATGTTTTTTCATTAGTTCGTGTCCTCTTCAATTTCTTTAATCAACGTTTTGTAGATTTCCCTGTGGAGGTGACCTCCTTGGTTAAATTGACTCCTACAGGTGTTTTTGTGTTTTTTTGCCTTTCTGATTTATTTCTCAGCTAGATCATTATTAATGTATAAGAAACACTAATGATTTTTGTATGTTGGTTTAGTATCCTGCAACTTTCCTAAATTCATTTATCAGATCTAAGAGTTTTTTGGTGAAGCCTTTAAATTTTTCTTAGCATAAGATCGTATCATCAGAAAAGAGCAACAATTTGACGTCCTTTTTTTTTTTGCAGTTTGGATGTCTTTTACTTTTTTCTCTTACCTGATTGCTCTGGCTAAGGCTTTCAAGTACTATGTTGGATAGGAGTGGTTAAAGTGGGAATCATTGTCTTGTTCCAGTTCTTAGGGAAAAGATTTGAACTTTTCCCCATTTAGTATATTGTTACTTGTGGGTTAGTCATATATAGCCTTTATTATTTTAAGGTATAATCCTTCTATGCCTAGTTTGTTGAAAGTTTATTTTCATGAAGGGATGTTGAATTTTATCAAATGCTTTTCTGCATCTGCTGAAATAATAATATGGCTTTTGGTGATCTTTGACCTTGCACCTGGTTATCCATGTCTTTCTTTAGATTTGAAAATTTCTGTGTTATTATTATTATTATTATTTGAGACAGAGTCTCGCTCTGTCGCCCAGGCTGGAGTGCAGTGGCACGATCTCAGCTCACTGCAACCTCTGCCTCTTGGGTTCAAGTGATTCTTCCGCCTCAGCCTCCCCAGTAGCTGGGATTACAGGCACCTGACATCATGCCCAGCTACTTTTTGTATTTTCATAGAGACAGGGTATCAAAATGTTGGCCAGGCTGGTCTCAAACTCCTGACCTCAGGTGATCTGCTCACCTCAGCCTCCCAAAGTGCTGGGATTCCAGGTGCGAGCCACCATGCCCGGCCTATTTTTTAGATAAGCTTTCTACCCTTGTCTCTTTCTCTGCTCTCTCTTTAAGGCTGATGATTACTATATTTGCCTTTTCTATGGTATTTTCTAGATCTCATACATGTTCTTTGTTCTTTTTTATTCTCTTAACTTTTTTCTCTTCTGACTATGTATTTTCAAGTAGCCTGTGATTGAGCTCATTAATTCTTTCTTCTGCTTGATCAGTTCTGCTTTTGAGACACTGTGATGCATTTTTCCCTTCATCAGTTGTATTTTTCAGCTCCAGGATTTTTGTTTGATTTATTTTAAAGTTATTTCCATCTTTAAAAACTTTCTCTGATAAATTTCTAAATTGCTTTTCTGTGTTTTCATGAAGTTCATTGAGCTTCCGCAAAGCATCTGTTTTGTATTCCCTGTACGAGAGGTCACACATCTTTCTCTCTCCAGGGTCTGTTGCTGGTGACTTACTGAGTCCATTTTCTGAGGTCATATTTCCCTTAATGTTATTGATTCTTATGGTTGTTCATTGATATCTGGGCATTGAAGAGTTAGGTATTTATTGTAGTCTGGCCTTGTTTGTATCTGTCCTTTTTCAGATCTTCCAAGAATTCAAATGGCCCCTAAGCTTGTGGTCATTGCAGCTGTTTCAGCACTAGAAGACACCCTAAGCCCAGTTACACTGTAACTCTCTTGCAGACTCCTAGATATGCAGTACTGATGGGGTTGAGAAAGATCAGGGGGAACTCCCTAGATTCCGAGGCAAAGTCCTCTATTACTTCCCTTTCTTTCGCCGAAGTAGAAGAAGTGTCTCTACATGCTGAGCTGCCTACACTTGGGGGAGGAGTAATGAAGGCACGCCTGTGGTCACCACAGCTGGCACTGTGACTGTGTTGTGTCATACCTTCAGTTCTTGGCCTGACTACTGCTGCTTCACTTACTCAGCTACTGTCTGACTGCCACTGATGCTTATTCAAGGCCCAAGGTTACTTTAGTCAGCCACTTGGGAAGCTTCTGGGACTCTGGTCTGTCCTGTGGGGTGCTGGATTCTAGAAGCATCCAGGGGCAATGGCCCGGAACCAGCTTCTCCAGGATTCTGCTCAGTGCTGTGTTTTACTATGTCAAGGCTGGTACCAGTTCCCAGGCAAAGTCCCCTGTAATCTTCATTCTCCATCACTGCCTGGAGTTGGGTGAGGGGTGACAAAGGCATCCCATCATTGCCATAGCTGGTGTCACACTGGGTCTCACCCTGAGTTCACAGCCTTTCAGACCAGGGCAGCACCAGGGTTCCCCAAGGGCTGTGGTTACTACTGCTTTGCTGCCACTGAAATTTATTCAGGGCTACAGACTACTCTAGTCAGCTAGTGGTGAAGCCGGTCAGAACTCAGGTTTCTCTTGCCAGTGCAGTGTATTTCCCTCTGGCCTAGCATAGGCCTAAACGTTTTATCTGTGGAATCAAGGGCTGTGGAATGCTGCCCTGTGCTGTGTTCCACTGTGGTGGGAGCCACCCCTGAATTCTAATGCAAAGTCTCACACTCAATTCCGTCTCCCACATGCAAGCACACAGATGCTCTCTCCTCTCTGTGCTGCCTGAGGTTGGGGAGAAGAGTAATATAAACAGTGTGACAATGTTTATTTTTTACCCTCTTTAATGAATCTTCTTATTACTGTGCTAAAACTAGGCATTGTGATCTCTCACCTGAATTTTTACTTCTGGTGGAGGTGTTTTCTTACATGAGTAGTTGTTCAGTTTGATGTTCCTGCATGGGGACAATTGCTGGAGGGCATTATTTTGCCATCCTACTCTGCTGAACCTTTAATTATTTGCATGTTCACGTTTGACTACAATGGAAAAATGAAACAGGTACCTATTTTATTGTTTGTTTTTAATTATGGTGGTGGTTGTTTTAATAGCTTACTATTTGTCATTTTGGCTAAGCATTCAACATATATTAACTCATGCAATTGTCAAAGTAAACCTACTAAATAGATTAATTTATTGTTCCCATTGAACAGATGAGATTATTGAGACTTAAGCAGCTCATCTAAGTTCACACAGCTTCTATATGGCAAAATTGGGATTTGAGTACGTCTAATTCAGAACCTGGGCTCTGATTATTTAGTGTAACTAAGAAATTAACTTACTGTTTCTTTACAAAAAGTATGCAGTTTACCATATTCTTATGTCTATAACCTTGTCTAAAAATGTAATATTTTATAATGCATCTGTTCATTTCTAATACACTCTTTTCTATATCCTTTAGAAGGATATGATACAAGACATCATCTAAAAACTACAATTAATTTAATATACCAATAATGTACATCTTGTACTCATGCTCCCATTGTACCATTCTTAAATTAGGAAATAATTGTTTTTTAGAATACGATTATATTATGCAAGATTATTTTGCAGTCATCAGGCCCATCACTGAAGAGTGGTAAAACAAAAAAGTCCTGTAATTACACTGGTGTCACATCCTTGTTCTACCATTTACTGACCATAGGGTCCTAGGAAAGTTAATTATCTGTTCTTTGCTTCTGATTCTGTGTTTATAAAATGAACAAAGCATTAACGCTTTGTGGAATTGCAGTGCATTGACGATTAATGTATGTGCAATATTTAGAATAATGACTAACAGAGAGTGCTCAGTTAATATTAGGTATTGTAATGAAAGTAATGGTAAGTAGTAAAATGTGTAAGGTGCTCAAGTCTTCTCCTCCCACCACTGGTCTCTATTCCTGTTTATGTCTTCCTTTA
Source organism: Homo sapiens (assembly GCF_000001405.40). NCBI lineage: Eukaryota > Metazoa > Chordata > Mammalia > Primates > Hominidae > Homo > Homo sapiens. The sequence goes on from NC_000014.9 coordinate 46,688,788, forward strand.
ACTTATTATCTGTTTCCTATACATCTTGATGACGCTTGTTTTTCTGGAAATACATTATTTTACATTTTATTGCATTAAAAAAAGAGCTTGTTATTTTACAGCAGTTTTTTTATTATTTCTGTTCTTTTGGCCAAGTGCACAAAGTACAAACTGAGTTACTTCCTAATCAATCACTCCAAGTATCTGGGTTTGGTATTGCATGCTGGTTGGTTAATAGCTCTAATGATGTTCTCAGCAGTCGGGTGGCTTTTTTAGCACAAGTTTCAGGTTTCACTAATATTCTGGTGGAACATTCTCTTTTATCATTTTGTCATTCTTCTGATGGAATCTCTTACACCAAGATATTTGAAAAATCTATCAACTCAATTTTAGGATTACATTTTCATTACAAAAGGTAAGCTTTCTAAATGTTTCATTTCAAGCTTACAAATGATCACTTCTTTCCTTTTTATGAGAATCATTTCCTTCTCATTATAAAACAGCTTATACAATCTGAATTGATTCTAAATTTCTTCTTCCACAAAGGTAGGCAAAAAGAAATGTCTCTAGGGTATTTTCAAGTAACTCTATTCTCCATATTCATTTATTATTTCAGTGAATTAGTAAAGCAGAAAATCAAGTTTTGAAACTTAAAGAAAAAGCCTTTAAAAATTCTTAGAATCAGATTAAGAGGATACATCTCTGGAAAATTTCTAATTAATATATTTATTTCCATATAATCTCATTATAAACATTTAACTTATTTATAAATAAACTTTGGAGCAATTATATTTATATAATTAAGGGATAATATAAGAAATTATTTTATACATATTTATTTTTGACAAGGTATTTTTGGGTAGTTTCTGATCAAATATATTCACATAATTAAACTTACACCTTCCATTAAAATTTGGTGTTTTACAGAGACATTTTTTTTCCTCTGTCAAGCCTAATACCATATTCCTAGAAAAAGAGAGCTATTTATAAGAAAAGAGAAAAGCAAGTATTCCTATACCCTGCTCAAAATTGCTTCTTGAAATTTGCTAAGAATTACAAATTAGCTAGAGTACATAGCAAGTCATAGGCAAAAAATAAGATCATGATAGTCAATATGTAAAAACACAAACCCCCACAAAGAATTTGGAAATAACATTTCCATTAAATGTAGACTCACCTAATCATCTAATTTGACCTTATACCTAATCATCTAATTTGATCTTAAAATCTGGGGTCTTACCATGTCTTTTGAAAACCTTATGATAGTTATTGATCCTCTCTCCAGAACTGTACATCCTGAAATCTATCTACTTAAGAAGTAAAGATTAAGAATACTCTCAGTTCTATCAACTAACCAAATAACTATGCTTTATTATCTCTAACTTTAGCAGTCTATACTCACAACCATTCTCAGAAAAACTGTGACTTTCTTAGAATTTTTGCTGTTTTAAATTTTTTCATATGTGTATCCCAACAACTAACAAAAATCTTTTATCAGTTTGATTTTCTCATCGGTATCATCTTATTCTACAGGATTTAAGCCTGCAAAGTTGATAGAAAGGAAAGAGCCCATACTGTCTAATTATATAGTTTCATTGAGATACAGTAAACTTTGAGAGAAGTTCTATGAAAATAAATACTATAAGGTATAACAGAATAGTGTGGAACCATTTCTCTCTAAGGTTTTTAGATCATGGAGAAGCCTAATTCAAAAGGCTCAGAAATCAATCTTTAATGAGGCCCACCATTCTTGTCCTTTTTCCTAACCCTCCAGGATTAATTTTAGGGTTTTAGTAGCTTTTTAACAATTCCAAGAAATACAAAGAGTGCATTTTTCCTCTTCATAGTAGAGTCTGATCTCCCATCAGCAAGAAGCCTATCTCCTTACTGGAAAACAAAAATAGAAATTACCAAAGAGCTTGTTTATTTTTTTTTTCCAAAGGCCTGGCTACTTTCCTAGAATAATAGTTAATCCATTTATTTCCTCCTTTGATTCACTTTCTTCTCTATTTCCCCAAGCTGGCAAGAATAGATGAATATTTTTTTCCCTCCAGTAGGAACAAAATAAAATCAAACAAGTATGAAATCTCAATATGTCATTCTATCTCACTTGTTAAAATGAATGGCTTTACCCATTGTGGCAGCTACTCTGGTTGCCCAGTCAATAGACACCCTCTGCCATTATTCTTCCTTGCTAGAAACACAGAGTAATTTTGTTTGAGTAGTCTTCTGCCATACAATCAGTCTCAGATGTGGTTATAATTCTCACCTACCTCTAGGCCCTAGAGTGAATGATGAATGTTCTAAGATAATCATAAAAATCTTATTACTCTAGCCATTGGTTGGTTTATGTATGAATATTTGTCACATTCTTTGCCAACGAAATCTGATGGAAAGCTTCCTTCTTAGAAAGGTTTTCCTCACTAGATCATATAGACAGATAAGAAAAAAAAATGCCCAGTTCCCCATTGGATGATGTTGCATTTACATGTGATGACTGAAATTGTGGAGTCCTCATATGTAAATGTAGTAATACTTAGCATGACTGTCATGCTAAGTATGGCAAGACAGAAAGATGGACTAGGACATCACTAATTCCTGAAGTATTCATCCTGAAAGACCTTTCCTGTTATATAAGAAAACAAGGCTTATTCTTTAAGCCACTTTTACTAGGGTCTTCAGTTACAACTGGAAGAAACCTATTTGACAATCCAATTTTCTTATACAGGTATTTTTATAAACGTATTTGTCTACCTATAATGAGCATTAAAATAGCAAAAATAAAATAAACTAACCCTCTTTAACAAATAGGAGTGTTACTATATGAAATAAAGTCATCTGGTATGTAGAACAAATTGTGCAGAGTTTCATTTTTCTTACCAGGAAACCAGATTGTTTTATTATCTGATAATACTTATTCATACAGCTTTAGTTAAGAATTCAAGCTAACAAAAATGTTGGTCCCATTGATGTGTTTACTTTTTCAAGGAAGTTGTGGTCACATTATTAGCTACTTTCCCTGATAATTACATTTTTTGCTTTTACATAAAGGTACACTGGATGATTGATTGATTGATCTTCAGACTACAATCATCAAACAGAACCTCCAGACTTCCATTTTCTATTTATCTATGTCCTAAAGAATCACCTTCCTTTCTGTTTTTAAAGACTCTCTTACCCTGCCAAGGATGTTATCTTAGAAACCTGTTGGGCAGTGGTAGGACAGGTTTCTATCCAGACACTGTTCTTGTTACGTATATCAGCACATGTTCTTATTAAACGTCTCAACAACTCTCATAAGCAAATGCCAGTGTTATATCCACCTCAGCTGTATGACGAATCACTTAGTAACACAGGTGAGAATATTCCATTCTTTCACAGGGCTATCACCTCCAATCTACACAACTTAATACTTCATTGAGAGAATAGTGCTTATGAAGGCTTGCCAAATATTACAAAAAATTCATATTTGACATACTTGTAAAATTTTACCTTGAATTTAACTAGTCTTCAGCTTCTCATTGATGGAATTGTTGCTAAGGTTTTGGTGGGGATGATATTCACTGATTATACCGTATTATTTTTATAGAGAACTACATAGAAAATGTCTTTTGGTTCCTGGTATCAGGAATTCTTATGCTTCTGTTAAAAAGAATGATTCACTTTTATCCTCTAAGTACTGTAAGAAATTACATATTTACTTCTTTGTGTCATTTTCTAAAAACATCAAAGGCCCATGTGGCCCATATCTAGCAAAATTCATGGATCAATCTAACCTTTTGCTTTCTATTCTTGTTTTTTCTACTTTTAAAACATTTTTACCACGCTTACTTTCCTTTGCTATAATCTTCTCACTCACTAATTTGCCAGCTTCCACATATCCACCCCACTTCGCTCATCAGAATGCTGAGAGTTTTACATTTAAGTTTCTCTTAAACTATTTTTTATTTCCAATAAAATCACCTTAGGACAGGTTGCTACAATCTCTCTTTTAAAGCTATGAGAGTTCGCCAAATTCCTTTTGGGCCCTCTCTAATTCATTCTGTTGACTGTTGGCAAATAATCTTTTCAACATGAAAATTTGATTGGGTACTTCTAAGACAAAACTTCTGCCAGAACAACACACACACACACACACACACACACACTCCTCAAATTCTTATTACCTTACGTAAAACTGCCAAATCCTGGAGAATTATAAGACCAAAGGGAAACTATTTCCATTCTCTATGTTACTAGCCCAGACCATAAAAGAGAAACTTTCAACTTCCTGGGAGATGAAAAGGTGGTTTCTTCCCTTCCTTCTTTGTCCTTCCCATGCTCTTTACCATGGATGAAATGTTTATCTGGTTGGAAAGATTGGAGAAGTGATTAAACATGTATATCTCACATATTCTGCACAGTTTCCTTGGTTCTGCAAACATCAAATAAATTGTGGATTCATGAGGAAGATGATGCATAGTTGGCAGGCAAGATTCTATTAGTTTCCTACGGCTGCTATAAAAAAGTACCACAAAATGGGTGGCTTGAACCTACAAATATATTGCCTCACAATTCTGGAGGCTAGAAGTCTGAAGTCAAGGCTTTGGTGGGTCAATGCTCTCTCTGAAAACTGTGAGAGATCATTATTTCTTGCCTCTTTTTAAATTTTGGTGATGGTTGCGGATTGTTCCTTGTCTCTCAACTGCATCATTCCAATCTCTACCTCTGTGGTCACATGGTGTTCTTCCTGTGGGTCTCTGTGTCTTCACATGGCATTCTCTTCTCTGTATCTTTCTTTTCTTCTTATAAGGACACCAGTCATATTGGATTCAGGGCCCACCCTACTCCAGTGTGACTTTATTTAATTAATTAACTAAATTTGAAATAACATTTTTTCCAAGCAAATTCACATTGTAAGAGGTTGGACTTTAGCATGTCTTTTTGAGTGACATGATTCAACCTGGTTAAAACAAGCTTTCTAATTGTTTTTATTTAAGGAGAAAGTTAATCTTATCTCTATTATATTTGTGCACATGTTTCTCAACTGTTTCAACATTTTTGAATGAAGGAGTGTGATTAGCACATCAGGAGCAAACCTAAAGAAGCCCAAAAGTTATGTTTTGGTGCTGTGAAAGAAAAATAGACTCTCAGGACCACAGAATCACTAGACAAAAGGGAAAGTTAAGCTTTGGTACTGGGTCACCAGTAGTCTTCCTTTTGTTCCCAAATAGATAGCTGGAATTTCACAACCCTGTGTTACAGCCTCGTTTCCTCTACTCCCTCTTTTCACATGTTTACTTTCTCTTACGTAGGATGTAGATATACTGAGCAGGAGGTGACAAATAATTCAATTTTTCCTCTACTCCCTCTTTGCACATGTAAAATGTAGATTTTCTGAGGCTAGTCAAAGCCTCACAAGAATGTAATCATCTGCCTCACTTGCTTACCTTCTTTCCCTTTTTCCCCCCTCCTGCTTGCTCTTTCCCCATTAAATACCAAAGTTCACAAATCCCCTTTTGGTAAATACCTAAGACACAGATGCTCCTGTGATTTTTGTGTTTCCCAAGCACTTCTCCAGCCTTGGGTAAATAAAACTCAAATCGGTTGACACTTGTGTCAGTCACTTTTTGGTTCACAGTGCTAACTACTCCAGCATTATCCCATAGAGCACATCTTTCTCTCTAATCTAGTTGCAGGATTATTTGATTCCTCAAACTCATCTTGTTTCTCCTTCACAAGCACTCCCTCATCTCCCCATTCATATTCTCCAGCAGCACAGTGCCTGGTACATACTATACGCTTTATTGATTGTAATAATTTCCCCATCTCTTTTCACCTAATGAAATTGTCTTTATTTTTTACATCTTAGTGTCAGTATCTCTTCCTCAATAAACCATACAACTCAGAAGTCTGGTCAGATTCTCGTCTTATATACTCTGACACACAAGATCCCTTGTCTTAGGAACCATTATATGAATGTGTTAGTAGATAACTAATCAGAATATTAACAAACTCCTGTTTTCTCCTCTACCCTGGAATGTTCATAAGTGATCTCTTTTTGATCACCATAATTAGCACCAATAACTACCAAAATCCCTCATACGCTCCAAGAAATATTTGCTGAGTATATAAACGTTGAGTTATTTATTTTGTTTGAAATACTTTTGTGCTGTTTTTTTAAAGTGGAATAAGCTGGAACAGAAGAAACAGTGAAAGAGAGAACCAAAGAACAAGAGAATGAACAAAAAATGAAAGATAAAAGGAAAAAAGGAAGGAGAATGGAAGGAGGGAGGAAGAGAGGAAGAGAGGAAAAGAGGGGTGGAGGGAAGGTAGAAGGCAGGAAGACAGGAAGGAAGGACGGAAGGAAGGAATGAAGGAAGGCAGGAAGGCAGGCGGGCAGGCAGGCAGACAGGCAAGCAGGAAGGTAAAACAAAAGAGAGAACTTACAAATAGATGGTGAGTCACAGCTCCATTCTCATTTTTAAAATATAAGAAAAATCTTGTGTATATGTTGTGTTGTCACATTTTGAATGCTTTTTCATGTTTGCTTTTACCACCTGCATGTAACTACGAATTCTAGAGTTAACACATAAGCTTGGCCTTTCAAAATATGTCAAACTTGCCCTTGGAAAGTACTTTTTGAGAATTTCCAGGATGTAGGTATGTGAGTTTTGGGGGAAAGCTGTTTCTTCAGACTCATGTATATAATTCTGTACGTTCTGGAAGAGGACAATTTTTATGGCTGCTGTGATTTTATATATTTTATCAAGTGTGAATGTATTATATCCAATTGCAAAGTTACAAAGATTATATACATAAGTTTGCAAGAAGGAAACTATGGTATTTTTGTTTAAGAAATTTGATATAAAATATGTTTCACATTTAAACATCACATACATGACAAACACCCAAAGCTCTTTGATTAGCTGGTATATTTGCATATGTCATTATATCTGGTTTGACTGCTCTTCCACTTTTTTTCCCCAAGCTAAAACTCTGTCATTATTTGAGACCCAGGTAAGAAAGATTAAGCCTTCCCTTGCTACTTCAGTTAGAAAATACGTGCTCTGTAATTTGCACATAAATCTATAAAAATATTTTCATTTTAATCTAAATGGAGTTTTACATGTTTATATGATTACTACTCCTAGTCTGGTTTTTAAAATGTCTGTCCATTCATTTCACTGTCCTGTATAAACTCTTCAATGTCTTCTCCTTGCATAATCAAATTAGGATTCCCTCTCTGGGACATCAAGAAAAATCTGTATTATCTTGTGTTTTCATACCTCTCTTGTGCCAACCGGAATCATTCATTACATTCAGTATGGCTTCTTTTTAGTCTTCAAACTACTAGGTCCACATTGCCTCAGAACTTTGTTTCCTTGGTAGGTTCTTCTAACTAGAAAGCTCTTTCACAGGCTCTTACATGGCTTCTCTCCCTCTGCATGTATTAGGTTCTTAGTCCTAGCTAACCTTTACAGAGAAATCTACCTTACCAGTCTGTCTAGTATCCTTACCTCCTAGATCTCCAACAGACATCTGTTCATTGCTTCATAAGATTTAAAACAATCTGAAATTGTCTTGCTTATAGATTTTATGCATTGATTTTTTTAAATCTTCCTGAAGTAGAATACGATCTCCATAAGGGCAGAGCTTTGTCTGCCCTGCTCACCATTATACTCGTATATGGTTCCATTATTGGAACTCTAAGCACGTGGGAGTGATTTATATCTTGCTGCTCAAGGTCATCGCTAAGGTCTGATTTCAAAATTCAAAAAATTGCAACCTCAGGCATAAATGGTTTAAAAATATGTCCCTATTTTTTGAAACTTCCTTCAAAAAATGGAGCTTAATTCCCTTACTTTTGAGTGTGAACTTAACTCCATAATAACTTGGCTCCAATGAATAAAAAAGAAAAGTGTAAATGATAGCTTCCTAGTTCATATAGGTTGCTATAATAAAGTATCAGAATGGGTGGCACATAAACAACAGAAACCTATTTCTACAGTTCCGGAGGTTGGGAAGTACAAGATAAAGGCATAGGAAGGTTCAGTGCCTGGTAAGGTCCTCCTTCCTGGTTCATAGATGGCCATCTTTTCATTATAACTGAACATGGCAGAAGGGGTGTGGGATCACTCTGGGGTTCCTTTTATAAAAATGATCCCATTTGAAACTGCCTTTGCAAAAATTATAACTGAGGAAATTATGAAAGTGAAAGATCAGACCTAACTGACTCCATCTCACTTAGAACATAAAACCTGTCCTTGTTCATTGCTGGGCATAGACTGAACTAACTTTGGGAAGGAATTCAGTTCATGGTTTCATTCTAAAATAAAATTGATGATAGCCTTTCCCCCAAAAAGACCTCCTTCTTGCCTGGGATCCAGTCTGCTTTTGCAGGACTAACAAATTAGCTACAAGTTTAGAAATTATGGTTTAGGGGTCATGCAACTTATGGTTCCAAGAGTCTAAAACTCCCCAAATTGCTCCTGGGGAAAACATCAGTATTGTAAAACCTAGGATCAGTGCTTGAGATATTTTGCAGACCCTGCACTGGATGGATCAGTTGACACCACCCAGACCAGTAATCTGTCTCAACCATTTTTGCCATCCTACCCAGGAACAGAAGACGGCAAGAAAACCTCACTTTGATCCACTATGATTCCATCTCCAACCTGACCAATCAGCACTCCCCTCTTCCCAAGCCCCTGCCTGCCAAATTATCTTTAAGAATTCGAATCTCTGACTGTTCCGGGAGGCTCATTTGAGTAATAATAAAACTCCAGTCTCCCGCACAGCCAGCTCTGCATGAATTACTTTTTCTCCATTGCAATTCCCGTCTTGATAAATTTGCTCTTTATAGGTAGCAGACATGGTGAACCCATTGGGCTGTTATAAATTCATGAGGGCTGTACCCTCATGACCTAATCACCTCCCAAAGATCCCACCTCCAAATACCATCACATTGGTGATTAGGTTTTAACAGATGAATTTTGGGGTACACAACATTCAGCTTATAGTACATACTGTGGGACTTCTGAGACAACATCGTAAAAGGAACTTCAACTTTTTGCTTGCTCTCTCTCTCTCTCCCTCTCTTTCTCTGTTGTAGTTTGCTATGGGAGAAATTAGTTGCCTTATTGTGGGAACACTTGAGCAGCCTATGGAAAGGCCATGTGGTGAGGAACTGAGGCATCTTGCCAAAGCCATATATGGGAGCTGCTGGGACTTAGAAAACAATACCCCCAAAGTAAAGCCTCAGAAGCAAAAGATTTTCTCTGGTCTTCTTCTTCCCTCCTGCCTCTGAGTGGCACTCTCCCCTGAGCCTAGCCATGTAAATTAGAATCCTTCTTCCCCAAGGCAGGTCATAGAAACCAGACCCCCTTTTCCCCAAAGCCAGCCATAAAACTTACACATATTACTCTAACTTTCCTTCGGCCTTTCTGTGTAAAACTGGCCATACAAGAATTATCTGATCTTCTTTTTTGAGTGTAGGTTATGAGACCCCAATTCCAGAGAGTTCTACCCTATATCCAGAAGGAAGGAATGCATGCTCAGAGAGGCCAAGAAGTTTCTAGACAGACAGGCCTTGATGGGTTTCCCCACTCAGTCTATTAGCTTTGGATCATATTCTTTTTGTTCAATCATGTTTCTACATGCCTGGCCATACTTGGTTGAACTTAAGTACAAAAATGGACAATTTCTCCTCTATTTTGGGATCTTCATTCTGAAGGCTCTCGTGTCACATATAATTATGACCAAATACATTTGTATGCCTTTTCTTTTATTAATCTGCCTCTTGTCAGTGATTTTCAGCAAATCTTGAGAGGCTGAAGGGGAAGTTTTCCTTTAGCACAGACAGAGATATTTTGGAAATAATTTCTCCAATCCCTATCAATATCCTGACTGCAACCACAACAGTGAATCTGAGCCATACAAACACAGCCAGAGGTTTGCCAGTCCCAATTCCTGACTCCCAACAGGAAATTTAGGATAATGAGTGTCTTTGATAGCACTTAGTTTTTGTTTAAAATTTATGTAATATTTAACTAACATACTCTACTAGCTAAAATATTTTGTTACCATGATAAGTTCTCATTAACATTCTTGAATAAATGAATGAATTAGTTGATTTTCAAGCATTAATGGAGTAAAATATCCAATCATGAAGAATAGTGCTACAGCTAATTCATGTTTCAACTTCTGCTAAGCTCATGTTTCTGCTCAGCAGTTCTTACTTTGCCACTATACAACTGCCTCAGCTCCTTTCCTTTTCACACTAAGGCAATGAATGTGCCTCCTAATTAAGGAAAATAAAACAGCATTGTGGAGAAGGACACTTTTGTTACTTCTTTTTGTTGTTGTTGTTGCTGTTTTTAATGAATGGTTTCTGAATCCTTCCCGCTTGCTTTAGAGAAAGATGTTTCTTTCTCTTCTAGGTTTACCTGGAGTCTAACATAATTCACTTATTTATTAATTTATCCATTTACTGCCCATAGGCTTTCTATTATAACACAGGATCTAAATTGGGTGCTTTGTTAGTAGGGATAAGTATTAGAATGTGGGGATAAACACCCAAACATAAGTTACAGTATAATGTAATAAGAACTGTAATAAAGCTATGGAACAAATTTTATGATGCAGCAGATGAGGTGGAGGGTAGCGTGTAAACCAAAGCATGACTTCATAGAGGTAAGCTTTGAAATATTAGGAAAAAATTATCAAGCATGTTAGCTGAAGAATGGCATTTATATGACGACACAGAGGTCTGGAACTGGCCATAGAGGAGGTATATATTATAATTACAAGATGTGATTTCTTCTGTCTAGAATGCTCTGGACTCTACCTAGAAAATTCCTTTAAGTCTGTTATATCAGTAGTGTCATTTATGAGTCTTCCAGGCACAGCTTGCGCATTTTTTTTTTTTTTTTTTTTTACTGTTCAAAAGAACATACTTCATTCTCCTGTAACTTTTCTCATAATGTGTATGCCTTCTGACTGGGAGATAATTCTGGGAAGAGGACATTTTTTCCCCACTAAAATAGTTCTTATTCCAACTCCTGGCACAGAGCAGGAGATCAATAATTGTTTGTTGAATGAAAAAATATAGACCCACAGAGAAATATGGAATTAAATTAAATACTCAAACTAAGCCTCCGAGAATATTTCCTGGTATGTGGACATAATTGAAGGAAGCATAAGTAGAATTTCATTTAGTTTGAAACCAACCCAATTTTCGCATAGAACTGAAGCTTGAGAAACTTAGACTTGTCTTATATGAGTTCCTTTATCAGTAAACCTACCATCAGGCCTCCCAGCTAGTATGGAGGAACTTAAACTTTCTGGATCACTGTATCTGGACAATGAGATGCACCTGCTGCCTGTTGACAAACTCCTCTTCTTTAATCTTTCCTAATTCCCTGCTCTGCTATGTAAACCCCTAACTTTAGTCATTTAGGAAAGGGACAGGTTTGACAGTTAAACTGATGTTACCCACAATAAAGCCTTTCTTCCTTGGCAATACTCATCATCTCAGTGATTGGCTTTCTGTGCAGCGAGCAACTGGACCTAGGCTGAAACTTTGGCATTCAGCAACAATTCCAGTAATTATGTCCAAAGTCTACAATGCAAAGATAAAACTATTATATCAGAATTTTTAAAATACAGAAATGATCTTCTAGATTCAATTGTATCTAGATAAAGAAAACAGATGTTATAACCATAATTGAAGTCAACACAATGGGCATGAAGCTGACATGGAAATATATTTGTCTTAAAAATATATATGGCCTTTGAATTACTCTTAACATCCTCTTTTGAATAAAGGGAAAATGATAAACTTATATGCCAATATTTACAAACATGCTATTTGTCCCGTTTTAACTGCGTCATCTGTCATCATAATACTCAATAATTTTAGAGGTTGTTGTGTCCTTCCAACATATTAATTAGTACTTTTTAATGAAGCTGTATTATTTGGACCAGTTAATTAATTTTTATGTTTTTTACCAATGGCAAATTGCCTGGGAGATCAAGATATTTAATATATTTTACAGTTCTGTTATGAAGGGTTCCTAGGTAATGTGGAGAATTTGTAATATTTCGGTGGTATTCTCTACTCTTAGGGATCTAGTCAGAGATGAAAGTAAGCAAAAGAAAATAGCCACCAGGTGAAAAACGTGCCTAAGACCAAAGTTGGAAAAATAAACACTGAGGCCATAGCCAATGCCTTTCTTTATATCACACTAATTGTTTAAATGAACTAGAAGGGAGACTTAGTTCACTCATTTATTTCTAACCATGAGGTTTGGTAGTAATCTTATCCATAGGCTGTATATTTGGATGATACCAGCCATGCAAATTTTAAGTATGTAATAAGTACCTTTTAGCCCATTATGAAATCATTCTGTAGCTAAACCACATTGAAATTTGGTCACCCATTAAACAAATCTGGACAAAATTGATATCTAAAATATTATTCTCTAGTCAATGTACTCTTACATTTTTCATTATGTCTCTATTTTTATTTAGCTTTTTTTTTTTTTTTAAGGTGGGTTATTTTATGTATTTATTTTTTTAACTCCACTCTGTATTTTAGCTAAGAGAAGCAGCTTTGGAACTTCTGAAGTCTGTACATCTGTGCGGCCCCCAAGGATTACTTGTTTTAAATATTGTTTTAAAATTCTAAGTTTATTATGGGTCAACTTGATTCTTTTTTTTATTATTATATTTTAAGCTTTAGGATACATGTGCACAACGTGCAGGTTTGTTACATATGTATACATGTGCCATGTTGGTGTGCTGCACCCATTAACTTGTCATTTAGCATTAGGTATATCTCCTAATGCTATCCCTTCCCTCTCCCCCCACACCACAACAGTGCCCGGTGTGTGATGTTCCCCTTCCTGTGTCCACGTGTTCTCATTGTTCAATTCCCACCTATGAGTGAGAACAGGCGGTGTTTGGTTTTTTGTCCTTGCGATAGTTTGCTGAGAATGATGGTTTCCAGCTTCGTCCATGTCCCTACAAAGGACATTTAGCTTTTCTTGTAAACATTTTCCACAAGACTTACAATTTTTATCTTCAAGCAAAGATTTGCATCTCAGCTTTTTACTGTTGAGTAGTTTTTGTTCCTTAAATGTTAGTTTACTCATCCTAACTTAAAGTTCCACAGTACATTTGTAGTATATTCACCTTAAAGGCATTAGAGAAAAAATTATTGGGAATTCTTGTAGCTGTTACTCTTGTACCCCACCTACAGAGAAAGTATTTAACAAAATTTTAATTATATATGTTTTGAATATAATTTGCTCTTTAACAATGTGAAGACATTCATATGCACCAGAGAATAATATGCAACTAAAGACAGAAAATTACTTCTCTTAAAATTCAACAAAATGAGAGCATGCATTTTTCACTAAGAAAGTTTTTGCTAGAAAAAAACAGTATATTATACTGTATATAATAATTATCCCTCAAAAGTTAAGTCTATAATGGCAAACTAAGTAAAAACTAAAACTGAATAGGCAAAAAAAAAAAAAAAATCCAATGCAGCAAATTCAGAGTTTTTAAAGTATACAATAAAGTTAGAAAATGTACTAACGTAATTTTACTTGAATACTACATATTCTGAAAGAAGACTAAGGAAACTACTTTGTATTTAGATAGAAAAGTCTGAATTATAATTACATTTTCCCCATAGGAACTTGAATGAAACTAATTGAGAGACACTGATTTTTTGTTTGTTTGTTTTATAATGACCAGTATAATTCTTTCTTTCTAGTATATGCAATAATTTTTAAAAAGATAATTTTTCAATTATCTAATTTAATTTCTAATGATATTAAAATTTTTGCTAAAGTTGTTTTTCAGTTCCTGAAGAATTTTCCTTGTGAGGTATTTTCCATATAGGAATACAATATAAGGCATTGCAAATTAGAGTGAATTTATAAATGTCCTCAAATTAAAAGGATTTCCTTCTTCTTGTGTAGATATTTTAGTAAAGCTGAGGTGATCTGTGTAATTTTTATTGTGGCTATAGAGGTGTGCAGAAGAGTGATTTTCTAGCTTTTGATTCTGCACATATTTAGAACATAATTATTTTTTAAAGTACCAATCATACAAAGGGAATAATAGTAATAATTTATTTTGTACTAGTTATCATTCAGTAATATAAGCAGAAAAGTAATTCAATTATGATCTTAATATGCAAACCTATTTAAAATATGATGATCAATTTTGCCCCTTCTCTGAACAGTAAAATAAGAAATAATAAATACAGGATAAATCTAAAGGATTGCCTTTAAATACAAGAACTTTATTTTTACAGGAAGTATCATTAAGGGTAAAAGTAGATAATCAAATTTTAAGAATTGTATTCTAGTTATGTTGCTGCAAAAAGCTGCATAGTCAAAATGTAGATTATTTCAATATAGATCTCTCCTTAAGTCAAGAGAATGTAATTCTGTGAAGATTCAGGAGTTAAGTGAATAGTAATCCTGATATCTGTGAAATAATTTCTTTATGATATAAAAAGTTTAATTCTGTTCATATCAAGTTAAGTTTTCTCAAATATATAGTGCATGATCAGTCAAAAAAGTTAATGCAGGAAAAAGGTGGATACAGAGCTAATTTCAGAAATAGGAAGATGAATCCTATTTGTCTCATCTTCCTCATCATGATTTGTTGTACATCATGAGCAAAATTATTGTGTTTCACAATTCTAACATCACTTCATCACCATGTTCAGAGTTCAAAAGGAATTGTCTTATATTGAATTTCATTTAAGTGCAAGGAAAATCTATGAGAAACTCTACAATAGACCTACCTTCATATTGCATTGGCCAGAATTATGTGATATACCATGACTAAACCGATGAGTTAGCAATGGGAGCAAGACAACCATGATTGGCTGTGATTAATCAAGGTAAGGCTGAGGAGAAGTCACTTCCCTGAGCTCATGGCACAGCAAGGAAGAAGCAATGGAGGACTAGACCTGGGAAAAGAAGTATCTGCTACAGGTTTTCAGGAATCCTGAGACTGCAAAAATTTTATTCTTTTGAGATATTGCAATGCATTTGAAGCCATGAGGGTGATAGTATAGAAGGTATCATACTCTACACATAGAAATTCTGGGTTTTTTCTATACAACAGATCTGGAGAGTTGAAAATTAAACTTTATTATCTATTGTAGAAACATTTAACTAAACCCAGCATGTCAATTACACAATGAAAGTTAACAAAGAACAGAGGCTGAAAAAGTATCTGCTATACATTGAAAGTACCCCTGTAAGTGTAGAAATCAGGGAACAACCATAGGAACAAAAACAATATGATGCATTTTTTTCCTCTGTATATTTCACCTGAGACTCTTAATAGTGCTACGTGACTAGGAGAAAAAGCAAGTATTGTGGGCTGTCCACTCAGAATAAGGGCTTATTACATTGTGACACTCTGTAAGTGAGCCAAGTTTTTTGACATTTCTTTTTTTCTTTACCATCATTATGACAATGATTATTACAATTCTAAATCTAGTCAAATGCAATTGGATATGATTTCATGAGTCTTGAAAAAACACACTCAAAATGTCTACTTGTTTGATTTTTCTCTGGATATTACCAAAAATATGTCTTTTGTTTATCTCTTTCAGTGTTCCATTGTTTTAATAAAATATAAGCATAATAGAAAAAGCCTTATGTTAATAGTTTCAACAGAAAATCTTTTTTGCATTTTAGTTGATTAAACCAGAAAATTAGCCGCATTCTCTGTTTACTGTATCGTATCATGCTTATCTTCTCTAAAGTAAGCTCCCATAGAACAGAAAATGTTTTATTTATTATTGTATCATCATCTATTTTAGTAGAAACTAGATAGATTTTTAATTAAAGTGAGCTATAAAAACCAATAATGCCCATTTTCTGATAGTAGCAATTCTGAAATCCAGCAGGGATATGTTTGGCCGATTCAACTCCATTTAGTTAGAGCAAATAGCACATGGTCTAATATGTTTCTAGTTTACACTTAGAAAATCCTCTTAAATGTCTGGGAAAATAGCAATGATATGTTTTCAAATATTCTGTATTGACTGAGTGGATACACTATTGGTAATGTTATCAATTGCTACCTCAGTTACATTCCACTCAAAAGCCATTTTTGAACCTGTCACCAAGATTTTCGTATTTCACTTGAACATCACGCTGTCATATATCTGATAAAGAAAGATATACTCCAGTATTTCCACTGATTTGTAGTGGTGGGCCACTATTTGAATGTGAGATATTTTAAAAGGTTAAAATCATTTCAGTAATCATTCTGTATGAATGGGTAGGTTTCCATCAGGTAGCAAGGAGTTTGGTATATCATCCTTGTGGTTATATGCCCAAATGCTCAAATTCTAAGTGCTGTCATTTGCATTATTAAGTTTAATAATGTTCATTTGACCTAACCTGTGCACTCTGTGGGACTGATGAACCTCGAAGGAGATTGCCTATCTCCCATATAAAAAAAGCCAATAAAATGTTAAATTTTTATACTCATATATATCAAAGTGAAACACATGATCTTTTTCAAATGGCTTTTGGAATGTTTCTTTCATTGCCCTTGAGAAGAATTAGCTGTAAGAAATAACTACTTTAATGTCAATTCATGAGACCCATAGTAAGTCACTTAATCTTTCAATATTTCCCTTCCTCTTATTGCCTCATAATTACCATATTTAACAATGCTGACCAGCTTCTGAAAATTACATAAGGAATAGTTAGCCAGTGCAATTTGCCCAGACTTTCTACTATAACTGGGCTCCCAGCCTCCAGTTTCTCCTGCCAGAGAAATCTCCCTCAAACTCAGTTCATATCATGTTAATTTTATGAATTATTTTTTATTCTACAAATATTTACTGTTGTATTGAAACTTTTCTCTGTGCCATGTTAGAACATCAAAAATAAACACTACATCAACCAACTTATTGATTTACTGAAGACAAAAACATAAGTAAACAAGTACGAAAATGTGTTAACAGTTTAATGATAGATGGATATGCAGAGTGTTAAAGGCAGAGAGGTCAGAACACTTAATGCCTCTTAGATTAATTGGTTAAAGGTGTAAGGAAATCCTTTATAAAGAAAAAAGCAACAATTAAATTTTAAATAATCAATATAATTTACATGGTAAATATGTTAGGGAAGTTTGAAGAAACTGTTCAAAAGCGAGATGTGTAAAGCAGGTAGTTTGGAAAACTCTAAGAAAGCTGGAAAATCACATATGAACTAATAACGTAATGTGCACCCTGCTTAGGACTTTGGATTTAAATTGATATAATGAAACATTAAACAAAGAATAATGAATTTGACACAGGAGAAGGTATGATCAGATTTATGTTTTAGAAAATCGCTCTTAGATGGATCACGGATGGACCAAAAAAGGGAAGAATTATGGAAAAATAGATGCCGAGAGAGCAGACAAGAAACAGTAAGTAACAGTTTGCAAAACAGTGGGCAAAGAAAGATGAACCAAATACACAGCCCTGTTACCAAAGAGCAAGATCTAGCGCTAAATTCTTATTTTAATGTTATATCTCACAGCTTTCCAGCCGGTACTCCATGTTTCTTGAACTATTTTCCTGTTCTTGGCCTTACTCATTTGCTTTATTGACTCTATTCATGTCACTTGGACTAACCTTCTCTTTCCTTTCAATTAGTCCAAATTATCCTCATTATTCACTGCCTGGGTCAAAATCCAGCTACTCCATGGAGCATTTTTGATCTCCCCAAATAATTTATCTTCCCTTTCTCTTACCCATCAATTTACCAATTTATATGCTTCAAAAATGGACTTCAAGGAGTTTAACAAATAAAAGGTATAAAGTACCTTAAGCAAGGTGGGGGAAATGGAATTAAAGAATGACATAAATTGTTCCTGCCAGATAACTTCTGGGCCACTACACAAAAGAAGAAAGAAAATAGGAAGAAAGAGAGATCATAGAAAAGGTGAAAGTTAATCTAAGTCTTCATTCTTGGGTAGGATTTGAACATATAGCATTGTAAGAAGGCATTTTCTGATGGCAGGGAGAACATAAGTAAAGATGCATAGATAGGGACTAAAATTAGCTCAGGTGGCTGTAATACAGGCAAAGGAGAGAAAACAAAACTTGAAAAGATATGGAATACCAGAATACAGGGAGCCTTAAATACAGGTCAAGCTAAGGGGACTGGGATTCAGTTTTTGAGCAGGCAAATCTTAGAAATTTTAAGTGTCTTAGATATTCTCTTCTTTATTCATATTCCCTCCCGCTTCAGACAGCTAGACTTACAGATTCTCAGGGTACTGTCTTCCTTCTGCATTTCAGAATATTAAATTTTGGCATACAACCAGTGTATTAGTCAGAGTTCTCTAGAGAAACAGAACCAGTAGGATATATAAGAGGTGATTTACTGTGAGAACTGGCTCGCTCACATGATAATGGAGGATGAGAAGTTCCACAATATACTGTTCATAAGGTAGAAGGCAAATGGTGTAGTTCAATCTAAATCTGAAGACTTAAGAACTGGGAGAGCCAATGGTGTAACTCTTAGTGTAAGCCAGAAGGCCTAAAACTTGGGGGATAGAGGGGTGGAGTGTTGGTGTAAGTTCCAGACTCTAAAGGCCCCAGAATTTGGAGCTCTCTAAGGACAGGAGAAGATGAATGTCTCAGCTTCAGAAAAGAGCAAATTCTCCTTTTTTCTTTTTTTTTTTTAATCAGGGCCCTCAAGAGACTGGATAATGCCCACCCACATTGGTGAGGGTGAATCTTCTTTATTCAGTTTGCTGATTTAAATGTCAATCTTTTCCAGAAACACTCTCACAGACACAGCAAGAATTAATATTTTAATAGCTGTCTGAGTATCTCTTAATCCAGTCAGGTTGACACGTAACATCATTACAGTCAGGTCTGTCCTTTCCTCTTTATCATCAACACTTCCAGAAGGACCACACTTGTAAACATTGCAGCCAACCTACAAACCTCTAGTGGTAGCACAGCCTCCAGTTTTCTTACAAGTCCAGTGCCTCTGACACTACTTCGCAAAAAATTATTTGAAGGTATCAAGGTCACATTCAAGTGATGGTGCACTGCTTTAAGGGAACTGTATTTCCCCATCGTATCACCTCCTCCATCACACATGAATTCTAGTAACATCAGATAGTTCATGTATATAAAAGTGACAACATTCATTCGCCATTTTTATTCCCTCAGTTTGACTTTATTTTTTTTCTTGTGAAACTGGAATATCTGAGTAGACAGAGGAAAATGGTACTCCTGACACCGAAGTGTATATTTTAGCCTCGTTTGCTGCTGCTGCTGCTGCTGCTTGCCCAGTATCAAGATGATTTTCCTTACTGGATGGATACCTATATCAGTATTATTGTTAATAATAATACCAAGCACTTAAAGGCATGTACAGTGCATATTCTCTGTATTATCACATTTAATCTTCCCAGCAACGTTTTTACTTATTTTATAGATGAGTACATTTATGAATAAATAACTTAATTCCCCCAGGTCACAAAGTAGTAAATGGAAAAACTGTTTTTTGAACCCAGGACTATCTGACTCCAGAGGCTGAACTCCAAACATCAAGCTCTGACCCTATGTTATTAGCTCTCTTGAAGCCATTTTTCCTCCATTTCTTCAAGTAAAAGGTACTTTTTGATTTCTCATATTATTTTGGAGGAGGTGTAGAACAGACATTTAGCTTTCCCAATACAAAAACATCAAATAAAGAGCTTACAGTTGCCAATAGGATGGTGTTTCGCCTCATCCTTTCACCTTTATGTTTTCTTGGAAATTATCAGAAAATTGCAGATAAAACTGATTTGTGGAAAATGGCATTTTTCTTCTGGATGTAAGGAACACTAATGCTTAGGTATTTTTTTTTTGGCACTTTTGAGTAAGCAATTCTATTATATCCACAGGTGTTTTAGCCTGTCTTGTAAAAATATTCTCGCTCAGAAAATGCTTTAACTAAGGATGTATGTTACGTAGTGTTGGTTTATATGACTTATTTTTATGTAGTGTTGGTTTCATGTATGTTGGTTTATGTGACTAAACCAACACCACAGGAAAAAAGGAAATGATTTCTATGTTTTAGGTTTTTATACTTTAAGTTTATGCAGTTACAGTCTTTGATGGTTTTGATAGGACTAATGTAGCAGTTGCATTTTAATTCTCAACAGTAAAGTCCTGAATGCTAAATATTGGGAAAATGAATGCCAGTTTGATGCTTTCAAAACAAGTATGTTGAGATTAACTTTATTATGTTGAGAAGATCAAAGTTTTCTGCCACTATGGACTGAATATTTGTCACCCCAGAATACACATGTTGAAATCCTAACCCCCACGTTGATGATATTGGGAGGTGGAGTCTTTGGGAGGTGAATAGGTCATGAGGTAGAGCTCTCCTTAATGAGACTGGATGCCTTTCTCTTTTCCCATTTGAGGACACAGCAGAAAGATGGTTGTCTACGAACTGGGAAGAGGGCCCTCACCAAACGCTGAATCTGTGGGTACTTTTCTTTTTAAACTTTTAAGTTCAGGGGTATAAGTGCAGGTTTGTTCCATAGGTAAACTTGTGGCATGCGGTTTGTTGTACAGATTATTTCGTCACCCAGGTATTATGCCTAGTATGCATTAGTTATTTTTCCTGATCCTCTCCCTCATCCCAAATCCATCCTGCAAAGGCCGCAATGTGTGTTGTTCCCCTCTATGTGTCCATGTTTTCTCATCATTTAGTTCCCACTTACCAGCGAGAACATGTGGCATTTGGTTTTCTTTCTGATCTAATTAAACTAGGGAGATCTGCTGGTACTTTTCTAGGACTTCCAGCCTCCAGAACTGAGAGAAATAAATTTCTGTTCTTTATAAGCCACACAATTTATGGTGTTTTGATATGGCAGCCCAAACGAACTGAGAAAATCTCCCACTGCCTATGCCATTTTACCATTTAGCAGATAAAGGATTATTCTTGTTTTGTTTAGACTTCGAAGAACAATCTGCTTGTTTATGTAAGACAATCTACTTCCTACTTTTAAAAAATACTTTTACATTATTTACTTACATGTGAGGATTATAGAACAAATATTGATTTTTTATTGTGGATTATTTTAATCAAAATATTACCAAAATCTATAATATTAGATATATCATTTATTGTTTACTAACACTTAGGAAGACATTTGTTATTAGAAAAATGAACTGCTTCTTGGAAAGTTACATTCTTGACTGGGCGCGGTGGCTCACACCTGTAATCCCTGCACTTTGGGAGGCCGAGGCGGGCGGATCACAAGGTCAGGAGATCGAGACCATCCTGGCTAACACGCTGAAACCCCGTCTCTACCAAAAATACAAAAAATTAGCCGGGCGCGGCGGCGGGCAGCTGTAGTCCCAGCTACTTGGGAGACTGAGGCAGGAGAATGGCATGAACCCAGGAGGCAGAGCTTGCAGTGAGCTGAGATGGTGCCACTGCACTCCAGCCTGGGCAACAGAGCGAGACTCCGTCTCAAAAAAAAAAAAAAAAAGAAAGTTACATTCTTGGGGAGAAAGTACACAATGGACATTTATAGAACAAATGTTTTCATACATACAATTTTATTAAGGATATGAATTGAATTTCATACTATCATATAATTTACAGACTTTTACATTCATCAAATTCTTATTTCATATGAAAAAAGATGGACGCTACTGGGATTGTGCCAGATCACCTCAACTGATTAATGGCTGAGTGGAAACCAAAAATTATTTTTAGTCTTGCATTCTTTCTGTAATCCTCAATGTTATATCTAATATATTTCCAGGTGTAATATTTTCAAGTAACTAGAAAATTAAAATTGACATTGATATGACTTAGGTTCAGGTCTAGAACCTTCACCAGATATTTGATTTCATAGATATTTTTGTTCTAAATCTAAGTAGCTAGTTATACTTTGCAAGTTTCTCTAGCTAACTTGTGTTATTTTAAAAGTGGTGGATGATTTGTTATAGAATTAGAATCTAAATAAGTTCATTATTTTTTAAAAAGAAATCTATTGTCATTACCATGTCAATACGAGAACAACAGTGACACACAGGACTAAGCAACTCATCCCTACACAAGAAAAAGGCTAGTTTTTCCAAGACTTTTATTATCTTTTTACATTTCTTTAGAACTGAAAAGGGCCTGGGTGAGTGAACATGCATTCTTTGTTCTCGATAACAAATAGTGCAAATTAAATTCTACTGCAACAAAATTTAAAGATATTTTCCCCTCTGGATTGTTGTTACACTTCTGGGAAAGTGGACCATTATTAAGGTTTAAAGCATTTTTAACCTATAAATTTTTAGTATAACATTACTTTCTGAAACAGATTTTGACCTGAAATACTTTAAAACGATATTAGGAAAAATGTGCAAATATAGTACTTGAAAAAGATCCCTTCAAGAAAATTATATACCAACTCAAACCATTACTATTACACATTGCTTAAAATTATCTGACTGTATCCTGAAAGTGATAAGTGATACTTGAATTAATGTGACATCCAATTTTAGAACAAGTGTTGATCCTGTTCTCTTTCCTAGCATCTAAGGGAACGTATGTGTATATGAATTGCACTTATTTGTATATGTTTCTATGAAATTCATTTACTATGTGCAAATCACATCAATGTTCCAGCAGTCTGTGGTCTTCTAATAACTGAATACTTTGCATGGAATTTATGTAATAATTTTTGTAATGGTTCCATTCTTTTTTTTTTTTTTTTTTTTTGAAATGGAGTCTCACTCTGTCACCCAGGCTGGAGTACAATGGTGTGATCTTGAGTCACTGCAACCTCCATCACCCGGGTTCAAGTGATTCTCTCCCCCCTAGCCTCCCCAGTGGCTGGGATTACAGACACCCACCATCATGCCCAGCTAAGTTTTGTATTTTTGTAGAGACGGGGTTTCACCATGTTGGCCAGGCTGATCTCGAACTCCTGACCTCAGGTGATCTGCCCACCTTGGCCTCCCAAAGTGCTGGGATTACAGGCGTGAGCCACCACACCTGGCCATTCTGTTCATTTTTTAATGTCATATTTTTAAATAATAATGTGTTGAGATATAAACCTGTTTATAACCATTAATCCTAGCAAATTCATCAGTGGGTTTTTTATGCATTTATTAGAAGCAATAATTACTTAGGAAAAATCATTCCTAAATTTGTATTAAAAATACGGCAACTGAATCATATTAAGTCATAGACATGAGTCAAACGCCTAAATGCCTTCTGTAAATAATTATACCAGTGTAAGATGGTGTGTGCAAATTATAGTTGACTTTCTAGAATACCCTTCTTAACAGTTCTAGAAACACCAATATTAAAAAAACTAATCTCTTCAATAAGGTCACTAATATATAATACTTTATTGTAGGTAGTAAGATTTATGAGAATTATTAGCTGATTTATATCCATTTATTCAGCTGATAGATTAATAGCAAGAATCATTAGTTACTGAGTTAAATATGGGAAGTACCCACAGTACTCATTTTCAACAGTGGAAAATTAATTAATTTTAAAATATTCAGTACTTTTGAAAAACTTTCCTCCAGCTTTATTAAGGTATAATTGAGACATGAAAATTATATATATTTACAGTGTACAACGTGATGCCTACATTGTTTACACGCATTGTTTACATTGCCTACAATGTTTACACGCATACTTTGTGGAATGATTTACAACTAATTAGCATATTTACCACCTTACATACTTTTTTTGTACGTGGTGAGAACATTTAAGAATACTCATTTGCCATTTTTCAAGTACATAGTACATGATTATTAACTACAGCCACCAGTCTGTACAATAGATCTCCAAGATTTATTTATCCTAACTTAAACTTTATACCCTTTGACCATTTATTTATTTTAATAGCAGCAGAAAGAATTTTATATACTTTTGTCAAGAGGTATTATTTATATGAGTTTAAAAACATTTGACTTTTTCTCAGAGTAAATTAATGTTAATATCTATTTTTTAGTCAGACTTACATTTGTGATTATGCAAGCTGAAACCCATTCCTACTCCTGAGCCTAGTGTCACACTACTTTCACCCCTGCAAAAGTATTGGAAAGTCCAGTTGTTTTATTTACATGAATCTAACTTTAACTAGCTATCTGCCTCAGAGACAAACTATGTGGCTAGGCTCTTAGGTAAATGTGACTGGGAATATTAGGAACCATGAGTTGAGGCCTTGACAGACAGGGTTAGTGTAAGAGAGGACTAGGATCTTCGCCTCTGCTTATAGGACAACAATGAGGGAATAACACTTTCCAGCTGTTGTAAAGTCAGTATAGTTTCTTTTCAAGTCATATACGTTTCACTTTAAAGTATTTTAAGTAATGCTTTAAGTATAAGGAAAATGAAAATAATGTCATAATAATTCTATACAAACCTCCATGTCAAATATAATTTTCTGATTACAAAATAATTGATTACAATATATAGTTCCTTTAATCTATAATACTTTTAAATTGAAGTATACTCTAAACTTTATAAAAATAAAAATGTTTTCACTTTCTGTGAAACTGGTTTCACCTAGTGAACACATTGAATTCTTCACATGCTAAGAAGAGTAAGTTCAACTTGATTTTTTGATACATGATATGTTCTTATACAAATGTCAAATGTTACAGTAGTGCTACCTTTTCTTTGCACTTACATTACTTGAAACCATAAAGACAAATCTGAAAATTGCTTAATTATTATTTTTACATTGCAGTTACCTTAAAGGTAAAATATAACAACATTATTTATTACTGGTTCTGGTACTGAATAATTAATTGAAATGCCTTGATTGTGGTTTGATTTTCCCTTTGTATTTAAGAAACATTAAAAATTTCATGTTACTACTCATTTTCTTGTTTATCTAATAAAGAATCTTTATAATTTTTCATATTATACTTAAAATTTTAAATTGTTATGCATTTTCATGCAACATATAACCATGGTCTAAGACTAAGTGAATAATAAATAAATATGTACAGCGAAAAAATAGTTAATCAAACTTTAAAGTTTTTATGGTAATCTAGAAAAGGGTTCAGCAAATTTTTCTGTAAAGGTCAAAATAGCAAAAAGTTTAGGATTTTAGGCTTTGATACAATCTCTCATCCCTGCCATTATAAACAGCCATAGACAAAACAGCCATAGACAATACGTAAAGGCATGGGGATGGCTGTGCTCTAATAAAACTTTATTTAAAAAAACAGACGGTGGGCCTATTGTGGTCAAGAGCTCTTGCTTTGCTGACCCCTGACTGCTAATATTAAAAGTTAATTACTATTTAAAATTGCTTTTTCTTTATTAATTTTTTCTTTTAAAATACATGGTAATTTCCCATGTCAAAAATATTATCTTTAATACAGAAATATACAACCTGGAATTTAATGATAGGAAAAACAAATTTTAACTAATGAATTCAAAAATTTTTTTCCTGAGAAATATATCTTCACAAAAGCATATATTATTTTATATTTTATTATGGTTTAGACTGTAAACATTACAATTGATTTAATTTGGCACATTATAACCATGAAATACTAAATTTTACAAGAGCCAAGCACCAATTAAAAGTGAAATGAAAAAGATAGATAAAGGATATACTTCTAGTAAATCAATTGACACAAATAATCCCTAAATTTAGGTGTGACCATCTAGCTAAGTTTCCAGGCTACCGTCTGTCATGTTTACATCTATTTTTATTGGCTAGCTATGAGTTATATTTTCTGCTTATTTTAAGTGGTTTTGAAGCTAGTTTTGGAGGTAGTTACTTTTAGATCAGCTTGTTTGGGTGGGTCAAAATAGCTTTTACCATAGGCTAATTGACACCTCCTACTGAAGCATGATTTTCTTGGGGTTTTGTTAATATCTCCAAGTATCCAACATCTCTCTCCACTTTGGCTGGTGAAAATCTGAACATCTCCAATGCCCATGTAAGCTTAGGAAATTGTTTAGTTTATAGTCCCCTGGCAATAGTTCTTTCTTTGACCTCATCGAGGTCCTCCTTATCTTTGTCCAGATTAGTACTTAAGGGAAGACTCACAAGGGACTTCATACAAATTTCTGAAGCTTTTTCTGTCAGAGTTCTTGTGTCTCTAGTACTTTGCTTTGCAAATTCCAGCTTTCTTAGCTCGCTTATACTTGGATTTCTGTTCTTCACCTCATCAAGACTTTCTAGGCTCTCCCTCCATGTCAGAATAATAAATTACTTCTCAGTAGAAAATTCACATTTGTAAGTTTCTCTCATATACTTCCCTTCTCTCATGGATCACAGTTGGGCAATGATTATTACCCAATAATTGAAAACTACTGTTTCATATTTTCAGAAAAATGTTTATAGTTGTGTACAGTGAGAGGAGAAGTCTACCAATCGCTCCTTAATAAGTGAGAGAAGGCAAAAATTTTTGTGATTTAATACAATAAATCTACTTATTTTATGCTAGACTTATATTGGAGATTTGACAGTTTTGTTTTGAAAATATGAGCTCTTGCTCATCTTTTCCTTCATATTGAATATCATCTGAACTGTACCCAAAAGTGGTCAGCAGTAACAGCAAAGATGTCCTAAAACTTTATTTTCTTTATTTATTTTTTAAAAAACAGGATTATTCTTTCAAATATATAAGCATGTATATAAAATTTGTTGTTTGGATGCATATTGTGGAACTTAAGCATTGGGGCTTAAGAAATTTTAACATTCGATTTTACCAAAGGACATGTCAGTCATACAAGCAAATCTCTAAGATTGTCTGCCTTTCAGTATAAACGATATTAAAGAGCTTTCAGGGTGAATTGGAACTAGATAACCACATCTTGAAATTGCAGAATAAATTAACTTATTGCATGGAACACTTTCTATTTGACATTGATATGGGAAACGTTAGTGTCATTAATGTTAAGATATTTTTCCTTGCCCAAATTAGCCACCACCAAAAGATGTTTCTTAAACTCCTGAATCAAATTATTACAGACCAAGCCAACAGCACAAAAGTGATGTTTTTCTTATTCTTTGCTATCATAGATTGCCAACAGCAAAGAATATTCCAGAACTAACAGTAATAAATTGTTTCAGAGTGAAATTTGAAACAAAGTAAGAATATAACTTTTTCTACTCCAGTTGATGGTTAGAATTTAGAGCTGAAATTTGATATTTTAACAGTTTTTCTTTACTCTGATAATGACTGTATTTTTATTCTACAGACTTTGAAAAATTGTTATTAAACTGAGAGCCATATGGTCACAACTTATCACAGTGCCCCATCTTGTCAGACCTCAAATAGCTTTTAGCAGTAAAGAAATGCATGTTACACATATGCTGTGGTGGCAGAAAATTGCTAGTTATCTTCAAAACCAGTTTCCATTTTCTGAGTACACAGCTAAATAAACTTTCCCAGCTTACTTTGCAGCTAGGTGTGTCTAGGTGGTCTTTGACTATTGCAATGTGGGGGTAGGTAATGTAAATTTCTCTAGGCTTGGCCGTAATAATCATCTTCATGATCCTCCCTTCTCTCTCCTCTCACCATATTCTGCCTTTAAAGAGAACTCCAAAAATAAAGAGCAGGGCAGACTCACAGTAGGAAAAGAACAAGGGTAACTGAGTAAGCCCTGTTCACCCTCCCTTCTACAGATTTCACTTTATCTACACAAGAAATAAAGTTTTGTTATGTTATGACACTGAGATTTTGAAGTTATCTTTTATGGTATTGCCTTGACTAATACAAATTTATAAATTCAAACCATAAAGATGCTGATATGGTAAGTTATAAAGAGGGAGATCCACATTATGGGGTGCAAAACATTGAGTTCGCTGAGCCCAGCCCACTGACCCCAGCCCACTGACCCCACAGATCAAGGAACAGTGGTTGGAAATAGTCAAAGGGTGATGTGTGGCTTTTACTTTCTGTTTTTGGCAATATATTTCATGAAATAGGTATGTTTAAGCAAAATTGCCTGGTTTTCAGAGATCAAAGCTATTAGTAAGAGTTGATAGAGCAGACGCCTTGCAGGCTTGAAAAGGCCAACTGCTACTGAAACTGAAGTAGTAAGAATATAAAATGAAAGAAGTTTTGAGCTACAATATCACACAGTAGAACTTCTCCATGGAACAAAGAAACTGCAATACAGGAAAGACCAGCTAAGGGTATGATATTCCCCTGAAGTACCGTACCCAATTCCCTCAAATTAACCCATTAAATGAGAGAAATAACATCAGGGCAAGGAATCTGAGAGATAAAGCAAAGACAATTGTGTCAAGGAAGAAATCTAGATGCAGTTACTGGCACATGCAAATGCATTGGAATAGATCAGAAACTAATTACAAATAGTTGAGCGAATTGTAACATGTGCATAAGCACACACACACATGCACACACATACACACACACCCAGAGCAAACATCTTGCATTGTTTGAAATTCAGTAAAACTCCCAAACCCTCAAAGTTGTTTAAATAGAAAACCGGCTGTGGATACTGGGATACTCTCAGCTAAGTATATCCTCTAAAACCTATTCCAATATGTACATGGAGGACAATGAGCAAGGAAGAGGCTGTTGGAGATCAGAGCTGTAGTATAATCAAGGAACTCTCACTAGCCCCAGCAGAGGAAACTGCAAAGTGCCTGATGTATTAGTCACTGTTATGTGTTACTATGAAGGAATACCGGAGACTGGATAATTTATAAAGAAAAGAAGTGTATTTTGGCTCCTGGTTCCGCAGACTGTTTAAGAAGCATGGCACCAGCATCTGCTTCTGGTGAGGTTCTCAAAAGGATTTTACTCATGGTAGAAGGTAAATGGGGAGCAGGCATGCCACATGCGAGAGAGGGGTTAATCGGAGGAGGTACCAGGATCCTTTAAACAACCAGCCTTCTCATTAACAACCAGAGCAAGAACTCACTCATTACCATGGGGATGGCAGGAGGTCATTCATGAGGGATCTGCCCGCATGACCCAAACAACTCCCACTTGGCCCACTTCAAACACTGGAGGTCACATTTCACCATGAGAGCGGCACATCCAAATTCTATCATCGGCCTAGCAGAATATCAGAATTGATAGAGACCAGGGACTACTTTGGGTTTCTCTTTGTCCTTTCTGAGTAGGAGTGTTTATTGCAATTTTCCTATTCCTGTTCCACTATTTAATATTGTGTGTCAGGGGAAAGAGATAATTTATCTCCTACTTAATAAGTCATTAGACCTTACAGAAGTACATCTTGACTGCATGACCTCTTACGAAGAATGGCATGTCATATTTTGGAATTTTTCTCAATGCTCTGACTAGATGGGGCTTCGTATTGTTTTACTTGGGAAAGAAGTGAGTTTTGTGTGAGTACGTGTGGGAGGAGAAATGAATAGGTAATTGGTGACCATAAGGGCAGACTGTGATAGAGAATAGCTTGTTGTTCACCAAACAGGGTTCTTCTTCCTTCTGGGCACAGAGCCATAATCTTTTTCCTATCTTCTCTTGGGGTTCAATGTAGCCCGTATATTAAACTGTGAAGAAAGAAGGTGGGTGTAATTTATAAACGTCATCTCTCCAACCCCTGGGAGAATGGAGAAGACTGTGAAGGTGTAGAGAAAGGCTGTGGTGTTAAATCTTTCAAATGTCACAGCTAACAAATGATAGCACTTCATGTTACTTTAATACATATAAGCACATACACATCCTTTATATTCACATGCAAATAAATGTAGGAAATAGGGGCAAATATCATGGTAATTCAAGTGCTTATCTCTGATATCAGATATTTCTGGACAGAATGCAACTTAATCAGGGACAATTAAGGAAGTTGTAAATCTAATATTAATGACTATCTTTTAAGTGAGCTATATGCTGATCACTAGTTTATTCATTTATTCAACAATAATTAATGAAGACTTACTGCTTTTGCTGTGCTAGCCACTGCAAATGGAGAGGTGAACAACACAGACAAAAGTCCTGCTCTTATGTGGTCCATGTGTTATGTAGGCATCATGATAAAATGAGGTAGGTGCGATAGCCAGAGGCTAAAGAATTTGCTGAAACTCACACAACTTACAAATGGTTAAACCCATACCCCTTTGGCTTTAAAGCTTTTAGTAATTTCATATATTTGAACATTTCAAATTAAAGTAAGTGTTGGATTGTACTTGCCTAAAAATTGCCTCATGTATTTTTTGGATGTAATTATGTGGTCCATTGCATAGCTCCAGTCTTTAACATTACTACACTGTAATGTTTGATACAAATCTTTCCTGTGAGAACTTGATACATTTAAGTCACAGAGTATATCTCAGGCTATAATAATCTTCTAAGAATGTGATTTTACTTATGTATCATCAACACAATTTCATATATTACATCTAAGTGGTTTTGAATTATCCAGATAATTCTTTCATTTTTTCCTTCCTGCTTAACATATGGTCAAGTTGGGAACCAATTGCTAAGTTAAAGCGGGAGCAGGCATAAACATAAACATATGAAAATCACTGGTAAATCTTTGCCATTCACTGTATATAGATTATCTACTTTGAAATTAATTTCACATATCACTATAAAATCTTGTGTGAATATTTTCTCATACAGTAAGGAAATGGTTGAATATAACATGTAGCAAAATGTGAACTATAAATTAGAAAATAAAATCTTGATCGATTTTCCAGTGTAATCTAATTGCGAATATGAGCAAATTAAAGGAATTTTATAGACTTTGGCTCCATAATAGACTGTTAGTGAATGGAGCTTCCTCTTGACTTTCAGTTCCTTGTGTAAAGCTATTAGATTTCATATCTCGTCTCAGATTTGACAAATGGTGCACTGAATGAAGCACTCAGACTACAAATGAGAAGTTATTACTCCAGGAGGAATTTGATGAGCTTAAAGAAAATTCACACGTCCCTTTTTGTCTGTATATCCAGAGAAACTAATTAGTGAAAAGGTTTCCGGAATTACAATAATCTGTTAATGTAGTTATTTTAAATATAAAACCTTGGTGATTTTAGTTTCGGTTTGTTTGCAATTATTTTTCAATTAACACATAAGAATGATGAACTCTAGAGTTTCACCATTGCTCATATTTTGCTTATTCACTACTGCAAAATGAAAATATTTTGGATAAAATGTTCTTAAAAAATAAAGCAAAGAAAATGCTGCCTAAAAACATTTATATAATTTCTGATATTTTAAAATCTTGGTTTCTGTTTAATTGTTACATAAGCAAAATTATATAACAAATAACATGTGTATAGTATAGGACACCTTGATTATTGTGTGTTTTATTAATCCATGGAAGAAATACTTTTTAAAGGTATTATTTTGGAACAATATTCAATGAAATATGTTTAAAGTTAATTATCGTTCCATTCTGTATTGGTTTTCTCTTGCTCTTGTAAAAAATTATCACAAATTTAATGGCTTAAAACAACACAGATTTCTTATTTAACAGTTCTGAATGTCAGCTGTTTAAAATGGGTCACAGGGATGCTTTCCTTCTGGAATGGGAAAATCTGTTTCCTTGCCTTTTCCAGCTATTAGAGGCTGCCAGCATTCCTTGGTTCATGGCCCTGAATAAGTCTGGCCTTTGCTTCCATTGTCACATTTCCTTTTCTCTTTCATGATTACACTGTCCCTACCCAGATAATCCAGAATAATCCCCCCATCTCAAGATGCTTAAGTTAATTGCATTTGTGAAGTCCCTTTTGCAATGTAAAGCAACATGTTCATGGGTTTCAGGATCAGGACATGCACATATCTGAGTGACACTGCACAGCCTACGACACCTTTGATTTGTGATATTCATTGACCACTAATTTATTTATATGCACTTACATTGTAGGTGACACAAAATTGAAAAGGAACTGGATTTTATATTAAGAAGTTTATGGAAGAGAAAAGAGAGACAGTGAAGACACTGATAAATATTACTATGGGTTCAGGAAATATGTTATGGAAACTCAAAAGAGGAATTACCTTGTACTTTTCAGTTCACAACCAGAGTATTTACACCTTATCTCTCGGAATCATATTAAGGTATAGAGTGCAGCATGTTCAGATAAAAGAAAGAATTGTTATAGAAATAGAAAAAAGTCAAGGAAGGCAAAATGAAAAGAACTAGGAATATTTAACTCAGAAAATAGGCTATGAAAATGAGTGGATGAAGAAAATATTTGATACGTGTATGAATATTATTTAGCCTTAAAAAAATGAAATCCTGCCATTTGCAACAACACAGATGAACTTGAAGGACGTTATACTAAATGAACTCAGCCAGACACAGAAAGACAAATACTGCATGATCTGTCTTACTGACATGTGGAATCTAAAATAGTCAAACCCATAGAACAGAGAGTAGAATGGTGGTTGCCAGGGTTTGGGGGTATGGAAGGAAATTAGGAGATGTTGATCAAAGGACATAAAGTTTCATTTATGCAAGATTAATCAATTCTGAAGTTCTAATGTGTAGCATAGCATAGTGACTATAGTTAGTAATACTGTATTGTGTACTTGAAATTTGCTAATAGGGTCAATCTTAAGTGTAAGCGTTCTCACCAAAATAATTTTTCTAAAGCTAACTATGAAAGTGATGGAAATTTAACTAGCTTGATTGTGGTGATCATTTCACAATGTATGCATATATCAAAGCATCAAGCTGTATACCTTAAATATATATAATTTATATATATTATATAATATGAATATATAAAAATTATATATAAATCTGTTATATATATCAAGCTGTATACCTTAAATATATATATTTTAAATATACTTTTTAAAATATATATTTTTAAGGTATATTTAAAATATATTTTTTTAAGATATAATAAATACATATATTTTAAATATAAATATATAAATATATATTAAATATATTTTTTAAGGTATACAGCTTGATGCTTTGATATATGCATACATTGTGAAATGATCACCACAATCAAGCTAGTTAAATTTCCATCATCTTATATAGTTAGCTTTAGAAAAATTATTTTGGTGAGAACACTTACACTTAAGATAGACTTATTTATTTAAATATACATAAATTATATATATATATATATATACGTGTGTGTGTGTAATTTCTAATTATCAATTATAACACAATGAAACTGAAAAACTCTTAAAAAGAAGAAAAGGGACTGTGATAACTATCTTTAAACACTTGAGGTAATATGATTTGAAAGTAGGAGTGAACTTGTTCTGTGTATCTCCAAAGACAGAACCAATACATGTAAACAATAGGAAGTCAAACTTTGACTCAAAATAAGAAATAACTCTTTGAAAATCAAAAGCATCGAAAAGAGGAATGGACTTCTTCAGGAGGAAGGGAAGTAAATAAAAGAGGATATTTGGTTGTGTAATCATAGAGAAGCCTCACACATCAGATGTGTGTCTGAACTTGATGATCCTTATTTTCTAAGATCTCCAGTTACGTGATTTAGGACAATCTTCCTATAAGGAATTGCAGTTGAGATTCATATGGAAGGATAAGTATTAATAGGATTTAGATATCTTTAACTTAGGAGAGGATACATCAAATTGAATGAAAAGCATGAGCCAAATGGAAGCAGGTGGGTGAGTTTGTTTAATAAATTCTCATGACAGAACCTTCTGTTTGATTTGAAGGTGTGCGCCCGGTAGTATTCAGGCCTGTCTGAGAATGTCTGAAGAACTATTGTACTAAGTCTGCTAAATGTCTATTGTTTATTCACCAGAGAAACCAAGAATTCTCCTGGAAAATGAATTAAAAATATAGTTGCTCTGAGGAAACTGAGAGAATTAGAGAAATTGATATAAATTATTTCCTCAGCTACTCATATTTATTTCCCAATAATCCATCTAGTGTTTCTATAGAGTAGAGGTTTGAGGAGAAGTATCCTTCACCTTGTTTTATATTTCTTTGTGAAAAACAGCAATTGATGTAACATTAAAGAAGAGTGAATCCTCCTGGTGAATTGGATGAGGAATTAAGCAAAGAAAGAAAATCTAGTGTCTTCCTTGCATCACCTCTTTGTGTCCATTTCTATCAGAAATCAGACATTCTGTGCTGTTTCCCCATGTCATATTTTACAGGCAAGTCCTCAAATGAGGAAGCCCATGGTCTACTGGTACTACCAATATCAAGCTGAATAATTCTTCCTTATTCGGGGATTCAGTATTAAGAAATTTCTTGTTTCCGTATATCTAAGACAGCTTTTTCAGTATCACTCTTATTATCAGTAATAAAAAAGTAACTGAGCTCCATTCTGACTCACTTTCATCTTCTCAATTGCTTCAGAATTTGGGAAGGAGGAAAGGGGAATTATTTATTAGACTCCTTCGAACACCAATAGTGAACAAGTTAGAGAAATAATGATTTGTTACTGTTAGTTTAATGCTTTATGCAACTTGTAAGGTCTCAATAAAATTACTGTTTGTTTTATTTTTCTCACTTTATTCTTACCTAAAAACAAAAGGACAATATTGCTATCTCAATAGTGTTTGAAATTATTGAGATTTTAGGTGTCGTTAAAGCCAACACATAGAACATATACAGATTTTTTTTAATCAAAAGTTAATCCAGTAAACAACCCAAATGTCCTCAATTGTAGAATGGATAAATAACGGTGGAAATAAGCAAACTATAGTAACACACAACAACCTAGATGAATATCAAAAACATAATGTTAAGATAAGGAAGCAAGACACAGAGAATATAGTTTCAATTTATGTTTAAAAAGCTACAAAAATGGGCAGACTAAACTATATTGTTTAAGGAATACATAGGTATTACAACAATATAAAAAGAAAGGAAATTATTATCAAAAAATTTAGAATAATTCTGGGGGGTAAACGAAGGTATTGCAAATGAGGAGGGGCATGTGGTGGGTAACTAGGGTTGGGGCAATACTCTAATTCTCGACCTAAGAGGTAGTTACACGGAGGTGTGTCATCTTTTGATGTTCTTGTCTCACAATCCAGACCAACCTATTCTTTGTCCTGTCTTTTCACTTAACTTTTATCCTCCTTAAATTCTACCAGCATGCTATTCAGCTATACCTATTAGAAATTATAATTTTCTCTTTCTTTAGATTTATGAGGAGGATAAGTTTATATCTACAATCTCTTCCCTTTTTTCTCCAGTAAATCCTATTTCTTTCTTTGGGATAGCAGTATACATCGTGGAGATGGAACATTAAATGTCTTACTGCTTTTACTTCTGTTTTTATTTTATTTTATTGTATTTTCCTTCATCACCTCTCCCTCTTTCTTCCATCCTTTCCTTGCTACCATCCTGTGTGCTTGTCTTTTAACTTTGGTTCGTTTATTCTAGGAATTTCCTCCCAGAATCCTGGAGTACCACTTGAAATGACAGCTACATGTTTATAATGGAAATAGCTTGTTTTTGGATTTTATGCAGTTTCACTATGAGAAACAGATAAAATGAAGTTATTAGCACATAAGACTAAAATCAAATTCACTATGGCATAATAAGTAAACACACCAGAAATCTCAGAACCTTGTGGACAGTGAGAAAAACCAGATAAAAAAATAAACCCCCACAGCCATATTTTCTTTCTACACTGAATTTTAGGGACATGTTAATATGGCATACGTGCCTGTTGTACTCTATTTGTTCTAAAATGTATTCCCATAGTATTAAAAGAGTCTCTATAGCAAAGAGACAAGTTGGTTTAATGATTCATCTTTAGGATTTAGACTTCAAATGAGAAAGAAGTTGTAAGATGATTTTCCAAAATAGTCTTGATTAGGTGAGAAGGGGTGTGTGTGTGTGTGTGTGTGTGTGTGTGTGTGTGTAAATGACAGTGAAAATTAAGAGTTCTTGAGGTTTTCAAATAGTCATTATTCTGGTATGGTAATTTACTTTACATTAAAAAGTCTTTCAGCCAAAATAATCATTTGCAAAAAACTAATGAGATATATAATGACTTTATAAATTAAAATTATACGGTAGTACTCAATTCTTATATTTTCCACAGCAATTATGGTGACACTATTTAATGGCACAGCATAATATTATACATTTATTTATGACAATATTTCTGTGTGGAAATGGAAACTGATATTTTTTAAAATCCCATTTAAGAGAATTTAAAATTTCAAAAAATATAATTTATAATCTGAAATATTTTGTTACTAAATTATGCATAAATCACTGCAAGGTAAACTCAGCGCAAGTATTTATAAAATGATAACGAATTATTTTTTAAATTAAAAATATTTTAGTGCTAAGAATAATAGTTACAATTTTGGTATCCCAGACATAGTTTTAATGAGTTAGGAGAATACAATTTTATATTTCAAATGTGTATATATATTAAATTATATACATTTTAAACCAATAGTTTATCATAAGTAAAAGAATACTAAACATACTGAAAAGTATTGTTAGCATTATTTTTTCATTAAGTTTTGATAAGTAGTATATGTATCTTGTACAAGACATAATACAACAGCAAAATTGAATTTAAGCATTGGAAAAATAAAAAGCAAAAATACTTTATAAAGAGAAGCCATATGAGCAAAATGATAGTTTTAAACATAATTTTTTGGCTCTAGAGTAAGTATACTAAAGTATTGCCTAGCAATAGCAATAACTGAAGATGCGATGAGAATTGGAAATATCAAATTTGTCCTTTTATAATTAGTAGTTTTTAAAATTATATATGGAATAATTTACCCAAACTCTACAGAAATACAGGCAAAATAACTTGATATCTCAAATAACATCTGCCTAATATTTCTCTTTTTCCCTTATCAAAGGACTGGTCACTTGATAAGGTGAAAATTGAAGTGTAGACAATTTCCCTGTTCTATTTCCTAGAATAACTACTAATATTATTTGAGGTTCAAAAAAAAAAGTGTAATACAGCTTACTAAATGTTAGGTGATATTTTAGGAAATTAAAAGAAATAGCTTGGTCTCTATTTTCTAAAACGTGCCATACAATTAAAAAACCGATAGAATATTCCTTATAGCATTTGTTGTAATTAGACCCCTGTAGCTGAAAGTCATAAATATGATTAATGCACTGTTGATACCTGAGATATTACTCAATATGATCATATTTTATATGTACTAATGATTATATAAAATAATAGCAAAGACTAATAAATTCCTAAGTGTAAGAACTCAAAATTATATGAGCTGTTTTAGTTAGTTTATATTAATAAGGTAAATAGGAATAGAAACAAAGCATCAATAAAAATCAATTTACTTAAATTAGGTATAGGATGTTGATTAAATATACAGTTAATAATAATTTTTTAACAACTTATATGAAACAAAAAACATTAACTGTTCTATACTTTTTTGAAATAAATTACAAGGCATCTGGAAAGGGCATAATCTCACTAAAAGTGAACGACTGAATATTGAATTCAAACACCATGCCAATGTTCTTTGAAAACAAACATCAAACACTTAGAAAGCATATATTACTTATCATTTATGGTTATAAAAAGCATAACTGGTGCCACTTTTCCATTTCCATCTCTTAAATCACACTACCTCTTAATTAATGATTCTGCTCTCATGATTTAGCATATTCATTCATTTTATGATTTATTCCTTCATGGAGATGTGCTGAGAAAAAATTCTAAAAGCAAAATTAATTCAAAATAACCATTTAGAAAAAATGTTGTATTACATATATTGTATCCATGTTTGTGATTTTAAGATTTTCTTTTTTTTTTTTTTTCTTTTTTTTTTTTTTTATTATACTCTAAGTTTTAGGGTACATGTGCACATTGTGCAGGTTAGTTACATATGTATACATGTGCCATGCTGGTGCGCTGCACCCACTAATGTGTCATCTAGCATTAGGTATATCTCCCAATGCTATCCCTCCCCCCTCCCCCGACCCCACCACAGTCCCCAGAGTGTGATATTCCCCTTCCTGTGTCCATGTGATCTCATTGTTCAATTCCCACCTATGAGTGAGAATATGCGGTGTTTGGTTTTTTGTTCTTGCGATAGTTTACTGAGAAAGATGGTTTCCAATTTCATCCATGTCCCTACAAAGGACATGAACTCATCATTTTTTATGGCTGCATAGTATTCCATGGTGTATATGTGCCACATTTTCTTAATCCAGTCTATCATTGTTGGACATTTGGGTTGGTTCCAAGTCTCTGCTATTGTGAATAGTGCCGCAATAAACATACGTGTGCATGTGTCTTTATAGCAGCATGATTTATACTCATTTGGGTATATACCCAGTAATGGGATGGCTGGGTCAAATGGTATTTCTAGTTCTAGATCCCTGAGGAATCGCCACACTGACTTCCACAATGGTTGAACTAGTTTACAGTCCCACCAACAGTGTAAAAGTGTTCCTATTTCTCCACATCCTCTCCAGCACCTGTTGTTTCCTGACTTTTTAATGATTGCCATTCTAACTGGTGTGAGATGATATCTCATAGTGGTTTTGATTTGCATTTCTCTGATGGCCAGTGATGATGAGCATTTCTTCATGTGTTTTTTGGCTGCATAAATGTCTTCTTTTGAGAAGTGTCTGTTCATGTCCTTCGCCCACTTTTTGATGGGGTTGTTTGTTTTTTTCTTGTAAATTTGTTTGAGTTCATTGTAGATTCTGGATATTAGCCCTTTGTCAGATGAGTAGGTTGCGAAAATTTTCTCCCATGTTGTAGGTTGCCTGTTCACTCTGATGGTAGTTTCTTTTGCTGTGCAGAAGCTCTTTAGTTTAATTAGATCCCATTTTCCAGGTGCGTCCGTCACCCCTTTCTTTGACTCGGAAAGGGAACTCCCTGACCCCTTGCGCTTCCCAGGTGAGGCAATGCCTCGCCCTGCTTCGGCTCGCGCACGGTGCGCACACACACTGGCCTGCGCCCACTGTCTGGCACTCCCTAGTGAGATGAACCCGGTACCTCAGATGGAAATGCAGAAATCACCCGTCTTCTGCGTCGCTCACGCTGGGAGCTGTAGACCGGAGCTGTTCCTATTCGGCCATCTTGGCTCCTCCCCAGATACATAGTCAAGATTTTCTTTCTTAAAACATTTTTCCCTTCCTGACAGTAATATGTTTACTCTGAAAATTTGAAAAAATATAAAGAAAAAATAAAAGTTACACTAACACTTCAGTAATATCTTACTTCAGGGAGAACCATCCTTTACATTTTGATAAATATCCATCAATACTTTATATGCACATCCAAGTATACATTTGATTATATACATTCTTTAGAAATAGAGAATCGTAATATACTTACTATTTTATAAAATTCCTGATGTCCTCATGATATGAAATATTTGTCAATAATATTATTTGATAACTGCATAGTAGTTTATTTTATGAATGAATCATATATTATAATAAAGTTAACTTAATTCCCCTTGTTAGACAAATAAGTGATTTCTTTTTTAAAAAATATTAACAATGTTAATGAATATCCTTGATATCAAAAATTTTTGTACCTGCATGATTTTCTTAAAAGTATATATTGCTATACATATGAAGTCAATAATCTAGGGAATAGCAGTTGTAACCTTTTCTAAATGTATTGCCAAATTGTTTATTCCCAATGCAATGCTAATTTTTACACATACCAATTGATAAGCACAGTTTTTGTTTCCTTGTAATGCAACTATGCTGTGGATTGTCTCTTTTATTTGAACATTTAAGTACTAATTGTGTAGAACTTTTTTTTGTATAAAATGTGAGGTTGTCTTTTCATGTAATTGTTTCTAAAATATTTTACTTGTCCTTATACCATTTATTAAATTATCTATTCTTTCCAACCTTATTTGAAATGCCAATTTATCTTGAATTAAATTTTTTCACATTTAATTCTGGGTGTCTATTTCATTGGTCCATTTGTACGTAAAATCCAGTATGATTATCTCTAAATATATTCCTTCTTCAAGCTCTCATGCAGCATGCTACTTATCCTATCATATTATTTATCCCCACAGTATTGTAATTTTGTATTTTTCTACTGCTTCATATTGCTGTGTCCATAGTGTGCATTTTGCTAGCACATGAAGCAAGTTAGTCATAAAATATATTATTGAATTTTAATATCTGAGAAGTAAAGACTCTATAAGCCTTTCTTTCAAAATTTTGTAAGGTTTTAAAATTGTTTTTCTTATTTATTTTTCAAATTTCAGTATTATTTTGTTAAGCATCTTTCCTAAAAGCTCAGTGCAATTTTCCTGGTATAATATTAAATGTATAAATTAGTTTGAGAAAAATGTACGACCTTCAACGTTAGTTTTTTTCATCCAGGAAAGTAGAACGCATATTTACTTGAGACTTCTTTTATACTTCTGACTAAAATTCAACATTTTTCTTCACATAGGTCCTGCATGTTTCTTTTGAAGTTTATCATTTAGTACTTACTATTTTATAAGTGAAATAGTTTTCTGTTAAATTTCTCTACTAGTTATTGCTAGTATATTGAATTCTTACTAATTTTCACAGTTGTATTCTATTTTCATGGGGTTTTTAGATATATATAATTATATCTTAAGCACAGTTTTTACATTTATATCATGTTCCTGATACTGATTATAATAATTTATTTTTATTGCCTTATTATATAGGCTAGTATTTCCAGAACAATGTAGAATATCATTAATCTCATTATTTTTGTTGTCCTACTTTTTGTGAAAATGACTGTAATATTTCATTATGACATTGAAAATTGGTTCTTTGCCTGAGGTAACATTCTTATACTGAAGAAGTTTTATTGTACTCCTAGTTTACACAGACCCTTCTCCAAATACTGAGTTTGGATCAATATATTCACTGCTCATTACACGTATTTGATGCTACTACAGAAGTTGATACAGTCCTTCTATGAAAATGTCTTTCTAGCCTCATAGAGAGGAAAAAGAACAAAGTAGAAGGATCATAGAGGTCAATGGCTCTTTCTCCAAGAGAAGCAATCAGTGTCTCAACAGAACTCTGATATCCTGGTGTACAGAGCTTCTGAAGTGAAGCTTACTATTTCCTCCATTACATTATCTGAAATTTTGCTGCTTCAAAGTTCTTGAATACTTCAAGTCCCTTTCCATGTGTCATCCTTAATAACATGAACAATGTATACTAATTAGTATAATACAATATTTTTGTTTTATATCAAAATTAAAAGACTTTAGAAAAGACAGGAGACAGAGAAGGGCATGAATATCAAGGAGGGAGCTGTAATTCAGCATAAGATTTGAGTTGGAATGGCAATTAAGCACCCACTACAAGTCTGAATTACATTAGCATCCTTTCAGTGTCCCTTTAGTCTTTATTGGTCCATCCCTGCCATACATGAACTTCTTCATTTATAACTTTTTTTTTCTTAGGTAGTGTACTTTAGTGACAAAACAAAAATGCATTTCCGTCGTCTGTGCTATTTTTTCATTCATTAATTTACCAAATACATTTGAGAAATTCACACGTGCCAGGGTGCCAGGTTGTTTTAGACTTTGGGGAAATGATGATGGAATTAGATGAAGTCCTTAGAATTAAAACTTACTTTCTAGTGGATAAATCACAGACAAAATATTATAAAAATAAGGAAGGGAATTTGGATAATGAGACATGTGATGCAAAAAATAAAACATTATAATATGATAGATTCTAACTGGAAGACTATTTTAGATTCACGAGAAAGGAAGAACTCTAGGAAGGAGAGTCTAAAATTCCACCATGAAAGAGATTCCTTTGATTGATATATTAGCCTCTCAGAGTGTTAATAGTTCTGGCCAGTGTAAGACATAACTCTAGCATAAGCTCATACCAATTTCTACTCAGGAGATCAAAGGATAGGCCTAATTTGGGATAAATCTTGGTGGGCAAAACCAGGGGACCCTGAAAGGAGGAATACAAAATAAATAAATGGATATGGAATACAAAAAGAACAGGGAAGAAAAATTTTAACTACTTCAAAATTTACCTCAAAGCTGACATTCAGCAAAACTTCAAATGTCAACATGGTATGATTAGTAGAGTTTGTACTCATTTCAGCCATTTAGGATGTATGACAACAAGACCTGGAACTGTACTCTAAAATGTACCATTAATAGTAACAGCTACAGGACTCCTAAAAATGCTATCTTTACTGCCGCTGCCACTACTACTGCATGCTACTGACACGGATATTATTATTATTTCTATTATTACAAGCCATAGGAAAAACTTGTATCAAAATTTAAGAAAGAAATCCTACATTTGATGGAGAACATCATCATTTAGGAAATACATGCCTTTCAATTTCAATTGTCTCCCTATAATATGGGTATTTTTCTTATTTCATGGCAGTATTTAGATCCTGAATTAAAAATGAGTGTAGGCCAAGAGCTTCTTATGGAAAGGGTACTATGGCTTCTACAACTTTTAATTTTATCACATTTAATACAGCACTTAGCGTATAACCAAAGCCTAATTTATATTACTTGAAATGATTTTTGAAATGTTATATAATGCAATAAAACAAACACACAGCTATCCTTATTGTTTTGGATTAATTGTTCCTTTAGATATCTGCTTATGTATAACTAAGGACTAGAGTTTTTCTTTACAATATGTAGAGAAATCTTCCCATATGTAGAATAATTCATTCAGTATGTGAAATTACCATGTGGAAAGAGTTCTATAACATTATTCACTATGGCAAAATGAATGTTTTCTATAATGTACATCTTGTGAAGCCTCATCTGAAAAGGCGTAATTTTGAAATTATCAGAAGACATTGTATCCTCACTTCAATCTGGCTATGAGCAGTAAGACATGTACTCTTATGTGAGTAGTTAAATGACATTCAATATGGGTCAAATAATAATAACCAAATACAAGTTTTTGCCTATAAGATATTCTAAAACATGCTGCTCATTATTTTTCCCTTCTTGTTTTATCCATAAAAATAAGCAATATTTGAAAAACTTCTTAAAGATTATTCCTAATTTTATAGCAGTATTATATGTAAAGCCATTTTTATATTAAGGTAAAATGTCCAACGTATTTCATTCTACATAATAATTGAGTAATTAACAAATATTAATGAAACAAAATTAAACAAATGACAACTATATTACCCTAACCTTGTTTCAAAAGAGCTGCTTTTCTACACCACATATTCTGTGCCTACCTATATTTCTATGGCCATATTGCCTGAAGTGGGGTATGCCTTTCAGACCATATCCCTTGTGAAAATTATGCAGGAATGATTTCTAATGAGAAATTCCTTACATGAGTTGGGTCAGTTCATGACTGAGTTCAAATCAAAAATCCAAAGATCATTAAAATTGTACCAGTAATAATATATTTAATAGAAGTTTTATTTCATATCTTTCATGTATGTATATGTCCCATATGTGATTACGTATCTATGTATGTATATATATTCATGGGTGTATGCATGAATATATTCATACATTCATATGCTTGATTCCTATAAATTACCTACTAAATACCTAAACCCCAATTATCTTTGGGAAGAAAGACTGAAATTGACAAAGCATAGCAAATAAATGAATTAACTGAGAAATTTGAATCACACAAAACACACACATGCTGATTTAGAAACAAAGTACTAGAATTAAGTAAATAATGTTTTCTTATAATGATTTATTGAATTAGTCCGGATAGTTATACTCCTAGGGGGCAGTAATTATATATTTTGAAAAAATAAATAAGGGAATGAATAAATGGATGCTCAACAGTAGCCAGCACTTCAGGTAATATTTCTTGGAACACATAGAAATATTAAGTCAATGAATGAATCATGTGAAACCAGATTTACACAGACAATATGGTTTTGTGACAAAATTTTCATTCTTTTCTGTGCAGTTATTTTGAGAAAAAAAAATTCAAGTTGCAACATTGACTGAGTAAGAGTCAAAAGTTTTGTACCTAGAAGTTATCCCACAATGAAAATGTATCCCCCTTTTTAACAACCAAATTAGGTGCACATTATTTGAAAGCTGACTGGTTTAGTCTTAATTTGATGATATATTTGTGTATCTATGATATATTGGGTTACTTAATTTTATTTCAGTAATACTAAATAGGAATTTAGTGTTTTCTTCATTATCAATATATAAAATAAGTTTAAGTAGTAAATTTAGCCCTTGTGACTTTATCACCAATAAACACATCATGTATTTTTATATCACATGACAGTTGTTATAGACATCTTAGAATATATTCTATGGTCAGCACTCTTGAAATTACACCGATTTCACCCATCTTATTTAATGAATTAATAAAGAGGTATAGTTATCTTACATTTTTATTAAATGATGTTACTTATATTTCAGTGTAATTGTTTTCTTTTCAATCCAATTAAATTTATTTTATACTTTTGAAAATGACTATTCTGGGAAGGTATCCATGAGTTTCCTCAGACTACCAAAGTTCTCCACAGCACCCACAAGTTTAAAATTTTTTGTGCCTTCATTTCTTACTTATAAATTAGGGATAATAATATTAGGTTGGTG
This sequence comes from Homo sapiens, assembly GCF_000001405.40. Taxonomy (NCBI): domain Eukaryota; kingdom Metazoa; phylum Chordata; class Mammalia; order Primates; family Hominidae; genus Homo; species Homo sapiens. The sequence continues at coordinate 46,733,225 of NC_000014.9, forward strand.
CAAAAGTTATCGCAGTTTTGGCCATTAAAAGTTTACTCTTTTTTTAACCAAGTAGTAACACCTATTTCATGGGGCTATTGTGAAGATTACATAAGATAAAAGATAATACTAATTCATTATGCATTTCCGTTTATTACAAAGTGAATTTTACCTCCAAAAGTATTCTCTAATCTTTTTTTTCTTTTATTATTATTATACTTTAAGTTTTAGGGTACATGTGCACAATGTGTAGGTTAGCTACATATGTATACATGTGCCATGCTGGTGTGCTGCACCCATTAACTCGTCATTTAGCATTAGGTATATCTCCTAAAGCTATCCCTCCCCCCTCCCCCCACCCCACAACCGTCCCCAGAGTGTGATGTTCCCCTTCCTTAATCTTTATGTACCTCTCTATTTCCGCAGCTACCACTTAATTCCAAGCTATCATATCTTCCATAGGAGCTACTGCTGGTTCTTAACTGACTTCATGCTTCCATTCATAAGTCCCTTTAAACTGATCCAAACTATTCAGCCAGGAAAGCTGCTTCTTTTTTTTTTTTTTTTTTTTTTTCAAAACACAATTCTGGATTATTACAGACTTCTGATTTGTGCTCTGACATATAAAGAGCTTGTAAATGATCATTCCTGTCCTAACAAGAGAAAAGATGTACAAATTGAAAATTAATGAATTTTCTGAGATCCATCAGAGAACAGAAGTTACAGAAAAAAACTCATGCCCCAAAAACTGGAGCGAGGGGCAAATACACAGAATCATAGTTTGCCAGGATTTGAAACTGCTGGAGGCATGAGCAGCTAAGAATGCTTAAATGATAATTGATTAGCTGTTGGAGCTTGAACACTGATCAGGCTTGTGAGATAAAATCCCCTGGGAGGTTTCAAGTTTAAGTTAAAGGCAGCCCTCATACATTCACGGATTTTACCTTCAGATGCCCTACCAGGTTCTCATGGCGAAGAACAGAGGAAAACTCTCTTGTTTGACCATGGGCAGGAAAAAAGTAACTATTTTGAAATATGCTCAGGTTTGAAAGATAGCCATTTTGAAATGAACCCATAGCATTTTCCACAATAAAGGCCAGACCACCAAAGGAAAAAGCTGCACCAGAGTCTTACCTGACTTGGAGAAAGAGAACTTAGCCAACTCCAGTCCCCTCTACCCTTCCTGTCTCATCTAAGGTGAGAAAACGTACTGAGAATTATATATTTGTGAAGGGCACAGCTCAGGGTATCAGATTAACAGGATTACAGAAAGCTTTTCCTCCCTTTACACATTAACACTAAATCAACAAGGCTCCTGTATAATAAAAGCGAATTACAGTTGAAAGAATTGCAAAGTTCAGACTCTATTTTACAAGGCGTTTCTAGGGAAACTCAAGACAATAGAAACTATAAAAATAGACAATAGAGTCCAGTGCGGTGACTCACTCCTGTAATTCCAGCACTTTGGGAGGCTGAGGTAGGCAGATCACCTGAGGTCGGGAGTTCAAGACCAGCCTTACCAACATGGAGAAACCCTGTCTCTACTAAAAATACAAAATTAGCCAGGGTGGTGGCGCATGCCTGTAATCCGAGCTACTCAGGAGGCTAAGGCAGGAGAATTGCTTGAACCCGGGAGGCGGAGGTTGCAGTGAGCCGAGATCGCGCCATTGCACTCCAGCCTGGGCAACAAGAGCAAAACTCCATCTCAAAAAAAAAAACAATAGGCAATAGAGGAAATTGCAATCTCTCAGATGAACAGCTACAACAAACAGTAAATGTAGTCTACCTCATAGCCAGGAAAACATAAAACCTCAAACTAAAGGCCTATACACTTGAGTTCCTATTATTGATGCATCGTGTTCAGCTTTCTACAAGAAAAAAACACAATGTGAAGAGACAAAACAAGGCAGAGATTTTGGAATTGTCAGGCTGCAAATTTTAAATAACTACAATTAATATACTACAGACTTTAATGAGTGAAGTGAAAAATGCAAAGACAGATGAATAATGTAATCAAAGGGGGTACAAATTCTAAGACAGAATCCAAAGAAAATGCTAGAAAAAAAAAACACTTAAACAAAAATGAAAAACTTGGATGTGCTCAGCAACATAGTGGACAACCAAAAGAAACAATTAATAATCTTCGAGATATGTCAAGAGAAGCTTCCCAAACTAAAATGCAAGGAGAAAAAAGAATGAAAACATGTTAAACAGAATAGCCAAGAACCATGGGACAATTATTAAGATACAATATATGTGTATGGGACAGAAAAAGACAAGAAAGAGAAAGGAGTAGAAAAAACATGTTTGAAGCAATAATCATTCAGAATATTCTGAAATTAAACACAGAAACCAAACCACAAATCCAGGAATCTCAGAGAACCTCAAAAAGAATAAATACCAAAAAAGATATACCTATGACTATCATATTTAAGGTGCAGAAAACCACAGTGAGAAAGAGAGAAGAGAAATTTCTTTTTTAACTGATATTTTAAGTTCAGGAGAACAAGTGCAAGAGTATTATATAGGGAAATTTGTGTCATGGGGGTTTGTTGTACACACTATTTCATCACCCAGGTATTTAGCCAAATACCCATTAGTTGTTTTTCATGATCCTCTCCCTCCTCCCACCCTCCATGCTCAAGCAGGCCTCAGTGTGTGTCGATACCCTCTATGTGTCCATGTGTTAACACTAAGCTGCCACTTATTAGTAAGAACATGTGGTATATGGTTTTCTATTCCTGTATTAGTTTGCTAAGGATAATGGCCTCCAGTTCCATCTGTGTCCCTGCAAAGGACGTGATCTCATTCTTTTTTATGGCTGCATAGTATTCCATGGTGTATATGTACCACATTTTCTTTATCCATTCTATCATTGGTGGGCATTTAGGTTGATTCCATGTCCTTGCTCTTGTGAATAGTGCTGCAATGAATATATGTGTGCATGTGTCTTTATAAAAGAATGATTTATATTCCTTTGGGTATATACCCAGTAATGGGATTGCTGGGTCCAATGGTATTTCTGTCTTTAGGTCTTTGAGGAATCGCCACACTGTCTTCCATAATGGCTGAACTAATTTACACTCCTACCAACAGTATAAGTGTTCCCTTTTTACCACAACCTTGCCAGCATCTGTAATTTTTTTGACTTTTTACTAATCGCCATTCTGACTCATGTGAAATGGTATCTTGCTGTGGTTTTGATTTGCATTTCTCTAATGATCAGTAATGTTGAACTTTTTTTCACATGCTTGTTGGCCATATGTATGTCTTCTTTTGAAGGTGTCTATTCATAAACTTTTCCCACTTTTTTATGGGGTTGTTTTTCTTGTAAATTAGTTTAACTTCCTTATGGATGCTGGATATTAGATCTTTGTTTCTATAGGTTGTATGTTTACTCTATTGATAATTTCTTTGGCTGTACAGAAGCTCTTTTTTAGTTAAATTAGATCTCACTTGTCAATTTTTACTTTTGTTGCAATTGCTTTTGGTGTCTTTTTCATGAAATCTTTGCCCGTGCCTATGTCCTGAATGGTATTGCCTAGGTTGCTTTTCAGGGTTTTAATAGTTTTGGGTTTTACATGTAAGTATTTAATTGATCTTGAGTTAATTTTTGTATATGGTATAAGGAAGTGTCAAGTTTCAATCTTTTGCACGTGGCTAGGCAGTTATCCCAGAACTGTTTATTGAATAGGGATTCTTTTCCCCATGGCTTGTTTTTGTCAGGTTTGTCAAAGATCAGATAGTTGTAGGTGTGTGGTCTTATTTATGCGCTCTGCCTTCTGTTCCTTTGGTCTCTCTGTCTGTTTTTATACCAGTACCATGCTGTTTTGGTTACTGTAACCCCATAGGATAGTTTGAAGTCAGAAAGCTTGATGTCTTCAGCTTTGTTCTCTTTGCTTAGGATTACCTTTGCTATTCGGGCTCTTTTTTTTGTTCCATATGAATTTTAAAATACTTTTTTTCTAGTTCTGTGAAGAATTTCAGTGGTAGTTTAATGAGAATTTTATTTAATCTATAAATTGCTTTGGGCAGTATGGCCATTTTAATGATACTGATTCTTTCTATCCATGAGCATGGAATGTGTTTCCTTTTGTTTGTGTCATCTTTAACTTCTTTGAGCAGTGCTTTATAGTTCTCCTTGTAGAGATCTTTCATCTCCCCAGTTAGCTGTTTTCCTAGGTATTTTATTCTTTTTGTGGCAAGTGTGAATGGGAGTTCATTACTGATTTGGCTCTTGGCTTGACCGTTTTAGGTCTATAGGAATGCTAGTGATTTTTGCACACTGATTTTGTGTCCTGAGACTTTGCTGAAGTTTTTTCTTTTATCAGGTTAGAAAGCTTTTGGGCTAAGACAATGGGTTTCTATAGATATAGGATCATACTTTCTGCATACAGGGATAGTTTGACTTCCTCTCATCTTATTTGAATGCGCTTTATTTCCTTCTCTTGCCTGATTGCCCTGGCCAGAACTTCCAGTACTCCTACATTGAACAGGAGTATTGAGAGATGGCATCCTTGTCTTGTGTCGGTTTTCAAGGGGAATGCTTACAGCTTTTGCCTTTTCAGTATGATGTTGGGTGTGGGATTTGTTATATATGACTCTTATTATTTTGAGGTATGTTCCTTCAATACCTGGATTATTGAGAGTTTTTTAACATGAATGGATGTTGATTTTAATTGAAAGTTTTTTCTGCATGTGAGGTTTTTGTCTCTAGTTGTATTTATGTGATGTATCACATTTATTGATTTGTTTATGTTGAACCAGGCTTGCATGCCGAGGATGAAGCCTACTTGATCATGGTGGATAAGCTTTTTGATGTGCTGCTGGATTCAGTTTGCCAGTATTTCATTGAGGATTTTTGCAATGATGTTCCTCAGGGATATTTGTCTGAAGTTTTCTTTTTTCTTGTATCTCTGCCAGGTTTTGGTATTAGGATAATGCTGGCCTCACAGAATGAGTTAAGGAGGAGTGCTTCCTCCTCAATATTTTGGAATAGTTTCAGAAGAAATAGTGCCAGCTATCTTTGTACATCTTGTAGAATTTAGCTGTCAATCTGTCTGGTCCTGGCCTGTTTTTTGGTTGGTAGGCTATTTATTACTCCCTCAATTTCAGAATTAATTAGTGGTCCATTCAGGGATTCAATTTCTTCCTGGTTCAGTCTTGGGAGGGTGTCCCAGGAATTTATTTATTTGTTTCCTGTGTCCAGGAATTTATTAATTTCTTCTAGATTTTCTAGTGTATGTGTATAGAAGTGTTCATAATATTCTCTGATTTTTTTTGTATCTCTGTGAGGTCAGTGGTAATATCCTCCTTGTCATTTCTGATCGTGTTTTTTGAATCCCTCTCTTCTTCACTGGTGTAGCCAGCAGTCTATCTATTTTATTATTCTTTCCAAAAAAACAGCTCCTGAATTCATTGATCTTTTGGATGTTTTTTCATGTCTCTGTCTCCTTCAGTTCAGCTCTGATTTTGGTTATTTCTTGTCTTCTTCTAGCTTTGAGATTTGTTTGCTCTTGGTTCTCTAGTTATTTTAGTTGTGATGCTAGGTTGTTAACTTGAGATCTCTCTAACTTTTTGATGTGGGCATTTAGTGCTATAAATGTTCCTCTTAACACTGCCTTAGCTGTGTCCCAGAGAAAAATTTAAAATAACTCAGAGGAAAACAAAAATGCCTTATCTATTTTGTTGGTTAATTTTGTGTGTCAACCTGACTAGATCATGTGGTGCATATATATTTACTCAAACATTATTATGAGTGTTTCTGTGAGGGTTTTGTTGGATGAGATTTACATTTAAGTTAGTAGACTGAGTAAAGCAGATTGCTCTCCACAATGTGGATGGGCCTCATCTAATGCATTGAAAGTCTAAATGGAATGAAAAGGCTGACTCTCCCTTGATTTTGAAAGGGTTTTTCCTATCCAAGTGCTTCTAGCTGGAATATCAGTTTCTTCCTGCCCCTGGATCCAAAATGAAATATCAACTCTTTCTGAGTCTCGAGTCTTCCAGAATTAGGATTGGAACTACACCATCAACTTTCCTGGATTGCTGGCTTGTCACCCTCCATAACCACAAATTATGTGATCCCATTTCTTATAATGAAACTCCATATTATAATGAATGTATATTATAATATATAATAATAAATATATTTTACATAAAATTATTTTTATATATGTATGTGTATATATGTACATATACACACACATCTCCTGTGATTCTGTTTTTCTGGAGAACAATTTTTAATAGGTAGAGGAATAAGACTAAGAATTACATCAGACTTCTCTTTAGAAACCATGCAAGCAAGAAGAGGGTGGAGTGAAATACCTAAATGTTGAAAAAAACCCACCAACTTAGAATTTTATATCTAAGTGAAGGAGTAACATAAACTTTTTCAGACAAATAAAAACTCAGAAGACTCTGTCACTAGTATGATTGCATAGTAAGAAATATTTTTAAAAGTTATTTCGAGAAGGACAATGATATAGGTCAGAGACTGAGTTCTTAAATGAGTTCTATAATTTCTCCTTGATCTTGGGATAGAGATGAAAATCCCTAATATGCCTACAGGGTCCTGAACACACTCTCCCTGATGACCACCCTAGCCTCTTCTGTAATCATATCCCTAAGTAAAAACCTACTAGAGTACACTGTCATAGCAAAATGTACTTCCATTGCAAGACACTATTCATGGTTAATGTTTTTATTTACCATTAGACTATAAATTTTGTAAGAAAAGAGACAGTGTCTAAAATAAGGCACCATCGTTTCTCCAGTTTTCAACTCAATTTCTGATACGGAATGCCTTAATGCAGGGGTCCCCAACCCCTGGGCTTTGGACTGTTACTGGTCAGTGGCCTGTTAGGAACCAGGACACACAGCAGGAAGTGAGTTGACAGACCAGTGAGCATTGCCACCTTAGCTCTGCCTCCTGTCAGATTAGTGGTGGCATTAGATTCTCATAGGAGCGTGAACCCTATTGTAAACTGTGTATGTGAGGGATCTAGGTTGTGCACTCGTTATGAGAATCTAATGCCTGATGATCTGAGGTGGAATAGTTTCATCCCAAAACCATCCCCCGCCCATGTCCATGGAAAAAATTGTCTTCCACGAAACCAGTCCTTGGTGCCAAAAATGTTGGGGATCACTGCCTTAACACATATTTGTTGAATCAATCAATCACTTAATGACATTACTACTTTTTGACTAAAATGCTTCAAAGACTAGGCAAATGATAGCTATTTCCAGATTAATTATATAACTACAGTGTCATCTCAGAAACTTGTAGTAGATTTTTTTATTACTCAGAGTTCTCCAGAAAAACAGGACCAAAAGGAGAGAGAGAGGGAGGTTATGAGGAATTAGCTCATATTATTAAGTAGGCTGAGAAGTTCCATGACCTACTGTCTGCAAGCTGGAGACACAGGCAAGGCAGTGGTGTAGTTCCAGTCAGAGTTCAAAAGCTTGACAACAAGGACAACCAATGGTATGATTTCTAGTCTAAGTCCAAAGGCCTCAGAACCAGAGGGCTGATAGTGTAAGTCCCAGTCCAACAGCAAGAAAAGACAAATGTCCCAGCTCATGTCCCAGCTCAAACAGTCAGGGAGAAAGAAAATTGTCCCTTGTATAATCTTTTTGTTTTGTTCAGGACTTTGATAGACTGGATGAAGCCCACTCACACTGGCCTGGGTAATCAATTTTACTCAGTCCACAGATCCAAATGCTAATCTCTTCCAGAAACACTCTCACCGACAGACCAAGAAATAATGTTTAACCAGATATCTGGGCATCCCATGTCCCAGTCATGTTGACACATAAAATTAACCACTATACATTTGGATAGGCCATTTATTTATTTTAAGGAAAAATATTACAAACTGGGGACTCATTAAATATGGCCCTTCAACAATTTTGGTTTGGCCTACAAATTGTTTTAAAAATTAGTCAATTTCTGAAGAAATTCTAAAAATTAGTACATCTTCTATGGGGTATCCAGATTACTATTTATATATAAAAAGTAGAAGATCTGGCAAAATAGCATTTATGTTCTCACATGGCAACATGTGACTTCAGTTTACTACAGTTCCTGATACCTTTTGCCTGTTTAATTTACTGCTCCTATCTTTAGAGAAATTTTGGTTTGTTAGTAAACTTTTATAAAACTTGAGGTTTTATAAAAATGGATTATTACTCAGAATTTTTGAGCTATGGAAGATGCTTTAATTATTTGATAATTTTGCCTGAGGTAGAAAAACATCAATCTTTGGTACAAGAGAATATCCAAATTATGATTTTAAAGTATGCATTCTTAATATCAATCTTGTTTCCCAAAAAAAGGGTAGCAAAAAATGACCTGTAGTATCATTGATTATGGCTCTGCTCATAGTCAGGTGGGAAAATACTTCTTTCCATTCTATAGGATTTTCCTGGTAAAAGCCATTTCCTTTATATATTTCTCTAACTGAAAGGAAAACAATGTGTCCGGCTCAATGTTTAATATCCTTTAATTCTTGGCACACTGCCTGCATGGAGTAAATACCTAATAAATATTTGTTTCAAGGTATATAAAAAGGTAACATTCAGTGATTCTTAGTAGTTAGAAAACTATTTGGGGGTTAGAAAATTAGCTTTAATTATATTCAGAAGCATTTATCAATATGTTTGTAACTTTCTCATCATTGCCAGTAGAATAAAGTAACTTTTAGAGATGGCCGAATGGTTGAAAGAATTGATTGAACAGATATGACTTGCTGAAAAATACGTACTTTTCCAGTTCTCACCAGTTCTCAAACAGTAATTGTCCATTGTAAAAACACATTACGGAAAACAGTGTGATTCTATAAATTGCTTTTAAAAGAGTTACATAGGCACCTGATATTTGGAACTGATTGGCCAGTTGAGTGTTTTCAAGTGAGTCAGCTTTCAACCTCCTGAAAAGCCAATTGCATCCAAAATAAAGGTATGGACTCTAGGCTGATAGAAATGGATCACTTTAGCAGAAGATTAAAGGCTGACTTGAACAAGGACTTCAAGAAAAACAAGGAAACAAGAATTTGAATAGTTGTCCTAGAACTAATGATTTCAGCTTTATCTTTAACTTTCCCACCTACAAATGGATTGTTATATAAATATTTCTTCCTCCAAAAGTTCTTTATTCTACTACATATATTCCAAGTTATTGAAAGCAAATTAACTGAAGACACTGAAGACCATGGATGTGTTGTTCCCACATTGGCACAGACTAGAACTAGCTGGGAGATTAAGAAAGAAAAAATTGGCTGTCCAGGTCCTATCTGTAGATACTCTGATTTGACTGATCTGAATGTGCAGCTTGAGGATGGATATTTTCTTTTTCTACCTGTCCCTGTCCCAGTTTTTTTTTTTTTTTTAGTGTGTACCCACACTTTGAGAACCACTGTTCTAATTCATGATCCTTAAAATTCCATTAATATTCATGCCCTAGAATTTCTTAACTTCTTTCACTTGTAGATGAAAACAAAAGATACTTACTTTGCTTCAGATCTCAAGGATTTGAAGAATATAAATATATAGTCTTATATCAAGAATGGCCTAGGCAAAGATTATTTTAAATCAGATGTTAGCAATGTATTGTTGTATCATATTTTCTTGACTATCCTATTTCTCTCAACCTTTGAGAGACAAAGAAATAGAGAGAGACAGACAGACAGACAGAGATCATTTCATCCCACCATTTCCAAACACCCATGTATATATATCCTAAATATATCCATAGCTTCTGGTTTCATATAAGATTTGAATCAAATTTTTTTCCCACTCAGAATAACCACATCAACAAAAGCAAATGTTTATTTCTCACTCTGAATATTTCATTGCTGAACTTTCAACAGCTTATATGTTACAAAATCGCCCCACGTCTAACCTCAAATATTATTTTTACAAGCTACTATTGAATTGAAAAAGCGCTTTAAACACAGTGAGACTTTCTTACTCACAGAGAAACAAAAATCCCTGAATGACTATAGAGAATAAAAATTCTCCAACCTATCAAGGAAAACTTATCTTCATGACTGGTGCCTCTCATGATAGCAATGATAGCACAATAGCACCCTCTTGACCAATTTTCAGATTTGAAAAAGTCTTAACACAATTTGAATTATGCCTCTGTAGCAAAGTGAAAGGGTGTATTTTAATTTTGAAACGTACTTTTACCAGGCAGAATGAAAAATGATGTTACTCAAGATGAACGGAGGCAACATTCTAGAGCAGCAATTCTCCAGGTGTGATCCCCAACCAAAAACGTCAGTGTCATCACTGAACTCAGAAGCCCAAATTCTCAGGCTTCACTATAGACATATTGAATCAGAATCTCTGGGAGGATGGCCCAGCAATCTGTGTTTTAACAAGGTTCCAGATGATTCTGATACATGTTAAGCTGTTATAAGTACTATTCTAAAAAGAAGATATTCCCCTGATACCTACAGTAAGCTAAATTCAACCCATGTCAAAGTGAGGGAAGCCTCAGGTAGATATTCTTTTGGGGTCTTGATACCCTCATGGAATTGTGAAGTCTAAAAAAAACCAGTTACTCAATGTAAAGAAAAACAAACCAATAAGACAGAGATTGAAGGGTCAAACTATAGGTTGCTATACTCAGGAATGTGTCATTGTGCTTACATAGCAAGTAACACGGAGTTCATCTTTCTGTACCGTGAAAAGATTCTTTTTAAGTTGTACCCAACGTGGGACTTAATCTTTCTGTCACAAAAAATTGAATTATAATCTCACCCTTCTCTGTAGCTCCATCAGACCTTACAGGAAGCTGTCCAGGGACACAAACATTTCTCTGAGAGACACAAAACAGAATATCACAGTGCCAGCCTAGTAGACAACATTTCCAGGAAATAATTCACCCAGAAAAGGCATCTTCAGAGTGCCCAGAAGAAAAAAGTTACCAGTATGAGTTCTACAAAACTAAAAACCAAGTGACTCAAGCTCAAGAAATGTAATCAAAAAAAATCTTTTATTTACACTCACCTCCCTGTAAAAACGAAAAGCAAAACCCAAGTGGCTCCTTTCTGAGTCCAGTTATAAAAAAATCTTAGTCTATAATGCGGATATGGAAAAAGGACTGAATATTCTCTGCAAATAAGATACAAGATGATTAGACACCTTTGTCCACTGACAGAAAGGAACAGAGAACCTTCCCACCTCTGGCTAAGTGGATTTTGTCAATTCTAGTTTAGTAGGATAGTCTTTATACATACCATCTATTTTGTTTTCTCCTTGGTAATCCTTCTGACCTGTACATCTCCCATTGTTTGAATACATTTAGTAGCTAAAAATGACACAAAGAACCCAGTAAAAAATATAATTGAGTCCTTGATTGAAAATAATAGTTTTGAAAACTCTTACTTTCAAATGCAAAACCTGAGCTTCTTCAGAAAATAAATTACACACACACACACACACACACACACACACATATACACACACACCTCAAAAAACTTTGCATTCCAAAATTCAAAGTGGCAAACTGCAGAAAATAAACTTTATAATATAAGCCATAGGGTAGGAAAGAATGCTGTCAGAAATTGTTTAATAGAAATGTATGTGACATCGAAAAAGGAAATTGAGGGTTCAAGTAAATTTAAGGCATATGTCAAGAATATACATGGGAATATTTATCTCAGAAGAAAACCATGAAAACATCTCTAGCTAAATCCAAGTTCAGTAACGGAGTTAATAAACAACACAGGTACATTTGGGGCATAGGTACTAGAGCATAAACAACTGGCTTCCTTAAAAAGCTTACTTAAAAAGCTGCAAGTATTATCACCAAGTCTTACACTCAAATAGTAGAGAAAAAGTGGCAGTAGAAATTCTTTAGGTGGACGCACTGGATACAATCTCATAGCATCTCTTAAATTCAAGATTAGTCCAAGGATAATAGCTAAGAATTCTCAAATACTACCCACTAATAGGTGAAAACCAGTAAGAGCTCCCAAATACCATTCATATAGTGGCTTAGAGGACTAGCATGTTGGGAGAAATTTTATTATTTGGATGGAAAGGACCTGCCAAGATATGACCACTCAAAGTCACGACAAGACTTCACAAGTGATACATTGGGGATAGAAGCCAAAATCCTGAAACTAAATGGAATGTGACTGCCCCCCGCCCCCACCATAAAGCTAATAGAAGGCAAAGGAAATAAGAAATAGACACTCAAGAAAAACTGAGTGTCTATTTAGGATGGTGAATATGATTGACCATGGCATTAAACCTTGATGAGGGATCAGATGATGGTGAGAGCTGGAGTACTAGAGAAAGTGATATATAAAGAGAGGAAATGGTGGTCAGAGAGTGAAATACTTGAGGTTGAGATGATAGAGGGGCTGTAATTCTTGGTGACAGTTTTGGGTAACGACAAGGTATAGGATATTGCCAGGGGAAGAAGTGTCTGAGACAGGAAGGAGTACAAGATGCAAAACAATGTTAAGAAACTGAAACGTAAGCTATTAGAATAATCATTGATTTTAGAATTCCAAGAATTATATAGTCCTGTTGGAGATATGAGTTTGAAAATCTTCAAGGAGTTAAAGGGCAGGGGCTGGTGGCAGTAAATCACCATGATAAGGAGGCTTAATGAGTGATTTAGTCTGATAATAGAAGAGATTCAAAGCTGTGTGGTTGACATGTTGGGAAATGGTCACAAGTGACAAAAAGGAGCACCATCCTTACAGTAACACAGTAGGGTGGGGGAAACCCAGTACTTGAGAGGGCATCAGAGGAAGTAACGTCTTCAGATTAATAAACAGTGTTTTTTTTTCCCATTTGTTTAGATGTCCTTTAATATCTCAGCAAAGTTTTGTACTTTACAGAGTATAGATCTTGCACATTTTTTGCCAGACTTATCTCTAAGTATTTCAAACTTTTTAAATCTATTGCAAATGATAGTGTTTATTTAATTTAAATTTTTGATAATTGACTGCTTGTAGATTTTAAAGTGCGATTAAAAACACAAACATTTATTATCTTACAAATTTCTGAGGGCTAAGAATCCGGACGCAGTTTAGCTGTGTGATTTTCATTCAGAATGTTTCATGAGTTTGCTGTCAAAATGTTGACCAAACTCACATACTCTCAAGGCTTGACTGGGGCAGGAGAATATACATTCAAGCTCATTCAGCTCCTTTCAAGCACTGGAAAAAAAGCCTTAGTTCCTTGCCACTGGGGCCTCTCCATAGAGCAGCTCATAATATGGGGGGACTCTGTTGGCTCTCAGAGACCCTGGAGACATTTCCTGGTCTCCTGAGCTCTGTCTCTGGAAGAGGGTGAAGTTTAAGATGACAGATCTCGGGATGAATCCCAGAGGTCTGTGCCATGAATATTGAGTACGAGCACATGGTTCAGAGTGCCTACACCACCCTCTGATCATTTGTAAGTCTCTTTTCTCTCTGTTTTATTTTGGATACTTTTATTGTTATGTCTTCAATTTCACTAATCTTTTCTTCTGCAAGGTTAATATGTTGTTGATTCCATCCAAAGTATTTTTCCTATTGGATGTTGCAGGTTTTTTATCTCTAAAGTTTGACTTGAGTCATTTTTATATTTTTTGTGTCTCAGCTAACTTATTCAAATAGCTTATTGAGCATGGAATACAACTATAAAGCTGATTCACTGTCCTTGTTTACTGATTCTGTCGTCTGGGTCATTACTGGGTCAGCTTCAACTTATTGAGTTTTTCTCCTCATTCTGGGCCATATTTTACTACTTCCTTCATGCATGATAATATTTTTATTGGACGTCAGACATTGTGGGTTTTATCTTGGTGGGTGCTGAAGAAACCTCCACTTTAGAACGTTTCACAAAGGCAATAGTGATACTGTCACACAATAAGTGGTGAAATCTGTATTTGAATTATCAAGTCTGCATCCAGAACTTGTGACCTATAACATTCCTTGCCATGTCTGTTTTTCCTTCTTGTATCTACTTGGCCTTTGGACCTGGCTATTAACAGCCATTACTGGCCTGTTCCTTTCTGCGCGCCAGAGTCTCTGTGTCATTAAATAATGACTCTCTCTGAAACTAGAACACTGACATTCCTTTTATTTGAAATAACCTCAGATTCTAAACCTTGCACTTGTCTAGATCTTTTAAAAATGTATACACTTCCCTGGATTTGTCACTCCTTCAGAATGCCTTGCATGTCAAGTACAATGATGTTAAGTAGAACATATGCTCAGCATGGACAAAAGCAGCTTTTGTTTTGGAAGCATTAATCTGAAGCTTGAAAAAAGAAAGAAATTCTGTAAGGATGTGACAAAGTGTAGGCACATAACATTTTGGCACCAAGAACATTTGGATGTAGTTGCTTTGAACTGGAGCTTTTTTGTCTCTGCCTTGGAAAAAAAGGAATAGATGAAAATTAAACATGCTAACGGTCAGATACACGAAACAATGGGGGTGTGCATGGGTTGAGCGGTAGAGGATTTTAGGGAAATATAATTTAAAAACAAAATCTTCTCAAAATCTGCCCCCCAACAAAAGGAAACCTTGATATGGTTTGAATATTTGTCCCCTCAAAATCTCATATTGAAATGTGATCCTCAGTATTGGAGGTGAGGCCTGGTGGGAGGTGTTTGAGTCATGGGGGTAGATCCCTCATTGATGGCTTAGCACCATCCTTTTGGTGATAAATGAGTTCTTGCTCTATTGCTTCACACAAGAGCTGGTAGTTAAAAAACAGCATGGCCTCTCCTCTCTCTCTTGCTCCCTCTCTTGTCATGTGAGATGCCTGCTCCTCCTTTACCTTCTGCCATGTGTCAAAGCTTTGTGAAGCCTCACCAGAAACCAAGCAGATGCTGGTGCCATGCTTGTACAGCCTGTAGAAACATAAGCCAAATAAACCTCTTTTCTTTATAAATTACCCAGTCTCAAGTGTTCCTTTATAACAATGCAAAACAAACTAACACACCTCTCCAAAAAGCTAACAGAGACAGAAAATAGTTTTATTATTAAATAAGCATTAAATCAGAATTTCATATACATCACAGGCAATCCACCAAGAAATTGTGAAGACAGAAAGAAATCTTACCCTTTTACATAGCTGAGCAGGTACAACCCATTTTGTACATGTTCTCAAGATTAACAGTAACTAATCCTCAAGTAAGAGGACTTGACACTTTTGTTACACACAATATATCCTAAATTCACTTGGTAGTTGGGGTAACTATGTGTGTTAGCTAGTTGTCTCTCACCAAAGGAAAAATTAACTTCTTACATTTTTATTACAAGAGATAGTTCTGCAACTTGGAACAAGATCCTAAGTTAGATCCCACCCTCCCACAAAAATGGAGAGAGAAGGATGCTATCTTCTTTGATGTTTTACATGTCAAAGAAACTCAGGTTTTGAGAAAGACTTCCCTGGTTTATAAAGTTGACAAAAGTCCTACATAGTTTTCAAAAAGATTTATATAAGTGTCAAAGAGAGGAGAAAATACTTATAATTGTAAGTTTCCTAAAGTGAATGGTGTAAGAAAAAGGGTGGGAGGGGAAATCTTTCCTCGTTTTCAACTGAGAGAATTTAGTTTTTTAAAAAAAGGTTTTTATTTTTCCTTAGAAGTGCAAACTTAAATCTCATTCTCAAAGTGTGAGCTCCACACCAGCAACATCAGGATGACTTTGATATTTTGTTAGAAATGCAGAATTTCAGTCCTCACTTCATGCCTACTGAATAAGAAACTGCATTTTTAAAAACATCCCTCATTAATTCCAATGCCCATTAATCTTTAAAAATCACAGTTTTACAGGAGTAAAAAGAGGAGTTCCAGATCTTCATCCATACTTTATTTTGGCCACAGATGGTTTCAGGTTTCAAATAGCTAGCATATCAGGTTATTATTAATTAATTAATGACCCCAGGTGCTGAAGCCAACATATGAAAACTCAAATCCCAGATAAGTGCACCGGAGTCAATGACTTCAGCCTGAACGACTCTATATCTCATCACATTTGGTCTAACACCTTCACAATCCACTCCCACACATGCTTCCAAGGTTTCTATATAAATAGATTGGCAAGATTTTCTAACTCTGTTGGAGTATGAGTTATTTCCTTCTTAAGTAGATTTTGAATCTTACTATGCTATCTATGTTTATTCTTATATTATGAGACAGAAGACAACTTCCAATGGTGAGTTTAAGTCTCTTTATATGGCAAATGACATAGGTGCAGTAATTTAAAGGTTTATACAGGGCAAGGCTGGTGTTCTCAAAAGGGTGAGTGTGGATAGCACTGTTTCTACTAGCAAAAGAGCTTCATGGTATTTGAGAATGCATAACTTTTAGCCTCATTCATATTGTCTAGGGTGTCCCCAGTCAGACATGTAACATTAAGACTCCACTCCTTCCCCTCTAGCTCTCTTACCTTAGCTTAAGGTCCTGGTATGGTTGAGCATTTAATTAGTGTTACAACAGCAATTCTTAACAACGAAAACATAGGTATGATCTTCAGTCATATGTGCCCTACTGTGATAGAAGATGCGATACTTCTATCAAGCTACCTTCAAAGTTTTCTTTTTTTTTTTGTTTATTTTCTGAGTTGCATACTTGCAGCCTTTAATTTCACCTTCTTCTACTGTATGTTCTCTGGGGCCATCAGAGGAAGCCATGATATGTCTAGTTATGTTTGTCACCATAGTGACTAATTGCCATGGCTACTTGATATCCCCATACTTTGTTCTTCATCTACATGCCATCTCATGCACCATCAGTGATAATTTGAATAATAATGATTTCACCATATTTACAAACATGCCATTACCCTTCAGAAAGGAGGCTACCCACATGCTTCTCAATGAAGGCTCCCAGAATCTCTCCTTCCAAGGGGCTGTCCTGAAGTCACTCCAGCTTTCCAAGACTGTATCAGTCAGGGCCCTGGCAGAAGTCCTACAGACTTGACACAGTATCGCTAAATATCATGAACTTACTCCCTTACTGCCATTCAGTCTTTTGCTATGCCTCCCAATTGTCAAACCCAAGTAGGAGCCAGAGGGTAGGAGGGCTGGTTGGTGTGGTGCACAAATATTCCTAAGACACAGAGCAGAGTGGAGGATGAATCTGGAGGGGAAAATGGAAGACATTCAACACATCTGCAATCTGAGTTCTAAACACAGTATTTGACTTTCAATTTTCTTTCATGAGAAGAAAATCATAACAATATTCATTGTAAAAATTACAATATACATGCTGACATCTGCTTTTACTTTTTCACTAAAGTGCAGAAAACAAACAAACATCTGTCTAACATAATAGAAATCTGAGAAATCCCAAAGCTTTTTTCTTTTTTTTTTTTTTTTTTGAGACGGTATCTCACTCTGTTGCCCAGACTGCAGTGCGGTGGCATGATCTCAGCTCACTGCAACCTCTGCCTCCAGGGTTCAAACAATTCTCTGCCTTAGCCTCCTGAGTAGCTGGGAATACAGGTGCCTGCCACCAGGC
Source organism: Homo sapiens (assembly GCF_000001405.40). Taxonomy (NCBI): domain Eukaryota; kingdom Metazoa; phylum Chordata; class Mammalia; order Primates; family Hominidae; genus Homo; species Homo sapiens. Next base: position 46,750,687 of record NC_000014.9, read on the forward strand.
GCGGCTAATTTTTTTTGTATTTTTTTTTTTTTTCTTAGCAGAGATGGGATTTCACCATCTTGGCCAGGCAAGTCTTTAACTCTTGACCTCGTGATCCACCCACCTCGGCCTCCCAAAATGCTGGGATTACAGGCATGAGCCACCTTGCCCGGCCCCAATACTTTTTTTTTTTTTTTGACGGAGTCTTGCTCTGTCGCCCAGGCTGGATTGCAGTGGTGCGATCTCGGGTCACTGCAAGCTCCGCCTCCCTGGTTCACGCCATTCTCCTGCCTCAGCCTCCCAAAAAGCTGGGACTACAGGCACCCACCAGGAAGCCCGGCTAATTTTTTGTATTTTTAGTAGAGATGGGGTTTCACCATATTAGCCAGGATGGTCTCCATCTCCTGACCTCGTGATCCGCCCGCCTCAGCCTCCCAAAGCGCTGGGATTACAACATTTTCTTGTATATTTTAAGTCTACAATTGAGAGTTTTCCATCCACTTATCACAACAATATTGACAATAAGACTTTTTAAAATAAGAGAATAAAAAGACAAAAATGTACTAATTTAATTATGGTCTCTTAAAAACTATAAGGTGCCTCACAATTATCTTACTACATTACATATCTGACAACTAGTTTTATTCATAGAACAGAAATAGATGTTTAGATATATAAAATGTATCTACTTTAAAAGGGTGTAACTTTTGGGGAATGAACATATTTTTTCTTAACTGGCCAAGAATGTCAGTAATATATTGTATTAAAACAGATTGGTTGTTGACCTTCAAGAAGATGTGATCTTTATGAAAGACAAAGTTCATGTAAGCAAAGAAAATATAATGAACAAAAGCCATTATCTCTATAAACAGTGACTCCAGGGACAGAAAGAGAGAGTTGGTCGTCCCACAGTAAGCAGATCTATGGAAACTTACTTCCTGGAGACCAAGGGAGCTGAGAGGCTGAAGAAAGAGTCTGACAAATCCAGTTTCTTGGAAAGAAATATTTAGTACGATCTCATGAACAGAGGCCATGTCTCAGGTTGTGGCAAGATGTGATGGCAAAAGCCAGTGTGGTTGCCCCTCGGATCCAGGGCTTATACCATAAGGAAATGGTACGTGTGCTTCAGAAGGGATGTGTAGAACAATGCTTGAGGGCAGGATTTATGGTAATTTACAATAACATCCAGGATTGTTTTGATGTAAGGGCAGGATTTATGGTAAGCATGCACTCTTACACAGGAAGAGTAGATAAAATAGAAATCTGAGGGATGTTCTCAGAACTGGGGTTAATCAGAAGTTAACATCATGGATTAACATCTAAGATTGAGTTGCTTTAGCCTCCACAGGTTTGATACTTTTTATATCAAAATAAAATGAACCAAATTCAATGATGGAATGTATATAAGACTGTGTGTCTCCCTCTCTCTCTCTCTGTCTGTGTGTATGTGTTTGTGTGTATGTATATATATGTATTTTTTTCATCAACAAGATTACTGACTTTTTCATGTTGTATCCCTTTTATCTTTAAAAATACATTTAATACATTTTTGGAAAACAAGAAACACATTTGTGGAAGAAATTACTTTTTCACTCAGGAATAAAAACAGTGATATTTTAACATGAAAACATTGGAGAAGGGAAAGGAAGAGATGTTAAGGTTATGGCAATTCATTTATATACAGTCTACCATTTTTCAATAAAATAGTTTCTCCTGAAATTTCATTTAAAATAAAATGGTAGAAACTTGCTTTTTGTAAAATTTTATATACTTATTGTCAGTTAAGAAAAAAATCTCTCATGTGAGAATAGTAGAGAGAATCCATGCAGAGGCAATCAAAAGATATTTCATTTCGTAAGGGGAACTGTTACCCAGCTCTAGCTGTCACCACAGGAGTTTTCGAGCTGGAGGCATATGTTTAGCTGTAACTTAGAAAATACATAAAATAGCATCCTTGTCTAAAACCTCAGAAGCAATCCAATTTTATTTTCCAATGAGTTTTTACAAAAACAAAGTATATCTAAAATATATAGCAACATCTATATATTATAAACCTAATTAAAAGAATTTTTTTTAATGGAGGGGAGAAGAGGTCATGATGTAGCTGCCTTTTGGTGAGAATATCACAACTTAATGGTGATTTGACCTATGTATTAAAATATTAAAACAAAATAACAGTATTGTTCAATTCAAACATCCAAGGAAGTTAATTGGTCAAATTTCTTTATGGCTTTATTTGAGGTCCAATTTTTCAAATTATAACAAACATATTCATAAATAACTAAATATAAAACTAGCTACTTTGGTTTAGGAATGGTCATCTGGTTGGCTGGATGAAAAACAGAATGTATATAACAAAACAAGGCCAAGAATTTTTATCATAGTCTACCTTATTTTCTAGTGAATCATTTTTATTCCTACAAAGATGCAATCACATTTTAAATTTATCATAGCTTTTCTTGGATTGCTTCTTTCTTAATATAGAATTCAATGAGTCACTTGCTTAGGTGGAAAGAAAATCAATACTGCAAATATAGTCAATTTTTTTACAGAAATTCCTAAGAGAAATTATTCTATGGTCCAATAAATTTCTTAGTGAAGAAATACATTCCATTACTTAGTATAAATATGTACTTAGTCATTTTACCCCATAAACTCAATTATATTGCAACCCTGTCTTAACAGTGTAAACTTTTTTCTTTTCTTCTCTGTGGAGCAGAATTTTAAATTACCACTCATTGTATTCTCATGTACCTTCCATTTAGGACCAAAAACTATCAATGTAAAGATTTCTCTTTAAAACTAACAGCTATAAAAATCAACATAAAAGGAAGTATACTCATGATTTGCAGCATTATCAGATTCTGAAAAACAATCTTTAAATGGATTCTTAACAAGAAGGTTTTGTCACAACTGCTAAATTTGAGTTTCTGAAATGCTGTAACCAATAAAATCGTTGGAACACATGGACACAGGAAGGGGAACATCACACTCTGGGGACTGTTGTGGGGTGGGGGGAGGGGGGAGGGATAGCTTTAGGAGATATACCTAATGCTAAATGACGAGTTAATGGGTGCAGCACACCAGCATGGCACATGTATACATATGTAACTAACCTGCACATTGTGCACATGTACCCTAAAACTTAAAGTATAATAATAAAATAAAATAAAATAAACAATTCCATGTCAAAAAAAAAAATGAAAAAATAATAATAATAATAATAAATTGGATAATTGTTATTTTGACCTAGTAGAGAACTAGTAATCTACATTTTAAAAACACCTAGTTAGTTAGAAGTGTTACTATTTCTTCAGCAAGATCCATGGTAGAAAATACCAAGTCCAAATCACAAGGGTCAAAAAATGATACTGATGCTTCGCAAACATCCTCTGGTAGTAACTGTTTCTCTTGTAAAGATTATAAAAAGTGAAGGAATTACCTGGTAATGTTATGTGAAATTTTTTATTCACTTGGCAGTTATACTTAGCAGTGCAAATTAATGTATTTTTAAGATTTAAAAAAACAACATTTAGAATTTAATTTGCCATGTCTGTAGTCACACAGCACAGTCACTTCTGGATGAATTAAAATCAATTTTATGAATCTGCACATTTAAAGTACTAGATGTGTATGGATCACAAGAAAGTACTCAAAGCTTCTTGGATCTTGTCTGAGACAGCAAGATGGCTTCCTGTCTTTTTTAACCTTTGATGCATTCACTCTTTCAGCAAATATAGAGCATGTGTTCTAGGCAGTAGTCTACACTTAAAACACAAAACAGGATGGGCAGACATGAACACAACCACAGTTAGTAAAATGTTTTATAACAAATATTATCAAAAATAGTGAAAGTTAAAAAAAATGATTATTCTACCTGGCAGTGAGAAGTTTGCTAGATGAGGATCAGAGAAAGCTTTCTAGGAAAAGACATATTTTAGCTGAGTCTTAAAAGATGAAAGTATGGATGAAGTACTGTTGTGTGAAAAGGTATATGTAATAAGATGTTAAAATCAAGGTTTTGACTGTAGCAAAAATAGGTGACCACAAAAGATAATTAGATGATTCTCAAGCCCCTAACTCCATCCAGGGTATGAAAAGGGTCGAGAATTGTTGAGTTAGGGAAGTGAGTTGCTTCAGAAAAAAGTGGGCTGTGAGTCCCACCTTTAAGTCCATATCCCTAACTAAGAGGAAGCATGCATAGTTATTTTGACATCTCTGAAATCAGAATATATCTTAAAATCAATAGTACATGATCTATTTTTGGTGGCGTATTGTTTTTCTTCGTGAAATATAAATTACTAGAGACTCTTACAATCAATGGCTTCTCAGTTTCAGTGAAATCTGGTAATGAAGGATTTATGAAGAGAATAATGAGAAAGAACTGCCTGATTGCTACTCATGATAATCAGTCTCCACTTCCCAACTCATGTGAAGGGATATGTTACATCTCTCTTCACTTCTGTCTAGAGAGGGATGTTAAAGAGACCACTGATAAGTCTGCTATGTTTCTTTGAACTTAGTGGACTCATATAACTAGGGTCTGATTCAAACTTAAAGGGAGACAGACAGTTGGTTGAGAGAGAATAAATTGAATGTAGTATGCATCTCCAGAGTGTTTCCCGTGGATTTATGTTGGACCGCAGGCTAGCACAGGGTCACTTTACAATCCTCCAAGGGGCAGGCTGGAGGGCTATGGCAGGCTCAGGAAATGACTGCTAATCCAGTGTGCCAGAGTAGAGGACAAATGAGATAAAGGTGGGAGAATAAATTAGATAGGCAAGTTGAGCCCAAACTGCAAAAATCCTTAACTTTTCATGTTTAAGAATTGGGTATTGATCCTCTAGGCATTGGAGAAACAGCTTAGTGAGCAAAGAATAATATAACCTGATCTCTGTTTTTTAAAAGTCTGCCATAGCATGATGAGTGAACAGGGGGGATGTGAATCTGAAGACAGAAAATGAAAGCAACAATTGTTTAAAACTGTTTTGCTCAAACTAGTTTGGATGTCAGGAAGTAACATAAAGTGAAAAAAATCAAATTCTTTGGGAAAATTCAAGAGGTAAACTGTTTTAGACAAGATTTTACCTATTATGTGTTTTCACTGAAGGTGGTGTTCTTTCTCTTCCTATCTTAAAACATTCATTTTAAATGGAATGGTTTTGCAAAAGTCAGTGACATACATTTGTTTTTTTTATCTATGGTGGTATCAAGATCTCTTTCATTTTTCAGTTTGAATTTATATAATTATTTTCTACAATGCATATTCTTACCGTCTTTGTGGCATAAATATATGTATGCCTATAGACCACAAGATGTGGTTTTAAAAGTGTTATAATAATGTTTAAATACCCAAATGTTTTATTATTTTTATTAAATAATTCTTTAATAAAAAGTATTTTGAGACACGTCACTTACATAAAATTTGTTGCATTTTTAATGTAGCTATCATGTTGTCAGAAACATAAAATTGCTAAAGATACATTAGACCTCTGATTATACATCTTGTTTTACAAATTCCTCCCACTGTCTCCTGAAAAGTATATTTTAACTAGTAAAAACATAGCAACTCTTCACAAAAACCTGCTAGCTTTTCCTCTAATTTTTATTAATGAATGTACTGTTAATTTATCATATCAAATCTTTTTTAAATTGGACAATTTTGTTAAGCAGTGAAAATAGTACTTTTGCCTTTTTTTAATCAGGCATAAAGTCTATTACATATTTTTGTAAATTTCTCAATGGCATGCCCATATATTTAGTATTTTGTTGTTTAAAAAAGTAATTTCAAATATCTCACAAAATTGTTGTACATGCATCATAGGTAACAATACCTCTGAGTTTCACTCTCTAATCAACAGTCAAGTAAACGGAATTTTTTAATTCTTGAAAGAGATTTACCTAGAATCACATAATTATTAAATTATATATTTATACACAATGCATTTGAGTCACTATCTTTTATTGTTGAAGCTACTGTCTTAGCTTGAAATAAACTATTAGATTCTGATAATCTGAACAAAAGCTCAAGTCTTATCTAAGTTTGTTAACCTTTATACGACTATGAGTGGCAAATAAATTCTTGTTCTAGAAGAAACTCCTATGGATTGGTGGTAGCTATGGCATTGAAGCTTACCAGGATAAGTGAAGGAATTCTGGTAAGGGCATAATTCAAAGTGGTTAATTATTACAAAGTATTGGCTAGTCACATACTTTATCATTTTTAGGCTAAAAGCTTTATCCCATAACATCAAGACATATGAAATATTAGCCTATGTTATTTATCATGTTTATAAGTTTCACTAATTCCACAAACATTTGCTTTATCCCAGGTAAATTAATCAGCCAGTCTTGAAGCTTCATCTGGCAGACCTGCATTCGTCCATCCATCCATTCATTAAGAAAAGTATTAGGAACCCAGGTGCCATGTGTCCAGGAATGACAAAGACAAGGGTCCTTGATATGGTTTGGCTGTGTCCCCACCCAAATCTCACCTTAAATTGTAGCTCCCATAATCCCCACATGTCATGAGAGGGACCCAGTGGGAGGTAATTGAATCATGGGAGTGGATTTTTCTTGTACTGTTCTCTTGATAGTGAATAAGTCACATGAGATCTGATGTTTTTATAAAGGGGAGTTACCCTACACACATTATTTTGCCTGCTTCCATGGAAGACATGACTTTGCTCCTCCTTCAACCTCCGCCATGATTGTGAGGCCTCTCGCCATGTAGAACTGTGAGTCTACAGGAATTTATTTTCTCATAATCCTGGAGGTTAAAAGTCAAAGTTCAAGATATAGGCAGATTTGGATATTCTGAGGCCTCTCTTTTTGGCTTGCAAATGTCCACTTATTCACATATTATTCCTCTGAGCATAGACATCACTGCTGTCTCTCAGTGTATCCAAATTTCCTCTTTTTATAAGGATACCAACAAGCATGCATTAAGACTCATCCTAATAGCCTCATTCTAACTTAATTGCCTCTTTACATATCTCCAAGTATGGTTACATTCTGAGGCACTCATCATTAGGACTTCAACTTATGAATTTAAAGGAGACACAATTCAGCCCACAGCAATATTACATATTGCTGGTGTATATCTGTAAGTAAATGGCATACAAATACCTATACATTTGAGTACCAGTTATTTTCACTGAGAGGGTTGGACATGGAGAAACTGCTTTTGATTTTTGAGGATAGAAGCTTACCTTACATTTTTGTTACATTGTGGAGGAAATAGAAAAATATTGTGATAAAATCAGATTGTATTTGGTTCAGAGCTTTTCTTGTTGAATAGAACAATTGAACTTATATGATGTTATCATCATAATTGTATTTTTAAATTTTTTATAATTTATTCAAAGACAAGGACAATTAAATAAATGAATAATATTTATTTACCAAAAATTCTAATTTTACTACCATGTATGTGAATTGCTACTTGATCTTGTGACCTGACTTAGATAGTCCAAAGTTAGGGGCACCATATTTGCAAGGTGGAACATGCTTCTGCAATAGTGCAGACTCAAATACTTTTAAGGACCAGTAGGTATGGAAAAGAAGTGAAGCAAAAGGCTAACAAACTACAGGGAATGATGGGAACTGTAGTAGGTTAGTTGTGTATAACCTAATGCATAAAATTTAAAATCCTTTAAAAATATGTTATGCTAAACAAATACACGAGACATGGTCTCTGATCATTTAATATCACAATTTTCTTGGCTTATTTCTATTATAATGAATTAGTAAATGTGTACTAAACAATAAAGTTATGCTATGCTGGAAAACAAAGATAAGGTCTTGAAGATATACATTAAAGGCATATTCTTCTTAAAAACATTTACATGTTGCTTTCAAAATTTTACATTTATCTAACCCATAAGTCTATTTTTCCCTCTTCTACATAATAATGACTACATGATTAAATGCATTTTAGGATTTTTACATTCGTAAATAATCTTGTCTTTCTGATGAGCATGTGTGTTGGTTTTATAAATACTTTACAATTTAAAATTTAAAAGTGCCATATTTGCCTATGATGTGAGAAGTTTCTTTTTTTTTTTTTTAGTTATCAGTGGGAATTATACACATTTTCTTTTGTCGCTACAAGCTACCACCTTATATGGCATCTACTAAATGATTCATATTTAGCATAGATAAATTGAATAAGAAATATAAATGATAATTCCATTCCTTTAGGAAATAAGATCACTTTCCTTTTTAAATTTCACTCTTTGCGAGTCTATCAGCCAAAATCGTCAAAAAAAAAACCACTGTTAGTATAAATGTCCCGTGGGATTTTATCACTATCTAGCTAACCAAAATAGGAAACACTAATGGGTTTTCTGAGAAAGATTTATATACAGCATCAGCTACTTTAAAAGGCAAGGTACATTTATAACATCTTTTATGTACCAGTGTACCTTTTGAATATACATCATGTTTTGGGGATAAAAGACTTTAAATGTAAGTATTCAAATAAAATCAGGTTATTGATTCATTCAACAGCCGATCTGCTACCTCATAATTGCATTTTATGAAAACCATTGTGTCAAATACTTGAAGCTGTTCATCCCAATTTTAAAAATAGCAAAATATACCATGAAAGAATGACAAATCTGGAATCAATGGTGTGAACTGAAAACTCAAGTATATTTCTAATCCTTTTGGAAATCCTTGATCATTTCAATTGCCATGTAGGATAAAGAAGTTCAATGACTATCAAAATAATTCTAGATAATACTTTGCTTGGGGAAATTTAGAAACTTATGCTGATTTAAACGTATATTACTTTCCCCTTTTAACTGGAGTTTATCCCTCTGTTTCTATGTAAATAAACAAAATCAAGTCAGATACACATCAGTTATTAATCTCCTGATTTTAGCATTTCTGCTCTTTGCAAATTTACGTTGATCTCTGCCACTTTATCCTTTTCATTCCCTGAATTTTGAAGAAAATCACTATTAACTATGTTTAAATAAAACCAGTACCAAACACTACCTCAGATATCTCCCTTCATATAACAGGAACAACATTCTAGGGACAACTATGCTATTTTAAATTCCAATTAATTAATTAATTAATTAAATTTTGCTACATACCTAGGCTCCAAATCAATTGTGAAAGTAATAGATTAGACCCATGTACAGATGAAAAAACACATGAATCTACGTGTTCACTTCAAAACACTTTGGAAAAAAATGTTTGAGTTGGGAACTTGAAGGTCTTGATCAAGATATATTAAAGACTCCTATTGGTTTTACCAGTTTTTATACACAGATCTAGACTTCCCAATTCCCTAAGAGTTGAAGTCAATGAACACTGGTATGAATCACACTGGACAGATTTTCAAAGCAAAATGTAGCTAAATAAATATAGTGTTTCATCTTATTTTTTCTCCTCCCTTAAAACAATATGCTTATTAACTAAATCCCAAAATATTCTAGGTTGTTTTATCAAATTCAAACAATGCTGAAGCATATCAAGAAAATAACTGTATTAGTTCGTTTTCACACTGCTGATAAAGACATACCTGAGACTGGGCAACTTACAAAATAAAGAGGTTTAATGGACTTATCATTCCACATGGCTGGAGAAGCCTCACAATCATGGCCGAAGGCAAGGAGGAGCAAGTGATGTCTCACATGGATGGCAGCAGTCAAAGAGACAGAGGGAGCTTGTGTGGGGGAACTCCTCTTTTTAAAACCATCAGATCTCATGAGACTTATTCACTGTCATGAGAACAGCAGGGAAAAGACTTCCCTCATGATTCAGTTACCTCCCACCTGGTCCCTCCCACAACATGTGGGATCAAGATGAGATTTGGGTGGGGACACAGCCAAACCTTATCTTTCTGCCCCTGACCCCTCCCAAATCTCATGTCCTCACATTTCAAAACCAGTCATGCCTTCCCAACTGTCCTCCCAAATCTTAATTCATTTCAGCATTAAGTCAGAAGTCCAGAGTCCAAAGTATTTGTACTGAGACAAGGCAAGTCCCTTCCGCCTATGAGCCTGTAATATGAAAAGCAAGTTAATTACTTCCTAGATACAACGGGGGTACAGGCATTGGATAAATGCAGCCATTCCAAATGGGAGGCATTGGCCAAAAGAAAGGGGCTACAGGCCCCAAGCAAGTCCAAAATCCAGTGGGTCAGTCAAATCTTAAAGCTCCAAAATGATCCCCTTTGACTTCATGTCTCAAATCCAGATTATGCTGATGCAAGAGGTGGGTTCCTATGGTCTTGGGCAGCTCTGGCCCTGTGGCTTTCCAGGTACAGCCTCCCTCCTGGCTGCTTTCATGGGCTGGCATTGAGTGTCTGTGAGTTTTCCAGGCACACAGTACAAGCTGTCAGTGAATCTACCATTTTGAGCTCTGGAGGATGGTGGCCCTCTTCTCACAGCTCCACTAGGCAGTGCTTCAGTACAGACTGTGTGGGGGATCTGACCCCACAGTTCCCTTCCACAATGCCCTAGCAGAGGTTATCCATGAGGGCCCCCACCCCTGTAGCAAACTTTTGCCTGGTCATCCAGGCATTTCCACACATCTTCTGAAATCCAGGCAGAGGTTCCCTAACTTCAATTCTTGACTTCTGTGCACCCGCAGACTCGCTGCCAAGGCTTGGGGCTTCCACCCTCTGAAGCAACAGCCCAAGCTGTACTATGGCCCTTTTTAGTCATCGCTGGAGTGGCAGAGATACAGGGCACCAAGTCTCTAGCCTGCACTCAGCACTGGGACCCTGGGCTTGGCCCACGAAACCATTTTCTCCTAAGCCTCCTCGCCTGTGATGGGAGGGGCTGCCATGACCTTTTGACATCCCCCGGAGACAATTTTCCCCATTATCTTGGGGATTAACATTTGGCTCCTCATTGCTTATGCAAATTTCTGCAGCTGGCTTGAATTTCCCCTCAAAAAAATGGGTTTTTATTTTCTACTGCATCATCAGACTGCAAATTTTCTGAACTTTTATACTCTGCTTCCTTTATGAAACTGAATGCCTTTAGCAGCACCTAAGTCACCTCTTGAATGCTTTGCTGCTTGGAATTTTCTTCCACAAGATACCCTAAATCATCTCTTTCAAGTTAAAAGTTCCACACATCTCTAGGGCAAGGGCAAAATACCAGCAGTCTCTTTGCTAAAACATAACAAGAGTCATCTTTGCTCTAGTTCCCAACAAGTTCCTCATCTCCATCTGAGACCACCTCAGCCTGGACCTTATTGTTCATATCACTATCACCATTTTTGTCAAACCATTCAACAAGTCTCTAGGAAGTTCCAAACTTTCCCACATTTTCCTGTCTTCTTTTGAGCCCTCCAAACTGTTCTAACCTCTACTTGTTACCCAGTTCCAAAATCACTTCTACATTTTCAGCAATGCCCCACTCTACTGGTACCAATTTACTATATTAGTCCATTTTCATGCTGTTGATAAAGACATACCTGAGACTGGGCAATTTACAAAAGAAAGAGGTTTAATTGGACTTATAGTTCCATGTGGCTGGGGAGGCCTCCCAATCATGGCAGAAGGCAAGGAGGAGCAAGTCATGGCTTACATGGATGGCAGCAGGCAAAGAGAGAACTTGTGTAGGGGAACTCCTCTTTTTAAAACTATGAGATCTCATGAGACTTACTAACTGTCATGAGAACATCAGGGGAGAGACTTGCCCTCATAATTCAATTACCTTCCAGCGGGCCCTCCCACAACATGTGAGAATTCAAGATGATATTTGGGTGGGGACACAGCAAAACCTTATCAAAAAAAAAATACCTCTTAATTCTACTTCCAAGTTATTCACTGTTATACTAATTCCTAAGAACCAGCTATCAACTAATTTAAGAATTCTAAATTAATTATTTCAAGTTAATGTTAATTCAACCCCACACACCAAGCTTAAAAGATTTGGGAGCATAAAACTAACGGATACTAATCAATAAGATCTTAATTTTAATAGTAAATTTGAGAGAAAAAAATTAAATCTTGGACCTTCAGTTTCATCTTAAGATAGTGTGGCTTTGAACTAGCTAATATTCAAATTCTCTTTCAACTCTAAATATTGATTCCACAGTATTATTTCTAAGTAATAGTAACTGAGCATAACTTTATAAATAACACTTTGATTAGAATTAGAGGAGGTATAAAAGCATAAGATGGTATTCCTTCCAATACAAATTTATAATATACAGGTAAATCAAAATATACATCTAAAATAATTAGTAAAATAACATTATTAAAATATATTTCTGATAAAATCATTACATATATAAGCAGCAAAAGTAATTAGGGGTTGTCAGCTCAAAGACTCAGAAAAAGCATTTGACAAAGATCTCACATCCGTTCATGGAAAAAACTTAATAAACTAGGAATATGAGGGAATTTTCTCAAATTGATGAAAAACAACCATGAGAAAACCCAGAGCTAACATTATACATAAATGTTAAAGACTGAATGCTTGCATTCTCACAACTTCTTTTCAACAATGCATTGGAGATCTTAGCCATGGAATAAGGTAAAACACACAAATAAAAAATTAAGGTGTACCAATTAGAAAATAAGTAAAATTATTATTTTTGGATGACTTGACTTTGTATATTGAAAATCAAAAGAAATTCCCCCAAATCAACTAGAAGTAACAAGCAAATCTGGCAAGGTTGTTTGATACAAGATCAATATTAAAAAATCAGTTGTATTTTTATATATTACAACAACTAGTACATAAATGAAAATAAAACAATTCCATTCATAATAATATGACAAAGAATAAACTATATAGGGACAAGTTCAATAAAAGAAGTAGTTTTAGGACAGGTACACTAAAAACTGCATAACATTGCTGAGAAAAATTAAAGGTCTAAATAAATAAAAAGTCTTTACATGTTTATGGATTGGAAGACTCTAAATGTCAAGATGGCAATTCTCCCAAAATTGATCTATAATACCAGCCCAAAATCTCCTTAAGCTGATAGGCAACTTCAGCAAAGTCTCAGGATACAATATCAACGTGCAAAAATCACAAGCATTCTTATACACCAATAACAGACAGAGAGCCAAATCATGAGTGAATTCCCATTCACAATTGCTTCAAAGAGAATAAAATACCTAGGAATCCAACTTATAAGGGACGTGAAGGACCTCTTCAAGGAGAACTACAAACCACTCCTCAATGAAATAAAAGAGCATACAAACAAATGGAAGAACATTCCATGCTGTTGTGAAAATGGCCATACTGCCCAAGGCAATTTATAGATTCAATGCCATCCCCATCAAGCTACCAATGACTTTCTTCACAGAATTGGAAAAAACTACTTTAAAGTTCATATGGAACCAAAAAAGAGCCTGCATTGCCAAGTCAACCCTAAGCCAAAAGAACAAAGCTGGAGGCATCACGCTACCTGACTTCAAACTATACTATAAGGCTACAGTCACCAAAACAGCATGGTACTGGTACCAAAACAGAGATATAGATCAATGGAACAGAACAGAGCCCTCAGAAATAATGCCGCATATCTACAACCATCTGATCTTTGACAAACCTGACAAAAACAAGAAATGGGGAAAGGATTCCCTATTTAATAAATGGTGCTGGGAAAACTGGCTAGCCATAGGCAGAAAGCTGAAACTGGATCCCTTCCTTACACCTTATACAAAAATCAATTCAAGATGGATTAAAGACTTAACTGTTAGACCTAAAACCATAAAAACCCTAGAAGAATACCTAGGCAACACCATTCAGGACATAGGCATGAGCAAGGACTTCATGTCTAAAACACCAAAAGCAATGGCAACAAAAGTCAAAATTGACAAAGGGGATCTAATTAAACTAAAGAGCTTCTGCACAGCAAAAGAAACTACCATCAGAGTGAACAGGCAACCTACAAAATGGGAGAAAATTTTTGCAATCTACTCATCTGACAAAGGGCTAATATCCAGAATCTACAATGAACTCAAACAAATTTACAAGAAAAAAACAAACAACCCCATCAAAAAGTGGGCAAAGGATATGAACAGACACTTCTCAAAAGACATTTATGCAGCCAAAAAACACATGAAAAAATGCTCATCATCACTGGCCATCAGAGAAATGCAAATCAAAACCACAATCAGATATCATCTCACACCAGTTAGAATGGCGATCATTAAAAAGTCAGGAAACAACAGGTGCTGGACAGGATGTGGAGAAATAGGAACACTTTTACACTGTTGGTGGGACTGTAAACTAGTTCAACCATTGTGGAAGTCAGTATGGCGATTCCTCAGGGATCTAGAACTAGAAATACCATTTGACCTAGCCATCCCATTACTGGGTATATACCCAAAGGATTATAAATCATGCTGCTATAAAGACACATGCACACGTATGTTTATTGTGGCACTATTCACAATAGCAAAGACTGGGAACCAACCCAAATGTCCAACAATGATAGACTGGATTAAGAAAATGTGGCATATATACACCATGGAATACTATGCAGCCATAAAAAAGGATGAGTTCATGTCCTTTGTAGGGACATGGATGAAGCTGGAAACCATCATTCTCAGGAAACTATTGCAAGGACAAAAAACCAAACACCACATGTTCTCATTCATAGGTGGGAATTGAACAGTGAGAACACGTGGACACAGGAAGGGGAACATCACACACCAGGGCCTGTTGTCGGGTGGGGGAAAGGGGGAGGGATAGCATTAGGAGATATACCTAATATTAAATGACGAGTTAATGGGTGCAGCACACCAACATGGCACATGTATACATATGTAACTAACCTGCAGGTTGTGCACATGTACCCTAAAACTTAAAGTATAATAAAAAATAAAATAAAATAAAAAATAAAAGTTTAGGACACAAGCACGTTAGCCTAGTCTACACAGGGTTAGGATCATGAATAGCACTGTCTTCCACTCCACATCTTGTCCCACTATAAGGTGTTTAGGGGCAATAACAGACATGGGACTTTCATATCATGTGACAACAAGGCCTTCTTTTGGATACCTCCTGAAGGAGCTGCCTGAGACTGTTTTACAGTTTTTTAAAAAATAAGTACATGAAGTACACTTTAAAATAATGATAAAAGTATAGTATAGTAAACAGATAAACCAGTAGCATAGTTGTTTATTTTCATTATCAAGTACTATGTACTGTACATAACTGTATGTGTTATACAGTAGGTTTGTTTACACCAGCATCACCACAAACACATAGCACAAACGTGCTATGATATTAAGATGGCTATGACATCGCTAGGCAATATAGATTTTTCAGCTCTACTATAAATTTGTGGAAACACCATCATGTATGTGGTTTGTCCTTGACCAAGACATCATTATGCTGTACATGACTGTAAATAAATTCTACTACTGTTCTAAACAAACAAAGAAACAAAAATATAGTGAAACCTCTATCAAAATCTCAGCAAAGTATTTTGTAGAAATTGGTATACTGTTCGTAACATTTGTATTAATATTCAAAGGATTTAGACTAGCAAGAGCACTTTCTTCAGAGAAGAAATTTGGTGGACAATCAAGCATTCTAAAGTGAGCAAAGTATTTCAGTAGGCATTTCATCAGAAAAGATATATAAATGACTGCTAAGCCTAAGTGTAAAGATACTTACCATTAGAGGAATAAAAATGTAAAACTCTACAAAACACGACTATACATGCGTTGGATGATTATAATTTAAAAAGGGAGATAATACCAAGTGTTGGCAAGTTCATGTTGAAACTAGAACTCTCAAACATTGCTCAGGGATGTAAAAGGATGTAGCCACTTTAAAAACAATTTTGCAGGTTTTTATAAAGTTAAATAAACATACAAATAAGTAGTTTGACTTTTAAGAAGATACCCAAAAGAAATGAAAACACATTCTCTCACAAAGTTGTGAATGTGAATGTTCATAGGAGCATTATTCTTAATATCCAAATGTCCACAACTAATAAAAGATACAGAAAATATTATATATCTCTGCAATGGAACACTGTTCAGCAATAAAGAGATGCTGTACTCATTTATGCTACAACATGAATTAATTTCAGAAATATTATACTAAATAAAAGAAGCCAAGTGCAAAGAAGTGCATGTTGCACTCTTCCATTTACATGAAATATCTAGAAACAGCAAATATGTACACAGAAAGCTGATCAGTGGTTGCCTAGAGCTGGAAGTGAGTGTAGAATATTGCAAATGAATTTGGAGAACCTTCTGGGGATAATGGAAATGTTCTTAAACTAGAATGTGGTGTGGTTCCCCAACTCTATTCATTAACTAAAAATTATTGATTTGTATACTTTTAACAAGTGAATTTTATGGTATATATGTATTATATCTTAATAAAGTTGTTGAAGAAATCAGTTATAAAATAATGCAGGATGGCAAGAAGTCGTTGGGTGGGTATAGGTAAAACTAGCTGGTGATTCATTGATAATTGTTAAAGCTGAAAATGAATGTGTGGGATCTTATTTCAGTCTTTTTCTGCGTTTGTACTTCCTTTAAATTTTCTTTGTGTTTGTTTATTTGAGACAGGGTCTGGATCTCACTCCGTTGCCCATTCTAGAGTGCAGCGGCATGATCACAACTCACTTGCAGCCTCTACTCCCGGGTCAAGCAGATCCTCCCACCTTAGCTTCCTGATTACCTAGGACTACAGGCATGTGCCACCAGCTAATTCTTTTTATTTTTTGTAGAGATAGGGTCTCCCAATGTTGCCCAGGCTGATCTTGAATTCCTGTGCTCAAGTGATCCTCCCTCCTTGGCCTCCCAAAGTGCTGAGATAACAGGCTTTCTTTTAAATTTTCAAAAATAAATAATTAAATTTTAAAATTAAGTCTTGTTGTCCACTCTACATAGGGGAACTAAGTAAAGAGAAGGTTTCAATGTTGTATCTAAGAGTTTTAAAACACAGAAAGTATCTTCCTTAGTGTTCTCTTGGAAGTGTCTGCCTCTATGTGAGAACTAACCTGTCAAGTGTTCCCAAGCTGCTCAGTTTGTGGAGCAAGAGGGTCAGTGGAAACACACAGGAGTTGAAGACTTCTTGAGCAGAGGGAAGACATGAAGCTGAGTTGTAGCCAAACCTCTGGTGGCAAGCACAGAGGGCAAAATCATTGTATGTCAGCCTTAAAGAAAATATCACTTTGCCATGTAGCAAGTGATAGGCCTCTAAAAAATATGTGCCATTTTCCTTATCTTTATATTCAACTTAAAACACTTCAAAGAAAATGGGTTTCTCATATCCCTCAGGATAAACATCAAATTCTTTTAAGTTTTCCCAGCAACTACCCACCACATCAGCCTCATTTCTAACACTGTGTCCCATGAACTTAAATGCTCCAGATTTCCCAAACTTTTTTTTTTTCTGAGCACTAAACTACCCTTCAGCATTCTCTCATCACTTATCTTTACACTTATGGTGTCCTTTGCTTAGAAAACGTTTTTCTAAACGTGTCTCTGCTGGGCTATACCCTAGCAATCTGCCAGTTCAGGGATTACACATCACTATATCAGGAAAGCATTCACTAATTCCTTGAATTCAGCTACTACTTCTGTGCTCTCTCTTAGGACCCTGACCTTCCTCTCACAGTAAATTATTGTAATTGTCTGTCTTCCCAATGCTGTAAATTCAGGAAAGTATCTTCAGTGGCTTGCAATGTGCTTAGCAATCAGCAGGCATTTAGCAAAAGTTGTGTTCAGGATTAAATTAAATAACGTATATATTCACCTCCTCAAAAACTTTATATAAAATTTATGTGTAGCATATAGTGGGTGTAAAATAAACACCTGTTCAGTGAATGAATGGATGAATGAATGAGTCTGTCTTTCATTAAATACAGTTGATCAAACAATCCAAGGTATGAGTTCAAAGAAAATCAACCTTTAAAATATAACTGTACTGACTAACTATACAGTAAATTTTCTGTAAGGCTCAATGTAAATATAAATAAAATAGAATTCCTTTGTTTTATTATGTTTTATTCAATCTTCTTTAAATAGAAGAAAATATAAAATATTCCTTTAAAAATCTTACGCAATTTAAATAGTATATATTGTGTTCTTCATGGGGAAAGCAACCTTGATGTCTCAGTTATAATAGTTTCAAGTATCCTTGGGCAGTTATTTTTAGTGTCGGGTTTTGTTTAAACAGAAACTGCAGAGAAATATCTTCGAATATAAAAATTTCTAATATTTAAATAAATACACAAACATTCATGACTTTATTCTGGAATGGTGCTGGAAGGAATAATGCAGCAAAATCATGACAAAAATATCTATAGCTTTTTCATTTGATTGGTCTCAGATTATTGTGAGCTATATTATGATAAAATAAAGCTATAATTTTATAACTGTTACTTAATAAATGTATAGAAGTATAGTACACAAATTGAAGGCCTCTGCCTGTGGTGTTCTAGAATAAATTAACAAACCGCAGAACATTGAAGAATTTCTTTTTATCAAATGAAATAAAATGAATAAATTGTGTTCATTGTTTGACTTTGTGTTATGTAAATGTTAACTTAAAGCAGCATATTTTCTTTTGGCTATTTATCTTCTACGTTGAAGTAGCAGAATCCCATGCAAAGAGACTTCTTTGAAAGATTTATAGCTTAAGGCATGTAATAAGGCCATGCTGTGTTTATCTCATTCCCTCTAGAATCACTATGCTATTTCTGCTGAGTAGTGATACAGATTGAAGTATTTTAAGATTCTACAGGGGATGTCCTGATGTGATTATGAAGCATTGACTGTTTGTTCCTTCTTTCTCTTCCCACTTGATGCTATACAAATTCATATGCCTAGTTTCACTGGTTAAAAACAGTCAGTTGACTTCTCTAACCCGGACTCCTATTGAAAGCCCAGGTTTGCTGTTCTGAGTAATAGTGAAACTTACCACTTTCAATTTCAAGGTCTGCATAATGTCTCTGATTCCCCCAAACATAAAACCCTATTCAGAACTTTTAAAGGGTGAAAGTTTCCACTTCCAGTACCTAAGCAGAAACCATGAAAGAGGGGATAAAGAAGGGGGTCCTCAACAAGCCAGCTGTGCAAATTAACGGAAGGATTATGGTTACAATAGCCAAATACCCACCCCACATAGTATTTTAACTAGGACGGTTTTTAAATGAAGCTTATTTTCATCAAAGTAATCCATAAATATGTAATATAAAAATCACAAGTCTTACAGAAATACACAGGCGCCTTCCCCCACCAACCTCTACAGTTTGTCCCCATAAAGCCACCTCCTTTTAACTCTTTAAACTCTTTTTTCCTCAAATATTTAACTTCAGATTTCTCATGATTTTTATGCTGCTATTTTTTCAAGTTATCAATTTTGAGTATTTACCTATTTATCCTGTGAAAGATAAAGATTTAGAACTCTAAGCAAAGTCATATGTATGCTGCACTTTTTCTTGCACCATCTCCTGAAGTTATATCAAAAATCAAGTCAATATTTAATTTAAAATAACTATGAATGTGTAACTAGAATTTAAGTAGTGCACTACAATTACATTTATTTCCTTGTAAAATCATTTTTCCCTAGAGTCAATAGTTTGTCATCATTCTTTCATTGACTTAATTTTCTATATATGTAATGCTATTTTTTCCCAAATTGGCAGTAAAAAATTTAAAATTTTGTAGAGGACACTAAAGATAGAATACACCAAAACTCTTTTAAGTCCTCTCCTCCTACGCTTTCTTTAATTTAGAGTCTAGAAAACAAATTCTCATCTTCACAGAATACATTGTAATATGACCCAGTCCTTGGCAGTGACGTGTAGGTGGAACTTACTGGGTAGACCTTCCAAGAATTTTCTGTAAAATGTGAGATTTGATTTTTGTACTTCTTTGACCTTCTGCTTTCTTACCTTCCTGTCTAAAGCAAACGGTTTTTTTTTTTTTTTTTTTTTTGTCTTCCTGCTTAAAGCAGTGAATTAGATGCCTGACTGTGTTTGTAACCATGAGACAATAAGGAGATCAATATTTATACTCTTGGGATGTCAGGTGTTATGGGTTGAGTTGTACCCTTCCCCACCCCACCCCCAAATTCATATGTTCACTCCTAACTGCCAGTACCAGAACGTGAACTTATTTGGAGACAGGCTCATCGTAGATAAAATTAGTTAAAGGTGGGCGTCTAATCCCATATGACTGGTGTTCTTATAAAAAGTTGAAATTTGGACATAGATCCCCACATAGAGAGAAAACACCATGTGAAGATGAAGGCAGAGATCAGAGTAATACAGCAGAAGCCAAGGATTGACAAAGATTGCCAGCAAACCACCAGAAGCTAGTAGAGGGGCATGGAACATATTCTCCCTCACAGCCCTCAGAAAGACCCAGTGTTGATCTTGGACTTCTACCCTCTAGAACTGAGACCAAAAAATGTCTGTTTTTAAGTCACCCAGTTTGTGGTACTTTGTTATGGTAGCCCTTGCAAACTAAAACATCAGGGCATAATGCTGGAAGAAGCATGAGTCTCTGATGATACTGAGACCTAGAGTGTCTAGCTCCTATCCAGTACTGTTGTGTGAGACATGAGACGTATAATCCTTTATTACTTAAAGCTGCTGTTTGCTGGGTTTTTTAAAATTATGTAAACCTGCCACTTCTTAACTGATACAACTGCTTTCAATACTATCTTCAATCTGTAAAATGCATCAGATAATCTATCACCAACACTTTTCTCCACAACAGCTACCTCTTGAAACTCTCCATTCTGTCAATCCATTTTAGCCACGTTGCTTGCTTCTCATGTTGAAATCTTCCATATGGGAATGCTCCTTTATCTTTATTCTTGGAATTCCTTCTATTCTGTTGTGTGCTTGATCCCATGTTTCTTACAGTCCAGATTTCTTTTCTCAAAATTAAGCTCCTCATCTAAGAGCTCCCTGAGAAACAGTACAAGGGAGAGAGGAATTTCCTGAAAATTTACACATTAGAAAATATATTTATTCTGTCATTGCCATGTTTGATAATTTGGTTGCACAAAGAATTCTATATAGGTTAATATTTTCCATAGATTAATTATAATATTTTTCTCAGAATTTTGAAGGTGTCATTACAGTGACCTTCAGAGAGTTCCTTTGAGAAGCTCAGTATTCTAATTCCTCTGCCTCTGTGTCTCTCTTTTAGACACAGGTACACAGAGACACACACACACACACAACACATACACATACACAAACAAGTTTAAATGTCCTTGGCTATCCGATATTTCACAGTTGTGCTCTTTCTTTAGTTTTTTAAATGATTTTTCTGAATGATACATACACCTTTCTACCTGGATTCTGAGAAACATTCTTCTGTTTTTATTTGTACATTATACCCCCATTCATTTTCTTTGTTTTCCATTTCTGAGAACACTATCATCGGATAGTTGGCCTCCTAGACTTGGGCTCTAATTATCTTTTTGTTCAATTCAGTATTCAATCTCTTTTTTTTTTTTGGCTATACTTTGTGGAAAATTTCATCAACTTCTTGTCTCACCTTTCTGTAATCCCTTTTTCTTCTGACTTACATATTTAACTTTCAAAGGCTATTTTCTATGCTCTAAATGTTCTTTTTCTCATAGTATTCATTATTTTATCTCCCTAAGCACACTAATGACAGCCTTTTGAGATTTTTGCCTGTTTCTCGCATTGTTTTTTGTCCCTTCTAATTTCCTTTGTTTTTTTATGTTGGGTGTTCTCTTTTAAGTATCTGATGATACTTAACATTTGCATTTCAAGTGAGACTCTGAAAAGATTATTGATATAGATATGTATGTGAGAGAGCTCATGGTAGCTTGCTACCATGTATTTCATTGCCTTGTATTTCATTAAGACATTGCAAAGTTACGCTATTTGCACATCTTTTCCCCACCAAGGGCCTTTCAGTTTTTCTAGAGATGAGTCCTATAGTCTCTTATCTGAAGATTTGCATCTTTAACTATTAGATTACTATGGACTGGGCCAGGGACAGCGCTGCAGGAAGGGTATCAACATTCAGTATGCTGCCTTTCACTTACACATCATTTGCAGCAAAGTTCCTCAACATCTTATGTTGCTGAGTCTCACATTCAGTTTCTCCTGAAGAAATGGGATATTGGTGATTTCGGCCAACAAAGAGTTGCAAAGGGAAACTAGAGGTCTGTTCCTTGTAATGTTTTAAACCATCATGCCAGTTTTCAGCCCCTACTCTCACCCCTACCTACTTTGGCTCCTCCTGCAATGATTTCCTTCTTAGTTTCTGTAAGGCAGAGCAGCTGGCTTTTAATTGGCTTCTCCTCTACAGGCACTTGCTTTCATTCCTTGTTCTGCTGTGTCAATTATTTAATTATTACATTCATGCTCCTCTTTTCATCTTCCAAAAAAATATGTTGACCTCTCTTGTTCTTGTCCACTATTCTTTTCTTTCTGTATTAGATCAAAATGTTTTTATTATTCCATTGCTGTTTCTGTGATGAATTTTAGAGAGAACAGAGGGATGTCCATGGATTAAATCTATCATGATTGAATGAAAATTTGAATAGTATTTTAAAAAAAATCTTCTCATTGAAAAACAAGCTATAGATTCTGCCAGGAAAGTACAGCTATAGATGGGAGGAAATGAAAGTCACTCCTCAGAACCATTTAATCTTAATTAACAGATTACTATAACAGATGACTGCTAGTGAGACCAATAATAGAAACTCAAGAAACATGTACTACAGCTTGTAAGAGGAATCGTAGCATTCATATTATCACAAAGAAGTTAATTTTTTCAGTGTTAAATGAAAAAATATTGCAGCACTTTATTAACGTTCCAATACCTGAAAATGCAATAAAGTGTCAGATATTGTGAACCAGTATCCTGGGCACCAATAGCAATCCTCATGTAGATTTTACATGTTTTGCATATACCCTTTTTTTTTAAATAGTGAGCCAACATTTGAAAATAATAATATTTCAAATAAATAAACTGCTTTCCCTTTTACAATACTGAATATCTGGTAACCTTCCTGGTTACCAGATGAAACTGAAAATCAGCTGATGCTTCAGTAGGGGCAAAGGTTCTGTTATTTGTTCTTTCCCAACAACTCATGTCTTAATTCGAATACATTGAAATAGAGCCACCACACAGCCAAGGTAAATGAGCATCTAAGAAACAATGTCTTGGCTCACAGGACCATCATAGAAAATAATGCTCCAGTCAGGAATGACAGCGGATAGGCAATAAACTTTTAACTGAATATTGCCTATAGATCAGCTAATCTTTAAACTTCAAATTGCTGGGTTAAATAAAAGTACCAAAATCGTGTTTTCTTTCAGTTGGCAGAAAGGGGGACCCCAGAGCAAAGGGAAATTCAGTTACAGACAAATTAAGAAAGCTACACCTGCTCTCCTCAGATTTGGATTGTAAATTTCATACTCATCATAATTATAATGATATTATCCTTATATTTGCCTCACTTATGAAACTGTATTGAGGTAACACTGTTTATTGCAGTCTTTTTTTTAATATATAGTTTGCCCATGTAGACGAATTCTGAAACCCTGTTTGACAAAGGTCATCTGGTCAGCAGGACTTTAGTATCTAACGATACTTTTCTCCATATGAGAGAACACATTTTAAGACAAAGGGTAGTGTTTTAGGAGTCTTGTAATACAGGCCCTACTAGGTTACAAGTAGATTAGGCAAGTTACTTTGGGTGATTTGATGCCTATCTATTCCCATGCTCAGAATAGATTTTATAGTGACTGTTTAAACTTCATGACTTTTATAAATGGTGATAAAAATGAGTGATAATTAAGATAGAGTCACTTTAAAATGTAAAGTTAACATATAATACAAGGTATTATTACATAAATAATGATTGCTATTTTCAAGGAACCCTAGACAATTCTCAACAAGTCTAACTATATAAATTAATTATTTCAAGGTTTTTGTCAATGAAAAGTGAGGCTATTTGAAATTGGAATACAAGACACAACTAGTGTTTATTTTCTTATTACATTGAATTGGTTCATATATAGATAAAGATATTGATATATATTTGTATGTAAATTAGCTAACTCAATATTCCATTCTAGCATATAGAAATTCCCTTAGCTGATAACTTAAAAATTACATTTACTCAATTTTCTTTTGCAATTACCATCCTTATCCAGCAAATACGTATATCTATAAGAGATGTTGATGCAAGCAGACTGAGTCAGATGGAAAAATAGGTGAGTTATATGGAATGTAGTTTCTAAATAAGGTGATAATGTTCTAAAGCAAGAATCTGTAGCAATAACTTCCTTTTCAACAGGTAGCTTCCAATTCAACAGCTTTTGAAACCTCCCCAATTGTAGCAAAAGCAAAATGGCTTAGAGAGTTCTAAGTTTTTTACTTCATGCCTTTAAATGATGGCATAAGCACCTAATTTTCTATACTGCATAATTTTTTGTTAACACTAGCTAGAGTGGATTTGTTGACATCTTCTGAAAAGTGAGCAATTCAGAGATAATATGTATTTTGATACCTACGTGTCATTGAATGACTTTTCATCATAAAACATTTTATTCCAAATTTCTCTGATAGAAAGTGACTTGTGGGTTTATATAAAGGCACAATAGAATGACATTTGCTATCTGATAGACAAACTGAAATGAAACATTTAGCAGAGGATTGCAGACCCTCCAGAAAAATTTAACTACATTTGATGGCTATTCTTTCCGTTTTTTTTCCTTATGAAGATGTAGCCAAAGAGTGAGAAGTTATTATTTTATCAAATACAATATGTGCTTGTTTTCCTTAGAGTTTTACAACTAAGTATGTGTGGCATATTGTGAAAGAGAGCATTTAATTTCACCTTTAAATATCTAAGATTAATATTGAATTTGCATAATCCGAATACAACCAAGAATTCATGGTCCTGATCACAGGTTGATAAAAGATATAAATGAGACTGCTTTCATTTAAAAATACAATAATTTTGTTGGGAAACAAAAAACAAGATGTGTAACAACTCTCTTCACTTCTATTAAATAAAATCAAAGAAAAAAGATTAAAGAAAGTTTCATAAAATATTTGAGTAATATATGAGTATGTGAAATTACTTTGTCAATTTAATGTGAAACATTGGATAACTGCATCTAATTAGCAAAAAAAGAGGCTAGTATGTTCTATACCTTATTATAAATTTGTTGTTACAGTTTGTAAGTATTATTGACTTTATTAATAAGGTAAATAGATTCTAAGGTCATATCCATGATCTTCACTTTCTGATGTTTGCACCCTAATTTGCTCCCTCCCAGTGCAGTCTGGAAGTCTGCAAATAACTGAATGCTGTAAAAAAAACATATTAGTAAAATAACAAACCCTTTCCCATTAAGCATCAAAGGAGATCTTAGCCCAGGAAAAACCTTTATTTCAGCCTTGTGTATGACCCAGCTAAGCAGCGTCTAGACTCCTAACCCATAGAAACTGTGAAGTAATAAATATGCATTGTTTTAAGTCATGAAGTTTATGATAATATTGTTACTTAGCAACAGATAACTAATGCAGCTAATTTTATGTAATCATAAATTTATTACACCCATAGAACTCAATATTCTTATGAATTCTTATTAGACAATAAAATACACATGTGGTATAAATAAATCACATAGGTAATGAATAAAATTAGTTTATAATCTATAACACTCAAAAATATATGTTGTAAACAACTACTTGTAACCAATCCAAAGTTATATTCAAAAACAAATAATTAGGAAGTTTTTCATCTGATAATAGGGATTTCTGAGATGCATTGTCCTACAGGCAGTCTCCTAAAGAGAAGTTCCATTTGGTCAATAATGTTAAATAAACATATATTAAATACGCATTTACTATTGAATTGTTTGATTTCGGCATGTATAACATAGTAGAGTCTCAATTATTGTGAGAGTTTCTCAAATTACAATGACATGGCATAGTTTTCTCATTTAAAGGCTTTAATTTACACTAAAATTATTATAAAAATGTTAGCTATATACCAAAGGGAAAAAAATAGCATCATAAATGCTATGAACAAATCACTATCTTCAACAATTGTCAAGTAATGTTAATCTTTCTTCTTGTATACCTCCACCTATTTCCTCAGATTTCATATAATTATACTGTAAATATCTCAATAAGTTGCTCTAAATCCTAAAAAGAGATTTCAATACATTTTGCTCAGCTACCAAAATTAATAATTTCATTAAATATGCTTCTGTTTTTCAAATTTCCAATTGTGTCACAAGTGTCATTTTTTTTACAGCTTGTTCACTTGGATCATGATCCATATAAAGTATTCAGAGTAAGTCTTCTACTAATCTATTAATATAATTTCTCCCATCTCTCTCTTTTTTTCTGAAAAATATTGGTAGAAGAAATAGTTTTTTGCTCTGGCAAATTATTCACAGTTTAGGTTTTGTTTATTGCATTCCTCCAAGTGGTATTTAGTAGGCTTCTCTGCCTACTAAAATTTATTTTCTATAAATTGTTATTTATGGAAAATATAGATACTTCCACAAGATTACTTCATGGATAGTACAGATAGTTCAGCAAGATTACTTCATAGTTGGTGTCTGATGCATATGATGTCTGGTTGAATCTATTTTGTATTTCTTAAAGTGAAAAAATAATTTTTTTGAAAACTTTTTAACTTTTAGGAGTGGAAAGAAAATTTTTTACATTTTTAAAACATTTCTAAGAAAACTTGTAACTGCCACATTTTCAGAAGAATTGTCATTTCAGGACAGCACCGTGAGAAAAATAATAATTTACATGTATACAAACAAATTTCAGTTTTTAGATTCAAGCACATTACAACCTGTAAATGTCTTTTCAAGTGAATAGAAATTAGGTAGTATTTATTTCAGAATACTGATATTATAAGTGAATCTACAGAATTTTACAAAGACTCACAAATGAAATAAGAGTTTCAGTGAAACTTGATTTTTAATACTAATTTTCATTAGCAGAATTCCAAAGGAATAAAAATGCATGCAAAAATGTGAATGGCCCTTCACGTTTTATTTATTATTACTTTTGATAACTCAAACTAGAAACACAGAAGGACATTAATTCAATATTGTTATAGAGTTTCTGAAATACTGGGCAAGTGGTACAATCTTTTCAAAAGTATTTATTTTGCTTAAAATTATTACCTGAGCTTGCTAAGAGGATTGATGCATCAATGGAGCACACTGGATTTGCTAGTAGTATTCACTGTTGTTCAGTTTGAAAAGGGAAATTCATAAAAATTTCCCTCTTCAGCATGCTGTGAACATCCTGTGAACATACTTTAAGTAAAAAGTGGACTTCTATTGAGAATTCTGAAATAGACTTTCACAGAAATAAAAAGTTTTCATTGAAAGAGGGGAAGCAATATTTGTTCTGTATTTGTATCTAAAAATATATTGAAAAGTTTGGAGATTTTATTGTAATTACCTTTGTTATAACATATTATCCACAAGCATGCATTTCTTTCATTTTCTCTTTAAGAATTTTAAAGAATTTAAAGAGCATTACATTTTTTTCTAAAGGCAGAACTTTAAAAAACAACTAATAAACGTTGTCACTTAGATACTTGCACACCTGTTTACCACATAAACTCCATAGAGATGACAAAGACCTGGACAGGTAGATTAACAGGCCAATTCACTCCTTGATAAACATATCCTATAATACTCCTTCTTTGAGTTTTGTTATAAAATTACTTTTAATGAGTCATTTTGTGACCTTCCTACTTAATATAGTAACCCTACCTCAATTTCACTTTCCGTCAGAATTTCATATTCTTTTAACTCTGTTCTTTTTTTCTTGAGCACTTATTAACACAGAGGCTACAATATAATTTATTCATTTAAAATATTTAACTTGCCTCTCCTTCCACTAAAATATAAGCTCCTGTGAGCAAGAATTTTTAATTTTATTACTTTTTAGTTTTTATTTTCCCAGCACTAAGAACAGTGCCTGTTCATAGTAGCATTTAATAAACATAAATGAATAAATCCCACAGATGAATGTTGGAACAAGTCATGGCAACTGAAGTTCTTATTTTCCATTTCATGATTCTCAGGCTATTGGTGACAGCTTTGGATGAAATTGATGCTACTGGAGAACAGAATCTACATTTTATAAAATCTCTTGCATATAAATAACCAATACGTAAGTAATACTGGAATAGAGCCAATTCTTTATATCATGTTAAAATTATTGTTGGTATGCATATCAGAAATTAAAACAATAGCTAGTGAATTAATTGCCCTGATGAAATTTTTGACTCTTTTTAAGCTATGTTTGCACAATGTAATAAAATAATTCTTACCATTATTTACCATATTTTCAAACCGATAAAATTAGAGCACACTTTAAAAACTCTTTATATTAAAATTTTTAACCAAAGCAAAATTTGAAGGATATTACAATGAGCACCCACCCACTTTTCAACTAGATTCAAATATTGTTAAATTTTGCCATGTTTGCTTTATCAGCAGCCATTTATGCAAGACTTAGGGTATTTTACTGAAAAATTATTGTAGAAACTGGCATATGGGTATTAGGTATGCTTACTGCTGTGACCAATTTCATGTATCAATAATGATGCAAAAATGCTAAATACAATTTTAGCACACTGATCCAACAATGTACTACAACAAACAACAACAACGTAACCAAAAGTGGAATCTATTCAAAGAATGCAAGGGTGCAACAGGCAAATAAGACATTAAATAAGAGGAATAAAAGGCACAGTGAAAATAAAAGTAGCAATCAAGTAGAATAGACAAACAAAATCAACAAACACAAAAGTTGAAATATTAAAATATTAGTAATGTTGACAAGCTTCTACTAACACTGACAGAAACAGATATTATCTCTATTAGAAATGAAAGAGGTGACATTACTACACATCCTACAGGTGTTTAAAAGATAATAAAAATATTTAAGATATGTTCATTTCATCATACGTAAACTTTTCATTGGTTTAACATCTTCAAAAAGCTTGATGGAATTGTGTAAACAAAGTATCAAAATTATTGTTGCATGCTGTTACTTACTAAGTAATAGCAACCATATCCTTATAATTGTATTTTTAAATGTAACTATCACAGGAATATTATATTTACAAAAGTAGGTACTGACTTTCTGATAAAAATGGGACATTTAAGAAATGTTTGTGAAGTAAAATCAAATTTTAAATATTTGCAAAATATTAAAGAGATCTATAATATCCAGTATTACAATGGCTTTTGTTATATTGCTGCTGTAATATTCTATTGATGACTATATATTAATGCTTTTCTGGAGGAAAAATAAAAATACGTATAAAAGTTTTAATGTATATATCTTTCCACCCAGCGATTCTACTTGCAAAAATTTATCCTAAGGAAGCAACAAAAAACAAGTACAAATATATATGTTCAAATATGTATAACACGCATGGTTCCTACCAAACGTAATTATTTAGTGTTTATTTTTAATTAAATTATATTAAACTGAAATACATTAAAATCATCAAAACTGATGCAGGATTACAGGATTATATTTATTATGTATGATTAGAGAAAGATCAAGTTACACATAGGCACTATGCTTAGTATAAGAGACACTCAAAACCACTGATTTACAATATTTCAGAGGCACCATTCGCATACAATACAATGTGAATAGTGATGTGGTGTGCACCTCTCATAGTACAGAGTTAAGGGCAAAACGTCAAGCCCAGGATTCTTGGGTTCATTTATTTTCTATTCTTCATCTTCCACATCTGTGTTGTGTAAACTTAGGCAAGTTATTTCTACTTTATGGGGTGAATGTTGAGACCAAATGAGCAAATGCATATCAAATTGTGCTTAACACTCATAAGAGTTAACTATTATTTTTATTCTCGATGTAAGCCCCACACAAATTCTGTTTTGTTCTCAGTTATATTGTTGGATATAATTGATTCTTAAAAATATTTTGGATGATTTTTAATTAAAACTTAATCCAAGTATAAGTGTTCATATATATTTGGAAAGGAAATTCTGAAAGACACATCAAAATTTTAACACTAGTTATCACTGTTACATATAATTTTATTTTGTTCTGTATGTTTCTGTTTTATGAAGATTTGTATTTGAAAATATATTATATAAAACAATATACAATAAAACAATGAAATTCCACTAAAAACTCTATAGTGTATACCTTTCCTTTGACCCCCAAAGTTTTTTTTTAAATGTTTACTGCAAAGAAATAGGGGACCCATATCAGAGTGCTTTTGCCTGGAACCTATCCACTGCCCTGCCAGAGTGCTTACTCACACCAGAGTATCTGCAGTGTCCCTGCTGCTGCAATGGAGATCTTTCACCCATGGCCACCCTGCCAACCTGCTGGAGTCCTTTCGTCCATGAATCCTCAGCCACCATGCCAGAGCACTTTTGCCTGTGGCCTGCCCGCTGCCTGACTGAAGCACACTTGCTTGCAGCAACCCAAACCCAACCTGCTGTAGTGCTTTTACCAGAGCCACCACCATAGCTCTCTCATTGGCCACCCCTGCCATCCCACTGGAGTGCTTTTGCTGGCAGACACCCATCAGAGAGGTTTTGTTCAAGGCCACTCAACAGCCCCAACAGTGCTTCTGCTGGAAACCTCCAACAGAGCACTGTTGCCAGCAGGCTGGGAGCACCATATCCTCCCACACCCCCAGTGCAGCAAATGCTTGATCTTAAGGGGACAGAGAATAAAGCTGTGTTCCCAGTCCCAGTACCCCAGAGTTAAAGAATTCTGCCTAGGGAGGCTGAACTGAGCTTTGTTCCTCTGAAAGCATCAGTGTCAGAAACAAAGACAATCAACTAAGCCCAAGGTATACCACAGTCAAACTCTTAACAGCATTAAAAAAACATAACAGCTAAAAGCTCCATCTGAAGAATATCAATTTCAAAAGTTAATGGAATATCAATCCACACAGATGAGAAAGAATCAGCTCAAGAATTCTGGCAATTCTAAAAGCCAGAGTACCCCCTTACCTCCAAATGAGCCCAGTAGCTCCCCAGCAATAATTCTTAACTAGACTGAAATGATTAAAACGACAGAAATGGAATTCAGAGTCTGAATGACAAAGAAGTTCATCAAGATTCAGGAAAAAGTTGAAACCCAATCCTTGGAACCCAAGTAATCCAGTAAAATGATCCAAGAGCTGACATAAGAAATAGCCATTTTAAGAAAAAATCAAACTGAACTTCTGGAATTGGAAAGTTCACTATAAGAACTTCATAATTCAGTTGGTAGCATTAACAGCAGAACAGACCAAACTGAGGACATAATCTCAGAGCTCAAAGGCTGGTTCTTCAAATAAACTCATTTGACAAAAATAAAGGAAAAAATTAATTTTTACAAAATGAACAGAATCTTTTATAAATATGGGATTATGTAAAGAGACAAAATCTATGACTTCTATGGCATTCTTGAGAGAGGAGAGTGAGAAACTTGGAAAACACATTTGGAGATACAGTCCGTGAAAAACTTCCCAATCTCACTAGAGATGTTGACATGCAAATTCAAGCCATACAGATAACTCTTATAAAATACAATCCAAAATGACCATCCTATAGTCACCAGATTCACCAAGGTTAATGTGAAAGAAAAAAATCTTAAAAGCAACTAGAGAGAAGGGTCAGGTAATGTACAAATAGAACCATAAAGGCTAGCAGCAGACCCCTCAACAGAAACCTTACAAGCCAGAAGACACTGAGGGCCTATTTTCAGCATCCACAAAGAAAAGGAATTCCAACGAAGAATTTTATATCCTTCCAAAGTAAGCTTATAAGTTAAGGAGGGCTAAAATCCTTCTCAGATAAGCAAATGCTAAGGGAATTTGTTATAACTAGACCAGCTTTACAAGAAATCCTTCAAGGAATGCTAAACATAGAAAAAAGAGAACAATGCCTGCTGTCACAAAAACATGCTTAAGCACATAGCTCACAGACACTATAAACTAACTGTATAATCAAGTCTACAAAACAACCAGCTAACAACACAATGATAGGATCAAAATCTCACATATCAATACTAACTCTGCATGTAAGCAGTCTAAATGACACACTTAAAAGGCATAGGGTGGCAAGCTGGATAAAAAGACAAGACATAACTGTCTGCTGTCTTCAAGAGACCTATCTCACATGCAATGACACTCAGAGGCTCAAAGTAAAGGGATGGAGAAAGAGCTCCCAGGCAAATGAAAATTTAAAAAATAGCAGGAATTGCTGTTCTTATATCAGATAAAATAGACTTTAAACCAACAACAATTAAGCTCAAAGAAGGGCATTACATAATGATAAAGGGTTCAATTCAATAAGAAGACATAACTATCATAAATATATTCATACCCAACATTGGAGCATCCAGATTCATTAAACAAATTCTTCTCAACTTATAAAAAAGAGCTAGATAGCCACACAATAACTGTAGGAGACTTCAACATCTCTCTGAGTGTATTAGAGAAATCATCAAATACAGAAAATTAACAAAGAAATACTGGACTTAAACATGACACTGAGCAAACTGGACCTAATAAACATCTACAAATTACTCCATCTATCAACCACAGAATATACATTCTTCTCATCTGTACATTAAACATATTGTAATATCAACCACATGTTCTATCATAAAGCAAGTCTCAATAAATTTAAAAAAATCAAAATTATACCAAGCACATTTATGGATCACAGTGCAATATAAATATAAATCAAGAATGGCTCTTAAAGCTACCCAAATAAATGGAAATTAAACAACTTGCTCCTGAGTAACTCTTGGATGGCAAAAAAATTAGTCAGAAATTTTAAAAAATTATTTGATCAAAGCAACATAGGCATATTGTTTGATAAATAATTATAAAAGAGATCAAGCAAAATTTTACTGGAAATATATCTTTTAAATGATTGAGGTATTTTTTTCTAGATCATTATCTATTGATATAATATTACTTCTTGCAAGCATCTGTCATAAAAAACTTTCTTAAGACTTAGAAATAGGCAAAAGAGATTACTGTCCGTTCTACCAAAGGAGAGATGTTGTTCTCTTGCCAATCATCCAGTTATTGTCTAGTTCCATGGTGGTGTATTACTTTGTATAGCTTTTATTAACTAGGTTATTTTACAGCTTTGTAGGGTCAGAAGTTAAAATTATTTTTTAAATGATGGCAATGCAAACAATTTGTGTCCAAAGTGGTGAAAAAGTATGTTTTCTCATAAAGAACATAAATATTTTTAGTCAAACTCTCAAGTGAAGAGTGTTACTGGCTCTCTCATTAATTAATGAGTTGAAAAAAATTGACAAGTGTTCATTTTATATTTGAGAGTCGTAATTTGACATTTTACAAGTTATAATTGCACAAATGGGACTAAGCTCACCATCAGTTCTATTCCTGTATATTTTTATAGATGTAATAACTTAGAAAACTCATTCACATTAAAGAAGAGATTTGTTAAATCAACATTTTTCTCTGTTTTAACTGCTTTAGAGTTGTCAAAAATAACATAGTAATCTATTATTATATTAACCAATTGTCATATTTATACAATTAATAAAGCCCATTTATTATTAAATTATCATTAGTGGTTGACTATCCAACAAAACTGATTCTCCAATACTGCTAAAAGCAAAGATTAAGAAACTACTAGATTTGCAAAATGTTCGTCACTCAGTAACTTGGCCATCTCAGAGATTTTGCACCTAGAGGAAACATATACACTATTCTTTCTTTTGCCTTGCCTTGATTCCTAAGGCATATAAATCCAGGAAATGGTACTGATAGAAAAGAAGAACTGGAAAATTATTTCCCTTCTTCTAATAAAGAAAAATCATTCAGAAATTTAGTTATTGGTATGTGTCCAAGTTTTTCACAATCTTACATTCAATGGATAAGAGCCATAGAAAAACAATTAAAATATTTACAATTAATAGATTATAATAATATAACATCAATTAATAAATAATGATATATTATTAATAGGGCATTCCACAAGGCAAGAGAAGCTTAATCATGTGTTTAATCATGATTAGATTAAACACACAAGAAATAATGGTTAAAGACCTGATAATTGAGACTTAATAAGCTGAGTGGGTAACTCTTTGACAGAGCATATCTTAATTACAAGAAAAGTTATCAGAAAATATTTAAAGACTTTGTTGGGAATGCTAATTTCTTCTAAGGATAAAACTGGGAAAAAATATTTTGGTCTATTCGTCTGGGACTATTTTTTTTTTTTTTTTTTACTTTCAGACACTTCTTAACAATTGTACTATGATTTTGAATGATGTTAACATTAGGGGAAGTAGTGTCAGAGATATAAGAGAAATCTCTGTGCTACTTTTGCAATTCTTCATAAGTCTAAAATTAGTTTAAATTAAAAAGCTATAAATGAAGTGTTTGTGTACCCTCAAGTTTATAGACAGTTACTACCACATGCAAAGCAAAGAAACAGTGAGAAGTAAATGAACATATAATTTCCATATAATTTCTCACACATAGAGAGTGCACAATAAATGTAAACAAATATATTACTAAAGTTGGGTATATATAATTGTTACACGGTTTGGTCATGTATCATATTTTTTGCTTAATTTTAACTCTTTCTTTTGTTATTTTATATTTTGACTTTTAATATAGAAAGTGAGAAATTTCCTTTTATGTTTTAGAATTGGTTGAGAGCAAATATTTTATCATAACACATATCATGATTAAACAAAATTCTGCCTTATTAAAACATTCCTAGAGTGGCCATGCATATATAAAATATACATAAAGTATAGATATTTTTCATACTGATTCTTCTTTCATATTTTCGCTTTTTAAAACTTTATTTCAACGTAACTATGCTTTCAGAAATACACTCATATTGGTTAATAGAGTAAAATTTAAGTTTAACTTATCCTACAAAATTTGGACCAAAAACTTGGTACATGGTTTAAGATTCTTAAAAAGGATTTGCAATCTGGTTTATTTTTGTCTATTACAAATGTATAAGAGATCCTCCATCAAATGCTGCTAAAGAAGGCAGCAAGAACCTTGAGAAATTTACCACTGGTTTGCCTCAGAAAAATAACAAGTAATATTCTGCATAAATTTGTAAAATTGGTACAACAAAAAATTGTTGTAATGTTTTAATGCCAGTTTAGAAAGTTCAATAACTAATGGGTATGGAAGGGACTGGGAGGGAACCTATATACACATGTGAAACTCTAAAAGCTATCTGATTTAGTTAATATTGCATGTAGATTGTAAATCTACACAAACCAAGATTCAGATAATTTCTTCAATCTGAGTTAACACTATCTGTTCACTTCAGCTGCTGAGGTCAGTCAGGAAACTGGGAACATTAACTGTAGATTTTCTGACTCATGCATAAAAGAAAATTAAGTTTCTTCCTCAGCTTTTCAGTCCAGAAATGACAGTATACTACAGGCAAAGTATTCCTTCCATTGTCAGCATTCATAGGGTGACATGTAATGAGGTCTACTTGGGTTTTAACTTGTATTAGCACTCATATGCAAAACAGTCTCCAAAGTTAATGACCACATGACTTTAGAAGTGACTATAAAAAATAAAATGGCCCTTCTTAGAAGACTAGAGCAAAACATCCAGCCATGGTTAAAGCCTTATTTTTAAAAATGCAGTCCCTTGTGAATTACACAATTAAAAAAAGTAGCCCCAAAATAAGAAGTAGCTCTGAAGAACAGAGGAAAAAATATAACTTAAAATATCTTCTCTTTTCTATTTTTTTTATTATACTTTAAGTTTTAGGGCACATGTTCACAACATGCAGGTTTGTTACATATGTATACATGTGCCATGTTGGTGTCCTGCACCCATTAACTCATCATTTAACATTAGGTATATCTCCTAATGCTATCCCTCCCCGCTCCACCCACCCCACAACAGGCCCTAGTGTGTGATGTTCCCCTTCTTGTGTCCATGTGTTCTCATTGTTCAATTCCCACCTATGAGTGGGAACATGTGGTGGTTTTTTGTCCTTGTGATAGTTTGCGAGAATGATGGTTTCCAGCTTCATCCATGTCCCTACAAAGGACTTGAACTCATCCTTTTTTATGGCTGCATAGTATTCCATGGTGTATATGTGCCACATTTTCTTAATCCAGTCTATCATTGTTGGACATTTGGGTGGGTTCCAAGTCTTTGCTATTGTGAATAGTGCCGCAATAAACATATGTGTGCATGTGTCTTTATAGCAGCATGTTTTATAATCCTTTGGGTATATACCAGTAATGGGATGGCTGGGTCAAATGGTATTGCTAGTTCTAGATCCCTGAGGAATTGCCACACTGACTTCCACAATGGGTGAACTAGTTTACAGTCCCACCAACAGTGTAAAAGTGTTCCTATTTCTCCACATCCTCTCTAGCACCTGTTGTTTCCTGACTTTTTAATGATCGCCATTCTAACTGGTGTGAGATGGTACCTCATCGTGGTTTTGATTTGCATTTCTCTGATGACCAGTGATGATAAGCATTTTTTCATGTGTCTGTTGGCTGCATAAATGTCTTCTTTTGAGAAGTGTCTGTTCATATCCTTTGCCCACTTGGAAGAATCAATATTGTGAAAATGGCCATACTGCCCAAGGCAATTTATAGATTCAATGCCATCCCCATCAAGCTACCACTTTCTTCACAGATTGGAAAAAACTACTTTAAAGTTCATATGGAATCAAAAAAGAGCCCACATTGCCAAGTCAATCCTAAGCCAAAAGAACAAAGGTGGAGGCACCACGCTACCTGACTTCAAACTATACTACAAGGCTACAGTAACCAAAACAGCATGGTACTGGCACCAAAACAGAGATATAGACCAATGGCACAGTACAGAGCCCTCAGAAATAATGCCACATATCTACAACTATCTGATCTTTGACAAACCTGACAAAACAAAACAAGAAATGGGGAAAGGATTCCCTATTTAATAAATGGTGCTGGGAAAACTGGCTTGTCATATGTAGAAAGCTGAACTGGATCCCTTCCTTACACCTTATACAAAAATTAATTCAAGATGGATTAAAGACTTAAATGTTAGACCTAAAACCATAAAAACCCTAGAAGAAAACCTAGGCAATACCATTCAGGACATAGGCATGGGCAAGGACTTCATGTCTAAAACACCAAAAGCAATGGCAACAAAAGCCAAAATTGACAAATGGGATCTAATTAAACCAAAGAGCTTCTGCACAGCAAAAAGAAACTACCATCAGAGTGAACAGGCAACCTACAGAATGGGAGAAATTTTTTGCAATCTACTCATCTGACAAAGGGCTAATATCCAGAATCTACAATGAACTCAAACAAATTTACAAGAAAAAAACAAACAACCCCATCAACTTAAAATATCTTGAAAACCAATGTGAATATAGGTTCAAAAGATAGTTAAGAGATTCGTTCTCATAAGACTACCTACGATTAAGGCTTATAATGTATTCTCGTATTTCAAGCTTATCACAAGTTACTAAACATCAATTTACAAATAACATGTTCATTTTTCATTCTTTTATCAAAAGAGAAAAATTCTAGCTTAAATTCTACCCAGTGTAGGGGAGGAGGACTAGAAAATAGAAAAGATTCAAACAGTCCCATGTAAATATCACATTTTTTCAAATGGAAGAACTTCCAACTGGACCAGAAGTTCATACTGCTAATGCACTTTTCATTGAAACAATTATTAATAAGTACAAATATGTGACATTAAGGGTAAGAACCTAATATAGGCCTGACAATCAAGTCCTTTTGGAATTTATTCAACAAAAGTATTATGAGGACAAAAAACAAGTACTCAACATCCAAAGTTTTAAACACAAGCTCTTTCTTAGAAATAAAATCATTAATAACAGGACATGTTCCTAGTGGTATTTTGCAGTCAATCCTAAAACAGTTTATAGCCGATGATATTTAGTGAGGAACTATTTTTATAATATATATGGCATTTTTACTTAATTCCATCTTTTATTTATTTATTTTTTTTTGAGATGGAGTCTCACTCTGTCACCAGGCTGGAGTGCAATGGCGGTCTTGGCTCACTGCAACCTCCTCCCAGGTTCAAGCAATTCTCCTGCTTCAGCCTCCCAAATAGCTGGGACTACACGCACACACCACCATGCCTGGCTAATTTTTATATTTTTTGTAGAGATGGGGTTTCACCATGTTGGTCAGATCTTGAACTCCTGACTTCGTGATCTGCCCACCTCGGCCTCCCAAAGTGCTGGGATTACAGGCATGAGCCACCGTGCCTGGCCAATTCCATCTTTAAATCAAAACAAATTTGAAGTGATTTTAATAGAACCTGATATTCCTTGGAAATGATGAGTTACTAACATGTAGAAATGAACGAGGTTTGTTTTCATGATGACTGATTCTATAAGGAAATGATTTGTAATTAATAAATGTTTGCTATGGTGAACTGAATTTTATCTAGATGATGTCTCAGTATTGCTTTCTCATAATTAATTTTACCCAAAACAATTAGTCCTTCCCATTCCTCGTCTCATTCTGTAGCCTCCAGACACTTCATTTATTCCATGACTTAGCATTTTTTGTTTGTTTAGCTATTCTGTAAAAGCATTTCTATTATTCACCATGCATACCTCCATTCTTTGCCAAGCATGTTTTCAGTGTGTCATAGTCTAGCTGAATTTTGTCCCTTTGTTAATGCCTTCTACATTCTGCAAGTC
The DNA here is from genome assembly GCF_000001405.40 of Homo sapiens. Lineage (NCBI taxonomy): Eukaryota > Metazoa > Chordata > Mammalia > Primates > Hominidae > Homo > Homo sapiens. Next base: position 46,789,345 of record NC_000014.9, read on the forward strand.
TGCTTTGTTTTACAAATCAAATTTTACTGTTTCAATTGTTATTTCTTATATTCACCAAATTATTCTGAAGCAAAATTTAACCTATTTCTTTATAACTCATGATTTTTTTTATTTGTATATGAACAAATAATTAATTTTTCTAAATATTCATAAATTCCCTGTGGGAGTTTTATGGGCTGAGATTTTTCTACATTTTTTTTCTTTATTTTACAAAATATATTAGATGATTTTATGGAGATTCATAAATTTATTTTTCATTTTGCTTTTTTTGCAGTTATATTCTTATTAGAAATTAGGTATATTAATATACTATGCATCAGGTTAAGTGCTAAGTAATCTATATGCATTATTTTATTACATTAAAAGAACTCTATAAAAATTTATGTCATTGCACCCACCCTTCAATTGATGAAACTGAAGGACAGATATTCTAAGTAAATTTCCTAGGCCGGTTTTGTAGCTAACAAATGAAAGACTTTAAATTAAGATCCTGCAACCACACATCTTGTATTCTGTAAATATTGATTCATGCAATTTACCTTATTGTTTCTTAATAACTGACAGCAGGTCCATTTCATTCAAGGACTAATGATGCTTTTTGTCAGTACACTTAAAAGAGATTTCTTTATTTTGGAAAACAGATGTGCCAAAGGCTGATAATGTTGAATCTGAAGCCTTCAAGGCCAGTGTCTCATGTCTGTGGTCTGGGGAAAAGTATGAAGTTGTAATAAACTAAATACCACTTTGGGGTTTGAATAGTGGATTCAAATATATGCATCACAGCTATGTGTAACCTCTGCCTGTTTTGTCCTCCAATCTCACCATCGTTTGATATCCAAACCTAAGTGGCATGGGAGAAGGGTACAAAGGAAAAGTTATAATCATCCTAATGTCTTTATTTTCCTGACCATCACACAGCCACCTAATAGATACTTCCAGAGAATGTGGTAAGAGATCAGGACTTTGTCAGTTTTGTCCCTAGAGTGCAGTCAATGTCCTCCTACCAATCCAGAGACTCACATGTACTACAGGTGCTATGGCTCTTTCTCAATCCTGCTTCAAGCGTGCATTTGTAGAATTATAACAGATATCTTTATTTGAAAAAAGGACTTCCACAGTTTGTTTATCTGTTTGCCACTTAACTTTTTTGACACTTGCATGGCTATTTTAATGAGAAATAGAGAGAGGCAATCACAAACAGAAAAGCTTGGTTAACAGCTTTTAGAAGCACTGGCTTGTGTTCATGGATGCAAATATAATATTTGAACATCAAAGAAACCTTTGAAGCCAGCATTTTTTCACCCAGATATTAATTCAAAAAATTTTTAATTTTCCTTCATGTTTTTGGACCCTTTGCTTTCAGATTAATATATTTAATTACTCTATACAAACATGTGCATATCTAAAACATTAAGAGATAAACAAAATATATTATTCTGATATTTTGAATGAGAAAGGGTCGTATACATACACTTTCTAAAATAATTTAATAGAAAAATTACATCAACTTTAACAACATAATTAGATGAAAAGTAGCATGTCTCTTTTATAATTATCTTAAAATTTTTAAAGAAATGACTTAATTTAACTTGAAAATTTATTCACAGATATAATCATCTGTCTTAACAATGTTTGGAATTCAAAACCATATGCCCGTTAAGTATATATTCTCCCTATTCTGAAAAGTGTATTATGTATTTCAAATTATACACACACACACAAGTATATGTGTGTGTATGTATATATATATATGTGTGTGCATATATGTGTATATATGTGTGTGTGTGTGTATATATATATATATATAACAACCTTGTTTTCAGATTGTTGTTATGGTTGTTGTTTACCTAGAGCTGTTTAGCATTCCCTTCTACTATGCCTCGTTCATTTTGTGACTCTACTTTTAAATGTCTCCAGAGATTTTTCATTAAAAAAAAATCTCTGCCCTGCTTTTTACAGAAAGCCTCTTGGGATTTCTAACTGTTGATATCCCAGCCATCAGTCCAGGTTTCTTCCCCCAACATCTCCTTTTCTCCTTTGCCTGATACCCGCATGCTTAGCTCCTTTCCTTTGCCTCGCCACCACCCATTTTCTACTCCTCAGTGTTTCCCTTCTTCCCAGGCTCCTAGCTCTTGCTTCTGCTATTCCAAACCAGCTGCATCCTCTGCTTTCATACCCCTATTGATGTTTCTTTTTATAAAATGCTTTCCCGTTTTCTTTTGTCTATTTTACTTTTATAGATTCAATTAAAGTCTATCTTTTGCAAAAAACTTTGCCAAAGAACACAAATGCTGATTTTCCTCCAGATTCCTAAACTCCTTATAGTTCAATACAAAAGTATAAAGTACTTATCGAATTATTTATCCTTGTATACTGTTTATGCTGAAATTTCAAAATTTCAGTTGTTCAAACTACATTTTTTCTCCCACAACAGTTTTTCACAATGGTAGATGAGTTGTATTATGAGAACTCTTACTAGAAAGAGTTATGAGAAAAAATATTTGACCACCTTACTGTACTCCATCTTGGTTTGATTCACTGTGCCAATTTGATTTAGCCACCCTAAAGTGTACAGAAAGAGAAATAACTCCTTAAATTAGTTCATAGATCAGCAATCAGCCAACATAGTACTCCCTGGCAGCCAACCAATCCTCAGTTGTCAAAGACAGACTTGACTAACAGAACAATCACTTTTTCTGATAAAATATGTTGGACTTTCCCTTAATAAGAAACCCCCTTTGCCTCTGTTTGAAGTTAATGGCCTTCACAGAGAATGCTCTTCCTTGTGATGTATATGAGTTGATAAAATATGCTTTTTAAAAAAGTAAAAGCACCATTCTAATACAGATATAAAATTAATGCATGTCAAAGATTGTATACATACTTATTGAGGGAACCAGTTTTGACTCAAATAAAAATTGGACATATACAATATATGCTTGCACACCTTGGTGATATTGCAGGTTGTATTCCAGACCACCACAAGAAAGTGAGTATAGAAATAAGGTGATTGCTTCATTCACTAAAACCAATTTTTTTTTGTTTTCCAAGGCACATAAAAGTTATGTTTACAATATACTCTAGTCTATTAAATGTGCAATAGCATTATGTCTAAAAATATGTACATAACTAAACTAAAAAATATTTTGCTGCTAAAAAAACTAATGATCATCTGAGCCTTCAGAGAGCTGTAATATTTTTACTGGAGAAGGATCTTTCTTCAATGTTGATGGCTACGAACTGATTAGGGTGGTGGTTGCTGAAGGCTGGGGTGGCTGTGGCAATTTTTAAAAATTCGACAGCAATGAAGTTTTTGCTCCATCAAAGGACTCTTCCTTTCATGAAAAATTTCTTTGTAGTATGCGATGTTCTTCAATAACATTTCATCCACAGTAGAACTTCTTTCAAAATTGGAGTCAGTCCTCTCAAATTCAGCCACTGCTTTATCAACAAAATTGATTAAATATTCTAAATCTTTTGTTGTCATTCCAACAACATTGACAACTTCACCAGGTTGTGAATGTTACTGAAATGACAACAACAGATTTTGAATATTCAATAAATACATTGTGTCTCAAGAAACCACTTTCATTCCTCATCCATTAAAAAAAAAACTCCGCATCAGTTAAAATTTTATCATCAGATTATAACAATTTAGTCACATCTTTGGGCTCCTATTCTAATTCTACTCCCTTGCTCGATCACATCTGCAATTATTTCCTCCACTGAAGTCTTAAATCCCTAAAATATCATCCATGAGGTTTGGAATCAATTTCTTTCAAACTCTTGTTAATGTTGATATTTTGACCTTGTCCCATGAATCATGAATGTTCTTAATGGCATCTAGAATAATAAATCCTTTCCAGAAAGTTTTTAATGTACTTTGCCCAGATTTATTAAGGTATCACTATTTATTGCAGCAATACTGTATGAAATGTATTTCATAGATAATAAGGCTTGAAAGTCAAGTCTTGATCCATGGGCTAAAGAATGGATATTTTGTTAGCAGGCATGAACACAACATTAATCTCTTTGTACATCTCCATTAGAGCTCTGGGGTAACCAGGTGCATTGTCAATGAGCAGTAATATTTTGAAAGAAATCTTTTTTCTGAGCAATGGCTGTCAATAGTAGGCATAAAATACTCAGTAAACCATATTACAAACAAATTTACTGTCACCCAGACTTTGTTGTTTAATTTATAGAGCATAGGAAGAGTAGATTTAGCATAATTCTTAAGGGCCCTATGCTCTTCAGAATGGTAAACATGCATTCGTTTCAACTTAAAGTCACCAGCTGCATTAGGTCCTGAAAAGAGAGTCAGCCTGCCCTCTGACGTTGTGAAGCCAGGCATCGATTTCTCTTCTACTTTGAAAGTCCAAGGTGGCATATTTTTTTTCAATAGAAGGCTGTTTCATCTACGTTGAAAATCTATTGTTTTAATGACACCCTCATTAACGACCTTAACTAGATCTTCTGGGTCACTTTCTTCTACATCAGCACTTGCTGCTTTGCCTTGCACTTTTTATGTTATAGAGATGGCTTCTTTCCTTAAACCTCATGAGCCAACATGTGTTAACCTCACATTTTTCTCCTGCAATTTCCCCACCTCTCTCAGCTTTCATAGAATTGAAGAGAGTTAGGTCCTTGTTCTATATTAGGCTTACAAGAATGTTGTTGCTGATTTGGTCTTTTATCCAAACTACTAAACTTTCTCCATATTAGCAATAAGGGTGTTTTGCTTTCTTATCATTTGTATGTTCACTGGAGTAGTACTTTTAATTTCCTTCAAGAACTTCAACTTTGCATTAAAAATTTGGCTGTTTGGTGCAAGAGGCCCAGCTTTTGGCCGCTCAGCTCTCGACATGCCTTCCTTACTAAGCTTAATCATTTCTAGCTTTAGATTTAACATGAGAGATATGAGACTCTTCCTTTCACTTGGACACTTAGAAGTCACTGTAGGACTATTAATTGGTCTATTTCAATATTGCTGTGTCTCAGAGAATAGGCAGGCCAGGAGAGAGAGAAAGAGAGAGAGAGAGACAGAGAGAGAGACAGAGGGAGACAGAGAGAGGAACTGCTGGTTGGTGGAGCAGTCAGAACACTAACATTACACTTGTCAATTAATTTTGCTATCTTATGAGTGCAGCCTATGGTGCTCCAAGACAATTACAATAATAACATAAAAAATCACTGATCACAGATCATCATAACAAATATCAAAATAATGAAAAAGTTGGAAATATTTTGAGAATTCCCAAAATGTAATAGACAGATGAAGTCAGCATATGCTATTGGAAAAATGGTGCCACTAGACTTGCTCAACACAAGTTGCCCAAAATCTTCAATTTGTAAAAAATACATCAGTGAAGCACAGTAAAATTAGGTATGCCTGTATTATATATACATATTATCTATTGGACATTGGACATTATATACTTGCATTAATAAACACAAGAAGCATTTGCACTCCCATCAATTTTCTACAACAAACTAAGTTGTTTTATCACTCAGGAATGTAAAATAGCCTGGTCAAAATAACAAAAGATACACATTCTTTTTGTTGACTTCGATTTTAGACTGGGGAGTACATGTGAAGGTTTGTCACATAGGTAAACACGTGTCACGGGGGTTAATTGTACATATCACTTCATCACCCAGGTATTAAGCCCAGTACCAAATATTTATCTTTTCTGCTCCTCTCCCTCCTCCCACCCTCTGCCCTCATGTAGAACCCAGTGTGTCGTTTCCTTCTTTGTGTTCATAAGTTCCGATCATTTAGGTCCTCCTTGTAAGTGAGTACATGAGTGAGTACATGAGGTTTTCTGTTCCTGCATTAGTTTGCTAAGGATAATAGCCTCTAGCTCCATCCATGTTCCTGCAAAAGACATGATCTCATTCTTTTTTACAGCTGCATACTATTCCATGGTATATATGTATCACATTTTCTTTATGCAATCTCTCATTGATGGGTATTTAGGCTGATTCCATGTCTTTGCTATTGTGAATAGTGCTTCAGTGAACATTTGCATTCATGTATCTTTATGGTAGAATGATTTGTATTCCTCTGGGTATATACCCAGTAATTGGATTGCTGGGCTGAAGGATAATTCTGCTTTCAGCTCTTTGAAGAATCTCCATACTGCCTTTCACAATGGTTGAACTAATTTACACTCCTACTAACGGTGTATATGGGTTCCTTTTTCTCCACAGCCTCACCAGCATCTGCTATTTTTTGACTTTTTACTAATAGCCATTCTGACTAGTGTGACATGATCTCCCATTGTGATTTTGAGTTGCATTTTTCTAATGATGAGTGACATTGAGCTTTTTTGTTCATATTATTGTTGGCCACACATATGTTGTCTTTTGAGAAGTGTCTGTTTAGGTCCTTTGCCCACTTTTTAATGGGGTTGTTTTTTTCTTGTAAATTTATGTTCCTTATTGATGCTGGACATTAGACCTCCGTCAGATGCATAGTTTGCAAAAATTTCCTCCCGTTATCTAGGTTGTCTGTTTCCTCTGTTAATAGTTTATTTTGCTGTGTAGAAGCTCTTAAGTTTAATTAGATCCCACTTGGCAATTTTTGCTTTTGTCGCAATTGCCTTTGGTGTCTTCATCACGAAATCTTTGCCTGTTCCTATATCCAGAATGGTATTCCTTAGGTTGTCTCTCAGGGTTTTTATAGTTTTGGATTTTACATTTAAGTCTTTAATCCATTTTGAGTTAGTTTTTATGTGTGGTGTAAGGAAAGGGTCCAGCTTCAATCTTCAGCATATGTCCAGCCAGTTATCCCAGCATCATTTATTGAATAGAGAGTCTTTTCCTCATTGCTTGCTGTTGTCACCTTTGCCAAAGATCAGATAGTCTCAGATGTGCAACCTTATTTCTGGGCTCTCTATTCTGTTCCATTGGTATATGTGCCCGTTTTTGTACAAGTACCATGCTGTTTTGGTTACTTTAGCCTTGTAGTGTAGTTGAAGTTAGGTAACGTTATGCTTCCAGCTTTGTTTTTTTTGCTTAGGATTGCCTTGGCTATTTGGGCTCTTTTTGTTTTTTTGGTCCCATATGAATTTTAAAATAGTTTTTTCTAGTTCTGTGAAGAATATAATTAACAGCTCGATAGGCATAGCATTGAGTCTGTAAGTTGCCTTGGGCAGTATAGCCATTTTAATGATACTGATTCTTCCTATCCACGAGCATGGGATGTTTTTCTATTTGTTTGTGTCTTCTCTGATTTCTTTGAGCAGGGTTTGGCAATTCTCATTTTAGAGATCTTTCACTTTTCTGGTTAGCTGTATTCCCAGGTATTTTATTCTTTTTGTGGCAATTGTGAATGAGATTGCCTTTCTGATTTGGCTCTTCATTTTGCTGTTGTGGTATATAGGAATGCTAGTAATTTTTGTACATTGATTTTGTATCTTGCAATTTTGCTGAAGTTTTTATCAGCTGAAGGAGATTTTGGTCCAAGATTATGGTGTTTTCTCTATATAGAATTATGTCATCTGCAAACAGAGAGAGTTTGACTTCCTCTCTTCCTATTTGGATGCCGTTTATTTCTTTCTCTTGCCTGATTGCTCTGGCTAGGATTTCAATACTATGTTAAATAGAAGTTGTGAAAGAGGACAGCCTTGTCTTGTGCCCATTTTCAAGGGGAATGCCTCCAGGTTTCTCTCATTCAATATTATGTTGGTTGTGAGTTTGTCATAGAAGGCTGTTATTATTTTGAGGTATAGTCCTTGAATACCTAGTTTATTGAGAGTTTTTAACATGAAGGGATGTTGAAATTTATCATAATTCACATTATTTTTGAATCAGATTATTCCTAGAAGTATCTATAATACATGATCTAACAATCCATTGCAAGGATATGCAGTCATTGCTTTTGTTTATTTCTATTAGAAGTAATTTATTTATTAATTCTGTTAGAAGTAATAGGCATTAGAGTTGCAATGATTTAAACAAAGGAGAAAGGGAAAGAGACAAATTCCTGGCTCATAGTGTGTCACAGTCAGACACACTAAAATCATGTAAAATAAATTATAAAACAATATGACAAATATGAGATAAAGGTATGAATAAGTATTAAGAGTACTATTCACTTTTGCTTTCAGAAGTGTCAAAAAACTTCAGAAGTGTTTAGATTAATAAAGCATTTTTTAAAAATAAATTCATTAAAGTTAACAAAGTATGAGTCTATTTAAAATTAAGGAAAGCAGACAATTGAAAATTTAGAAACACTGTAAAAAGCAAAAACAAAAATAAAAGTCCATGCTTTAATACACAGCAATTAAGATTAATCCATTGGAGTTCCCTCAGACTTGAGATGGCCTTCCTCAACTTTCCTTCTTGAGTGTATATCTTAAGGAATGTGCCATTTGAGGTCTCTAACCTCTGCACTTGTTACTTTCCTTCTAATACTAAGTTTTACTGCAACATTTTTTCGAGACTCTTGAAGTATTGGCACTTTTTCTTCCCCTTTGTTTTGTTCATCATTCTCTTGCTTTATTATTGCCATCACAAATTTATTATTCTTTAATCTGTGTTTGCTGATCTTTGGGAGAAAAAATAAAGGTTATGTTTATTTTAGAAATGTGCTGTAATATGTCTAACATTCCTACATATTTTTTTTTCTTTTTTTCAGTTTCAAGAAGAACAACCTTAAAGATGCTATCTTTTCAGGGCCCAGCACTTTCTTTAGTTTGGCTTCTTTCAACTCAGAGACAAAATGACGACAACAACAACAAAAACCCTAAAACAAAACAAAACAACTATAAGTTGTGTTTCCTTAGTTTTGTGTATATTTTGTCTACACGTCTAATATTATCTTTTGGTTATGTAACAATACTACTTTACACTGTCATGATGATTGTTACTTGTCCTTTTTCCAGTTTCCTACTCGGTCCCTATTTTCAGTAGATTCATTATTAAAACATAAGATTAAAATTAGAAGAGGCTCATAGGAAAGAATGAGTTTTGTTTGCAAGTGCAAAGACTTGACCTGAGATGTCTTTGATGAGAAACAAAATTATAGAAATAGTATATTGTTGCACATAAGAAAATTAAGGGAAAGATAATGGTTATGAGAACTTCAGATTAAAATGCATTCAGGTCTCACCCTCTAATTCTTATTTCTATATTTGTCTGTATTCTCTTTAACTGTATTTCTTGAAAAAATGAGAAGCATTTACTTTTGTATCAATAGGACTGCATGCTCGCAACTCTGATCTGGATAAAATACTGCTTTTCTCCCAGGAAACATTTAACATTAATAAGAAGACATGGAAGTCTTCTTATGTCTCTTGCTTTAGGTATATGTTTGTATTTTCGACTACTGTATCTACTGAGATGATGATGAATTTAGCTCTTTATTCTATTAATGTGGTGAATAAGATTGATTGTTAAATGCTAACCCAGCATACATTTTTGGAATAAACCACACTAGATAAGTTTTCTAGTTACCTATTGCTGCCTAACAAACCATCCTAAACTCAGGGTTGCTATAATAACAAACAAGTTATTTTTATTTTTAGGTCATATGGCTCAGGGGGCTGACTAGGCTCAGATGGGTGGGTTTTGCTCACAATCCCATATAAGGTTACAGTCAGATAATGGCCAGGACTGGAATCATTGCAAAGTCATCCTCATCCATATGTAAGGCAAATGATGCTGGAAATCTCTCCATGTGATCTAGACTTTTCCACAGCAGTGACTGGGTTCCCAGGACAATACTACTGAGAGAAAGGAGGAGAGATGCTGTGTTGCTCTTTAAAGTCTAGCCTAAGAAGTCTTTTTAAGTAAACAAAAATTGAGATAATTTATCAGAAATAGGTCTAGAATTTAAGAATGTTAAAGGAGTTTCTTTAGGTGATGGATTTTGCATAAACCTGGGATTATGGAGGTTTTCTGCCTCTCTTCTAGTGGCTAATATTTGCTTCATAGGCGAGAATACTCTGGAAAACTGTGTGAGATTTCTAGGCCAAACCCCAAAGCAGTAAATCACCCACTGCATAATTTTGCCTGCAACAGGAATATCCCTCTCCTGTTCCATGCTCAGTTCCCAATCTTTCTCAAGAGCATCTAGTGATGACCCATGGAAAAGATCTTGAGGGTGTGTGTGAAATAATCTTGTTACAAAACACTCACAGTTCTCTAAATTGCCATGCTACCTTATTTTTGCTCTTTTAATTTTTCCTTTTTTTTTTTCCTTTGAGACACAGTCTTGCTCTGTTGCCCAAGCTGAAGTGCAGTGGCAAGATCTAGGCTCATTGCAACACTGACCTCCCAGACTCAGGTAATCCTCCTCAGCCTCCAAAGTAGCTGGTGTTACAGGCATGTACCACCATGCCTGGCTAATTTTTTGCATTTTTTGTAGAGACAGGGTTTTGCCGTGCTGCCCACGCTGGTCTTGAACTTGTTGGCTCAAGCAATCCTCCCCGCTCAGCCTCCCAAAGTGCTGGGATTACAGGATTGAGTTGCCACACCCAGGCCTGCTCTTTAAGAATGTGTTAAAATTGTTGTTTTTTCTTACATGATTTTATTATCCTCATTTTTTCTTCCAGTACTTTGCCAAAGGTGAAACAGTTCCCGTGTTCCATGTTTTCCAAGAGAAATTTGTCACCCTTTGGAATTCAAAATACTTATTGCTATATGACTTCATATCTCTGATTACCTTAAAACAAACAACACAGTTCTGTATGTTGTTTAGCTATTTTCTTACTGCTACTGGAATAATGACATTCACTTGGGTCTTTCCATGTCCTAAACAGAGTGAAACTATTATATCTTTACCAATGATGTATCTTTTTGCTGGATGTAGAATTTTCCTTTGACAGTTTATTTTTCCCTTTGAACATTCTAAGAATAGCTTTTCATATTTGCCTTAATTGCATCATTGTGATAAGCAAGATTTTTAAAGTTTTATCTCTTTTAAATGTATCATATATCTTTTTGGCTGACTTTAAGGTTTGCCTTTTTACTTCAGTTTTCAACATTTGACTACTATGTACCTAGTTATAATTTTGGGGGGTTTATCATGCTTTAAATTTGCTGAGCTCCATGGACATATGAGTTGATATTCTTGATAAAAATTGATATTGGGACCTTATTTCTTCAAATATTCTTCTTCCTCAATTTTTATCTTCTTTAGTTTTCTTCTTCTCTTCCATTAAAAATCTATTAGTTTCTTTGATATAATCTATTTTTTAAAGAATTGGTCTTACATGTGTATATATGTGAAAAACATGGAAAAGAAGAAAGTAATTATAAAATCTAAACATGTTTAGAACAATTTAGAATAACTGTCTGCACACAGACTCTTTCTCTATGTGCTTCAATTAAGATAATTTTTATATATTTATCATTTCTTCTGTAGTGCCTAATCTACTGTTAAGCATATTCACTAATTCTTTATTTTATAGATAATAATTTTATTCTATAATTTCTAGTCGGTTCTTTTTTACATTATTTCATTTCTCTGCTGAGATTCCTATCTCCTAACTCATCATATTCATCTTTTTTTAATTAAATCATCAACTTCATTTATAATTGGCTTCAAATTCCTTGTTGGCTAGTTTTAACATCTGTGTTAACTATATTATATGCTATATATTGTCAATGCTATACTTCTGACAGCCTAGAATGTATTTATTTATTTATTTATTTATTTATTTATTTTAAAGGGTATTCACTTCTGTTCTACCAACATGTTTTTAAAATAGTAAATAAGCTTGGTTGTCCCCATACTCTGTTTCAAGATTTTGAGGGAAGTTCAAGAATAGTCAATTTTCTCATGCTACAATAGCTTTATTTCTAAAATATGGTGAAGTTTTAATTTATAACAACTTCAGGCTGGCTCCTCTTTCAAAGAAACTTTTGCTTTTCTTTCTCTAGCTCTGCTTTACTTTAAAAGAATATAAATATTTTTTCATGATTGGCCAAATCATGGTGTCATAGAATCAGAGGGTTTTGTTTATGCTGTGTCCCATTTATTCTATTTTGTACTAATGACATTTGCTGTGGAACGATACTGATATGAAGAACACTTGTCTAGTGCTTAATTTTATGCAATACTCTTCCACACGAGCAACATAGAACTGATCAATTTGCAAACCATTATTACTTTTGGAATTGCTCCCAGGAGAGAAAAAATAACAATTTTCCTATTTCATCTTCTTAAGAGTCACTCTTTTCTTATCATTACCCTCATTTTTTTGTGATAAAATTTTTTTTTTACTTTCATAGTAACAAAATTTATGGCATCAGTTTACTAAAAGGTGTGAAGAAGTCAGCTAAATAACTAGTGCTGACAGCTGTAATTCATTTCCTCAGCAATCAATACGCTCCAAAATGAAATCACTTATAAAAACATCTCAGAAAGCAATTTATAGGAATCAATTACTACCCATGATGGAGAGGTATTATAAGCTGTTATCTAATAATAAAGAGAACAATCTATCAGATATAACTGACCCACAAATGACAAATTAATAGAATTATGATCAAAGGAATAGAAAAAGACATTAGAACAGTGACTGTAACTATATTCCATATGTTCAAGAACCTAGAGAAAGATTGAAGATGTTAAGTTGTATTAGCCCGTTTTCATGCTGCTGATAAAGACATACTCGAGACTGGGCAATTTACAAAAGAAAGAAGTTTAATTGGACTTACAGTTCCACATGGCAGGGGAAGCCTCACAATCATGACAGGAGGCAAGGAGGAGCAAGTCACCTCTTAAATGGATGGTAGCAGGCAAAGAGAGAGATTGGGCAGGGAAATTTCCCCTTATGATACCATCAGATCTCATGAGACTTATTAGCTATCATGAGAACAGCATGGGAAAGACCTGCACCCATAATTCAACTGCCTCCCTCCAGATCCCTCTCACAACATGTGGGAATTCAAGATAAGATTTGGGTGGGGACACAGCCAAACCATATCATAAATGGAGACATAGAAGAATCAAAAAGACACAAATCAACTTCTAGAGATGAAACTATATTTAAGATTAAACAATACACTTGATGGAACTAATAGAAGGTTATGTTTTGCAGAAAAAAAGTAACAAATTTAAAGACATAGCAATAGAAAGTATCCAAAAGGAAATGCATAGAAAAAACGAATAGACTATCATTGAGCTGTGGGCAACTTCAAGCAGACTAATATGTGTATAATTAAAGCAACTGAAGTCTCCACAAGAGGGCTGTGTGGTGGTTTTCAAATATAACCACAAATTCATTGATATTCCTTTTTTAATATATGGAGCCTTGTATTGATGCTCTTGAATGTGAAATGGACTTATGACTTGGTTCTAAAGAATAAAGTGACAATGATGGAGTGTGACTTTGGAGAGTAGGTCATAAGAGGTACCATAGCTTTCTTCTCAGTCATTCACATTTGAGAAGAAATTAGCTGCCATGTTGTAAAAATAGTCCTACCTGTTAAAAAACTAACGCCTTTTGCCAACAAGAATTGAGGAACTGAGGCATCCTGCCAACAGTCATGTGAGTGAGTTACCTTTAAACACATTCTTTAGTCCAGATAAGCCATTAGATGACAGCAGCCCTGTCCAACAAATGACTATAACCGCATGAGAGACTCTGATTCAGAACTATCCAGTAAGCTTCTTCTGAATTCCTACTCACAGAAACAATGATATAATATTCAGTTATTAAAGCTGCTAGTTTTTATTTAGGAATTTATAATATATTGGGAATTTATAATATATTTAGGAATTTATAATTGATATTGATATAGTATAACATGAATAACATGTTATACAGCAATAGATTACTAATACACATTTTTATGCCTAAAAGTGAGGAACTGCCACAAAATAACTCTATACTGTGACAATGACTATTAAACTGAACATTGGGAAGAAGCTGGGAACATTTGAGAGGGTTTATAAAAGCTGAAAAAGCCTAGAATAAAGTGTCTGTAGAAGCACCATGGACTTTTGGGAGGCTATAAGTGAGGACTTAAAGGAAAGTGGGAAAAATTTTAAATTGGAGGAGACTGGATACTTGTTACATGGTGGGAGTTAGAAATACTGTCCTCTCTAATAATATTTAACATAAAAAACACTCCTAATGAACTGGATTACCTAGCTAAGGACATTCCCACTCTCAGTGTTGAACGTGCTTTCTGGTGGCTTCTTACTGCTTACAGTAAAATGTGAGAGGAAAGAGATAAACAATGGAAATGCTCTAAAACAATAATAATTAGAGGTTTAATAGCATTGAAAATTATCAGACTTCCCAAAAAGCAAAACATGTTAAAAATCAAGCAATGGCTTCCAAGAAATGGTCAAATACAGTTCACTGTAAGAAAATCATTGTCTAAATATGAAACCAAAGGCATGAATGTAAAATGTGTTGTTAGGATCTCAGACATATCAATGGTCTTGCCTCAAACAAAAGATCCATTCAAGAATTTAATTAATCATCTCATGGATCCTTTCAAACAAATGATAGGTTTTCTAAGAAGCTTAAAGGCACTGTCCTTGCTGTCACAGTAGAAGTCCTATGTAGAGAAGACTTATCTTGAAGAAATTTGTGAGTATAAGTTTTGAGAATGAAGTGAACCCCAGTATTATTCATCTGGGACCTACGAAATTTGAAAACAATTACATTCACTAAACACTGTGAATTTACAATTAAGACATGAAGGTGGTAAAAAGCGAAAAGTTTTTGGATTCCCAAAATTTGACCAGCAGGAAGCAGCCTAAGTAAATTATGCACCAGCAAACATGGGTTACTTTTACAGAAAAGAAGGATGATTGAGAGGGAGAAACCAAGAGCCCAAAAAGCATAATAAAAAGCCCCAGAAGGCAAAGACAATTGTCAGGAAGCATTATTTCTTAGAAAGACTATCATGAGTTATAATCAAGGACCTTCTAACACTTGTTTGGATGACTTTCAAAATGAGCATGAATTAATGATTTTGTTATTTCCATTTTTCCCTTTGTGAACAGGAATGTCTATAATAGTTATTGTATATCTGTCCCACTACTGTGTGTGGAGAGTGGGTGGGCATCACGTCTGTTTATACCTTAGGTCATACTTCAGTAACTGTATCTAAGAAACTAAAGTGAGGCAGCAGCTTCTCCATATGGAACTGATATAAATGGCAAGATAAGGAACTTTTTGCTAGTTATATAATGGGATAAGACTTTGGAAACTTGGAAAGAAATGAATGTATTTTGCATATGATAGGATTATAAATAGTTTATCACCAGAAGCTAGCACTGTATATTGCAAAGATTTGTCTTTTCTTTATTAAATTATCTTGGCATATTTGTCAAAACTCAGTTGACTTTATATGTGTGGGTTTATAGTAGGTTACTCTATTCTGTCACACATATTTATGTATCCATACTTTTACCAATACTACACTGTCTTGATTAACACTGTTTTGAAGTAGTGTGTGCTCTCATTTTTTTCTTTTTCAAAATTGTCTTGACTATTATAGTTTTTTATTTTTCATGTAAATTTTAGAATCAGCTTGTAAATTTTTACAAAAGAAGTCCCCCTAAAATTTTGATTGTAATGCATTAAATTTGTACAAAAATTTAGTTTCTTAACAACTTCTCGAGAATGGTGAGTCTTCCTATCTTTGAACTTACAAATCTCTCCATTAATTTCAATCTTTTGGATTTCTTTCATGAATATTTTGTAGTTTTCAGCATAGAGATGTTTACATTTTTGGTGCTATGTATACTTATTTCATGTTTTTCCGTACTATTATAAATATTATTGCTTTTTCAATTTTAATTTCCAGTTGTTCATTGCTATTATGTAGAAATATAATTGATTGTCATATATATATCTTAAATATATTGACTTCATTAAGCTCACAATATTTGTAGTAACTAATTTTTGTATCTTTGGATTTCTCTATGCAGACAATTATTTTGCCTGTGCATAGAAACAGTTTATATCTTCCTTTCCAAATGTATGCCTTTTACTCCTTTTTCGTATTTTATTGTACAGTCCAGAGCCTCCAGGATAATGTTGAATAGGAGTGGAGCGATTGAATATTCTTTCCTTGTTTACTATTTTTGGGAGAAAGGGTTTCACTGTTATCTATAATGTGAGCTATAAGCTTTGTTTTTAATAGATAGCCTTTATCAGGTGAAGGAATTTATAATACGTTGATATTGACATTTTCTGCATTTAATGAAATTATTATTTTTTCCTTTTTTGTATGTTTAATTATATTGTTTTTCACATGTTGAATCAACTCTACATTTCCTATATAAACCCACTTGTCAGGATGTATTACACCTTTATACATTGCTAGATTGGACTTCCTGACATGTTGTTTGTAATCTTTGTGTCTAAGTCCATTATATACCCTGTAGTTATATTTTCTTATAATATATTTTTATCATTCTTGAATAATTTATTTTTGAACTTCATGTCTCTCTTCTAATGTTAGACTTATATTTAAGCTTTAACAGGGCAACACCTTTGCCAAAATCAAAAACTCCTTTAATCAGCAATGTGTCACTTATGTCATACAAAGTTGTTTAAAAGAAATAACCCGTAAGCTTTATAAATTCCAATTTTCATTACTTATTTAATACTAAAGATATGATTCTCTGTTGCTAGGGAATTCAGGGAATTCAATGTTATATTTTAGGAATACTAAGTAAGGAAAATGCTAAAAATAAAGCATTTTAACTAAGTGAGTAGGTTTTTAAAATTACTATTACTAGTTTACTTAAACACCAGCTCAGAGTGTTGTGATTATCAAATGCACTGACATGTAGTTTGGTATGTTATTCAGCATCCATTATCTCCTTCCTTGTTACTAACTTAGGGATTTTGTTTCATGTATATGTTGCCAGAGGGCTTAGGTGCGTCTCCAGGTACTGGTGAGATCACTAACCCCAGCGTGGTGTTCCAGGTTCTTGAAACTGCCCCAAGAAAGCATTCAGAGACAAGTTAGAATGAAGCAAAAGGCAAGAAGCGTTTATTGCAAACTGAAAGTACACACTCAAGAGTGGGAATGCAGGTGTATTTGGGAGAGTAAGTCATGCACAATGGAGTTTGGGTTTCTAATTTTATGGGCTCTTCTAATTAGGGAGTGGAATAATCATGAGGTTTTCTAGGGAAAAGGTGGAGATTTCTTACAATTGAGATGCCACTAATTCTTATACTCAATATAGGCATGCTCGGATCTGTCATGATACTGGTGGATGTGTGATTTAGTATGGTAATAAGCACATAATTAAGTCTGTGATATGGCATGGGTCAAACCCAACACTATGTTGGACCCAGCCAGTTTCAACTAGCTTAGGCCCCACCCTGTTTTGTTAGGATCATATCAGCCCAGAACTCATCGTCGTCCTTGTAGCTAATGTTAACAACTCCTTTCTTGCTGTTATGTGAAATTACTGCTGATATGTTTCCCACTTCTCCTGTGACCACCCAGCATTCCTATTTTATAGGTGTTTCTTTAATTAGGGGGTGGAATAGTCATTAGATATTCTAGAAAAGGAGGGGATTTCAAGGACCCTCAGTTGCTGACCCCTTTTCCCCTTCTTTGGGTTTGCCTGAGTCATGGACATGTCACCCTGATCGGGATTTTGGCCATTTTCTCTCCCTTATGTTGGGCTTTCTGTTATCCTATGGTTTCTTTGTCTAGTTCTTGTTTCAACTGTCATTTGGGTTTTTCCATCGTCCTGTTACCATACAGCACTATTCCTACATCATATCCATCTCTCCTCCACCAGTTAATGCACTTCAGAAGAAACTGATCCCAGCATGACCTATAGGGCTGGACTTTTTTACTTAAGACATTAGATTTCATTCCTTTAACTTCAGTGGCTATTTCTGAGGTAGATATATGATATATACCAAATCATTAAGACGAATTTCAGATATCTTATTTAATATTCTGTAAGAATAACTCCCTCTTCTCTTTTGGCTGATGGTACATGTGATATGAAGCCTTGAAGTGCTGTAGTCATTTGGTTATCATGAAAGAAAGGAGCCTTATACAAAAGTGAACCATATAGTGAAGAAAAGAAATGGGATTCTTTAGTGACCATTTAGGCACTGAATTAGATAATTCCAGAAGCTCACTCTATATCTGCACTTTCAATGATGTAAGCCAACTTTATTTAGGTTTCCTGTTATTTATAAGTATTTGCATCCTGAAAGAAGAATAATGTTTATGAAATTATTTTATGAATTTGGTTATGACATTTTCCTCAATAAAGCCATTTTATAATTTCCAATTGTTTAAGGGGGTAAAGGTACAGTTTATAATATAATCAGCCAGTCACTGCCTAAAGTAGACTAGGGAGGCCACCCTCCCTTTCACTCTCTAAACTTCAGCCCACAGTTCTTTCACTCTTTCAAATATACCATATCCTGTCCTGCTTGAGGATTTTGTATATGCTATTTTTTCCACCTGGGATGCCTCCCTTTGCCTATTCATTGAGAATATCTCACCCTGACCAGTATTTCTTTCAAGACACCTCTACTTATGACCACCCAACCAGATTACATATTCCTATTACTCCTTTTTTTTCTTTTTTTTTTTTTTGGCTCAGTTGATAAATGTCTGCCTCCCCACAGGATTTCAAGGCATCTTCTTTGCAGCCATTTTATACCCAGTGCTTATATTAAGGATATAACATAATAAATCTTCAATAAATATTAATAAAATTATATTTTATATAATTACACATGATTGAAAATTATATATTAACAAAATTATTAACACTATTTTAATGGCACTATAATCTATTTTTACTCACAACATTACTAACATCATATGTGTGGGTTTTGTCCATACCAAAACCACTTCTTCAATTCTCTGGACCACCAACTGGATGTGCCACAATTCAGTTCAACTGTGACATCAACTACCCGGAGTAATTGTCAGACTCCACCAGTTTAAGGGATCCATACCACAAGATTGTCCTCATTACAGATACAAGTTACAAGAATCGTAAGCCTAGGGTACGCACACTTCTGTCTGAGCTGGCTGTAATGATAAGGATTCCTACAACCTCCTCCTTCAGGTTCAATCATTTCTAGAATGGTTCACAGAACTCAGGAAGACACTTTACTTAACTGTCATTGGTTTACTATAAAGAATACAATCAAATACAGCCAGATTAAGAGGTACATTGGGCTAGGTCTGGAAGGATCCTGAACACAGGAGTTTGGGTGTGCCACACTCCCGGCATGTGGATGTGTTTGCCAGCTCTGAAGTTCTACAAATACCCTTGTTTAGGGTGTTTTTTTGTTTGTTTGTTTTGTTTTTGTTTTTGTTTTTTGGACGTTTTGCTACAGGAAAGGAGCCCTGATGCAGATCCCAAGAGAGGGTTCTTGGATCTTGCACAAGAAACAATTCAGGGCGAGTCCATAAAGTGAAAGCAAGTTTATTAAGAAAGTGAAGGAATAAAACAATGGCTACTCCATAGACAGAGCAGCCCTGAGGGCTGCTGGTTGCCCATTTTATGGTTATTTCTTGATTATATGCTGAACAAAGGGTGGATTATTCATGCCTCCTCTGTTTAGACCATATAGGGAAACTTCCTGATGTTGCCATGGCATTTGTAAACTGTCATGGCACTGATAGGAGTATAGCAGTGAGGACAACCAGCGGTCACTCTCATGGCCATCTTACTTTTGGTGGGTTTCAGCCACTTCTTCCCTGCAACCTGTTTCATCAGCAAGGTCTTTATGTCCTGTATCTGGTGCTGACCTTCTATCTCATCCTGTGACTTAGAATGGCTTAACCATCTGGGAATGCAGCACAATAGGTTTCAGCCTCATTTTACCCAGCTCCTATTCAAAATGCAGTTGTTCTGATTCACAAGACACCGACAGTTTCACTACATAAGCATGATTGATTACATCAATGGCCATTGGTAGTTATAGGTAGTTATAGGATGCGGCTAAAATTTTTAAGCTTCAAATCAAGACGGTCTTTCTGGCAACGAAACTCCATCCTAAAGCTATCTAGAAGCACCTCAGCCAAAAAGTCGTATCATTAGCCTATGAAAGTCACTCCTCACTCAGGAGATTCAATGGGTTTAAGAAGCTAGGTGCCAGTAAACAGGAACTAAGCCCAAATATATATATTTCTTTATTGTGCCACAGGCATGGAATTTTAAAATGTGGTTAGAATGGTTTATAATAAATGATAATTACTAGGAAAGAAGTTTTTATTATATCATATGGTCATAAATGAGGGAGAGTTTGAATAATAAACTTGTCTTTAAATATTGAACTATACTGGGTTTTGGAGGAAATAAAAAAAGAAAAAAAAATCCAGTGCTTCCTAAAGCAGAGTTGACTCACTTCCTAAAATATCTGTTAACTATTATACTCATATATATGCAATAGGCAAACTTCCAAAATGATTCTAAAATTATATTTTAAGATATATATGACTTTAGCTCGCTTAATTTATTTTTGTTAGTTTGAGTCTTTTGGCAGAATACATACTTCGGGTTTCTTTTTCTCAATTCCCAGATAGTGAAAAATTTATAATTTAGCAAAGCATTACTCTTATTAATGAAATAATTTACACTTGCATGTTATAAAGTTTTTCAATCAATTATGTGGTACATGGTAACTGTTACATATGTGGCTGTGATTTTCTTTTTTTTACAGCTGTGAATGGTAGATTTATATAGTATTGTTCTGTATCCCATTTTCTCCTTGGAAATCTGCAATGTTGAATTGAAATGCATGAAATTTAAGACTGGACTGTTTCAGCCTGGGAGATGTTGAAGGGACAACATCAGTTTTCATGGCAGTTGTCTTATTCTTCAACTACTGGGGAAAACAAAAAAACAAATAATGAAATGAACAAAAAATTTAACTCTAATCAGGCATCCAAGAAATCTCTCTTTTGTCTCCCATTTCAGGAGATTGAAAAGAAAATGGATGAAATAAAATGATTTTTACAAATGTCTTATGATGTTAATATTTCTTAGGGAGCAAGCTATAGAAATGTTAGAAGCTGCTAAAAGTAGGGGATATATTTGGGAGCAGATTACACTGCCAGTTTTTCATTGTTTAGCACATTTTATAGCCCCCCCTAAAGATTACGCCTTAATAACATTACCAAATATAATCTAACATGGGCCAAAGAGTAGAAAATAATTTCTACTAGGATAGAGTACAGTTATTAGACATAATCAAAGTAATGCCCTGATCATGTTCAGTGGTTTGGGGATGATCAGAGATATTCATAATGACATAAATACCTAATTTGTCTGAAATTAAAGAAAAGGTGACTCACAAAATGAGAGTCTTGGGTATGCTCCTGGTTGAACAGAGATGATATGTTCACCCTTTGGAGAAGTAATGAATCCTCATTGAAAATGGGTTAGAATATCAAGATTGATGGCACAACACACATACCAAAATGAATCAATAGATTTATCCATAACATAATGAGGCTTTTGAGAGAAGCAGGGGAGGCTCCCAAGCATGTCCTAAAATGGCTGGATAGAGCAAGGAGAAATGACCAGTCTGGGCTTTTACTGGGGTTAAGGGTGGGGCTAATGTGATGGTTTCCTCATGAAATCCAGGGACCATGTGATTTGAACTGCTTGCCAGTGCCACAGGAAATAGCATATAGCTTTCTGATTGGTTTGCCCAAATGTGAGGCAAGAAGAGAAGAGGGAGAGGGGAGGATTGAAATTGTCTGCAGTTTAACATTTAAAATTGAGTTAGCCTTTCTATTACAATAGGTTTATTTGACAAGTCCTGTACAACGGAATCCTGCTTAGGTATGTTAGTTATGCAATACACCTTATCCCCAAGGGAAGGGTCCTTATCTACTGACCCCAACCAATGTACCACCACCACCATAGCCACTAATGTTCTGGTCTGGAAGAGGAGTTTTGCCACTGATAAAAGGGGAGGAGACCTAACTGGGTTTTAATGCTCAGATGCACATATTTTCAAGAAAAATAAATAATTGTAGTGCTCTTGCTTGTAGTGGTTTTGCTTCCTCGTGGGGTATAGTGAAGGCTTCAGTGAAACATCCCTTTTAGTTGTTTTTATTTTTTCTCCTTTTAAGATTTTTTTTATTGTATTTTCTTTTCTGGCCTTTTTGCCCATGTCATCCTTTTAGATATCTTATTCTGCTTCCTCTTCTTATTTTTGGGAATATTTCTCTGTCTAGATTCACACTGCTGTTTCAGTAAGGGCTGAGGATTAAGCATACTTTGTAATCTTATTACTAGTGGTACCTCTCCTTATAAAGTGAAGTGAAAATTTAAATAAGGCCTTGGAGAGAGTATGTATACAGTATTTTGGCATGCCTATTGTTGCTCGCATATTGTCCTGTTCAGTTCATATGATAAACTCTCATCCTAACTAGCACACAGTAAACAAGACTGAATACATCTCAGTCACATATATATGATAATATTGTAAATGAGTCATTGGATATAACTTAGCACAGTGCCAGATATACAGCAAACCTCAGTAAATGATAGCTATTATTATTAATATTATTATTATAACATAACTAGCACATCTTGTGTTCTTGATTTCATGGTCATGAGAATAGAATGAAGAAAATCTTGGTTTGCTATCAAGTAAAGATAGATATATTTATATATACCTTTCCGTATGTGTATCCACATGATAGATGGAGTTCTGTGACATGCTCTGGTATAAACCTTTGGAAGAAGCTATGCTAATCTCTCAAACTCTCAGAATGCTCATATGGACTTGGGAATGATGGCAAGAATGTGTCAGTAAGTGGTGGCAGTCATGCTAAAATAATACAGGAGAGCAATCTGGTCATAATTCAGCATAGAAGAATCAATAAATGTCCACAAGCAAGTCTAATAGTACCCTATGGATCTATAATATTTATACCTCTTTTATTCTTCAAAGCATCTTGTGAAGTGAGGACCATGTCATGCTCTTTTAGAAGGACAGAAAGGCTAAGGCCCCAGAAATCATTCAGTTTGTTTCATTTATTTCATTACACTCATGCATTCAATTTGCTTATTGGGAGTGCTTCAAAGCACCATGTTAGACAAGAGACATACAGATATATCTGTAAGTCCATAGGTATAACTGTATGTGTGAGTGTGTGCGTGTATAAATAAATATGATAAATATATAGATTTAATAAAACATAGATGAGTCCTGACCAAACTCGTGCTAGAACTACCTATGTTGTTAAGTAGGCAAATGAATCTAAGAAGTTTTACATTTGGATCTATAACCCGAATTCTTTCCCAAAGTTTAGGCTCGTATCTGCTATTTTAAAAAGATATATCTTAAAATTTTAAAAGACAAAATAGCAAAAAAAAAGAACCCTTGACCTCAAACCAGCCCTGCACCCCAAAAAGCTCTACCTATATAATTTCATGTTTTATTAGCAACTCTATTTTCCAGTTGCCCAGGCCAAAATCTGGGAGTCTTTTTTAACTATTAGCTTACTTTCATACCACATGTCCAATCTATCAGGAAATATTGTCACTATCTTCAAAATATATACAAATTTAACCACCCAGCACCATTTCCAGTGGTTCTGGTCACTACTATATTTTACCTGGATTTCTACAGTAGCCTTGTGATTTGATTCTCTACTTCCACCTTTGCTCTTTATAGTCTGTTTTCAATAAAGCGGTCAATACGATCCACTTAAAACATGGGAGAAAACAAAAAAATAAAACTATAGGCCAATATCCCTAATGAATATAGATGCAGAAATCCTCTACAAATATTAGCAAACCAAATCCAATAATAGTACATCAGAAAGCTAATTCATCATGTTGAAGCAGGCTTTATTCAGGGATGCAAGGGTGGATGAACATATACAAATCATAAATGTGATCCACTACATGAACAGAACTAAGAACGAAAACCATATGATAATCTCCATAGACACAGAAAAAGCATTTGATAAAAGCCAACATCTCTTAATGATAAAACTCCTCAACAAACTAGGAATAGATGGAACATACCTCATAATAATAAGAGCCATCTATGACAAACCCACAGCCAACATTATACTGCCTGGGGAAAGGATGAAAGCATTTCCACTAAAAACTGGAACAAGACAAGGATGTCTGCTTTTACCACTCCTATTCAAATGGTACTGGAAGTCCTAGCCAGAGAAATCAGGCAGGAGAAAGAAATAAAAGGCATCCAAATTGGAAAAAGGAAATCAAATTATTTCTTTTTGGTGACATAATCATACACCTAGAAAACCCTAAATGATAATCGTGACCAGAAACACTGGAAATAGTGTTGGGTGATTGAATTCGTACATATTTTGAAGACAGTGGTAATATTTCCTGGTGGATTTTATATATCAGAATCCTATACCTAGAAAACCCTAAATACTCTCCTGGAAGTCTCCTAGACCTGATTCAGTAAAATCTCAGGATACAAAATCAATGTACAAAAACAGTAGGATTTTTATACAATAACATTCAAGCTGAGAAACAAATCAAGAACTCAATACCATTTACAAATGACTACAAAAATAATAAAATACCTAGGAATACAGCTAACCAAGGAGATGAAAGATCACTCTGCAAGGAGAACTACAAAACACTGATGAAAGAAATTGTAGATGACACAAATAAATGGAAAACATACCAAGCTCATGGATCAGAAGAATCAATATTGTTAAAATGATCATATTACCCAAAGCAATCTACAGATTCTAAACTATTCTTATAAAATTACCAATGCCACTTTTCAGAGTTGGAAAAAAAAATCCTCAAGTTCATATGAAACCAGAAAAAGCCTGAATAGCCAAAGTAAGCAAAAAGAATACATCCGGAGGCATCACACTGCCTGACTTCGAATTTTACTATGAGGCTATAGTAAATAAAACAGCATTGTACTGATACAAAAATAAACAGATACATCAATGGAACAGAATAGAAAAACAAGAAATAAAGTCACATATCTACTCACAACTGATCTTTGATAAAGTTGACAAAAATAAACAATGGGGAAAGAACACCCTATTCAATAAATGTTGCAGGGAAAACTAGCTATATGCAGAAGAATGAAACTGAACTCCTATCTCTCACCATATAAAAAATTAAGTTAATATAGATTAAAGACCTAAATGTATGAACTAAAACTATAAAAATAATCTAAGAAAACCTAGGAAAAAATCTTCTGGACATTGGCCGAGGCAAAGAATTTATGACAGAGACCCTAAAAGCAATTGCAACAAAAAAAATGACAAATGGGATTTAATTAAACTAAAGTGTTTTTGCACAGCAAAATAAGAATAATAATAATAAATAACAGACTAAACAAATAACCTATAGAATGGGAGAAAATATTTGTAAATTATGCCTCTAATAAAGGACTAATATTCAGAATTTATTAAAAAAACATTAAAAACTAGGCAAAGGCCCTGAACAGACACTTATCAAAAAAAAAATACACACAGCCAACAAACACATGAAAAAATGCCCAACATCAATAATCAATAAAACCACACTGATACATTATCTTATATCAGTCAGAATAGCTTTTATTAAAAAGTCAAAAAAATAAATGTTGGCAGGAATGTGGAGAAAAGAAAATGCTTATACACTGTTGGTGGGAATGCAAATCACTTCAACCTCTATGGAAAAACATATGGAGATATCTCAAAGCACCAAAAATAGCACTGTCATTCAACCCAGCAACCCCACTACTGGGTAGGTACCCAAAGGATAAAAAATCATTATATAAAAAAAGACACCTGCATTCATAGGTTTATCACAGCACTATTCATAATAGCAAAGTCATAGAATCAACCTAAGTGTCCACCAAAAGATACTTAGTTGATTTGATAAGTAAACTGTGGTGTATAGATACAACATGGAATACTATGCAGCCATTAAAAAAAGAATGAAACAATATCCTTTCCAGCAACATGGGTGGAGCTGGAGGCCATTACACCAAGTGAGTTAACACAGGAGCAGAAAATCAAATATCACATGTTCTCACATATATAAGTGAGAGCTAAAGAAAGGGCACACATGGATATAAATTTGAAGAGAACAGACACTGAAGACTCCAAAATGGGGTGGGAAGGAGAGGAAAAAGTTTGAAAGATTATCTATTAGGTACAATGTCCAATATTGGGGTGATAGGTCCACTAGAAGCCCAATTCCCACCATTAGGCATGTAATACCCATGTAAACAAGCACATGTACCTCCTGAATCTAAAATTAAAATAAATAAATAAATAAACAAACATTGTAGATCGTATCCTCTTCAAGTCTTCAAAATATGCTTCACTCAGCAGGAAACACAAAAGGCCCTACATCCTCTTCTTTCCCTCATTATCTCTCTGATCTTACCTCCTACTAAGGTCCCTGATCAACATGCTCTAGCCACAGAGGATGCCTTATGGTTTTTGGAACATAAGAGGCACACTCTCACCTCTGACCTTTGTTCTACCAGTTCTCTCTTTCTGGAACATTTTTCCCCCAGACTTTCATGGAGCTAACGTCTTCACCACCTTCAAGTCTCTGCTCAGACTTCACCTTATCAACAGAAACTTCTTATTAAAATTATAATCTCTTTTAATTTTAAAATTAAAAATTACGGTTTCAAATTACCATTGCTTTGCTTTACTTTTTTTATTTTTTCCTTATAACACGAATCACCAACTAACATAATTTACTTTCAAAATTATATTTGTTGTTTATCATCAGTCTCTCCACAACTAAGAAACATTCAGGAAATCTCGATATGTATCTGTTTTGTTCACTGAGGTTCAAGTTCCAAATGCGAAGAACATAATCTGGCACATAGTAGGCACTCAGTAAACATTTATTGCAAGCATAGGAAAGCCAACTGGTAACAGAAAGAGAGGAAAATAGATTCAGATAGAAATAAACATACAGAGACAGTTGAGGCACTGTAAATGGGGAGCTGTATCATGCGCATTCTTAATGTTCTGTTGCTTATACAAGCTTTAGATGTAAAAAGAATTCTATTCTCCAGCCAGTAACAGTTCCTCCTCATCGATGTTGTAAAAGTCAGGTTCTCTTAAACCCATGCAAATCCTTACTTCTACCGTGCACTACCTGAAATAACCTGTTACTGTGATCAACAATGCCAAGCAAAAACACAAACAAAAAATATCCTAGACTATGACACGAAGCATCTACAAAATGTGTTTCAAAATAATTTCGGCTCTCAATATATCATGGGTTTTTAATATCTATAACTGAGTAGTATTCACATAAAAGACTTGATTATTAAATCTATTCATTAATATTCATCCATTATAAAAGCATTTTAAAGTAGACTTGCATAAAGATAGCTAGTTGCAAAATTCAGAATCAATAATTCTTAGAGCAAACTTATTTTTATTCAAAAAAGCAAACTCAGGGGCTATTATATGTGGTGTTCTTTTTGAAGCCAGGCTGAAATACGAAAATAAAATAAACCAATTACTCAAAACTTCTTTAACCTTTCAATATATGTACCATGTTTATACCCTTGTGTTCTTCATGTCCTTGTGTAATTTAACATTATGTCTATAAGGTCAGATACATTTTTTGCTTGTTAATTGAATAACCTTGAATAATTAGCTCTCTACTCATGAACAGATTTTTTCCCCTTTTTCCTTTGAACAGCTTCACAACATAGTGTTTAGCATTTGCAGTAAGATTTCAGGATAGTTCTTACTTTGAATCTCAAGTATTGACAGAAAACTAACTTTGTGGACTACAATTTGTCACATCAAACTTAATCCATTTAATATTCCAAAAAGGCTCTTAAAATTTCTAACTTCTTAAGAACATGCAATACCTAAACTGCTTATGTTTGGTGCATTTTTCCCTTTTTCATTTTTAATGATAATTTTCATTCCCGCAATCCTTGAATACACAGATGATCCAATGGTAATGAAGTGATTGAGTGCTTACCTTTGTGGGGTGCATTAGATCTTTCAGGCCACTTATGTCCATTTAGTAAATTGCTACTCCAATGCATTAAGTGGAACTCCAGTAGCCTAAAATTGTTAATGCACTTAATAATTTGGCACTTGTAATTGCCAGTGATGGTAGTACATTTGCTTTCAGATTCTCATAGTAATTATTATGAAAAAAGAATTTGTGCCCAAAGAATTACATGATTGGCCATTAGAATTATATAGGCTCTTTAAAATTTATAATAAATCCCTTTGCCATCTAATATTAAATAATGGATACTTCAGAAGATGCTGCCAGATTTTTTTTCTTCTCAAAATGCAAAATATGTTCCTCCATGCAATAAAAGAAGCCACATACCTATACTCTAGTAAATAACTCAGTGCTATATTTGCATTTTGTCTTTATATTTAACTGCATCACCACTGTAAAAAAAACCTCATGTAAAAGTAATATATTCTATGTTATGGAGGGAAACAGAAGTGTCAGGGTACAACGTTTTAGTTATGTAGGATGAAAGAGTTCTGGAGACCTAATTGACAGCATGATGGCTATAGTTAATAACACTATGTATACCTGAAAGTTGCTAAGAGAGTAGATCTTAAATCTTTTCAGCACACACACAAAAAGGTGACAAATACGTTAATTAGCTTGATAGTGATATTTGTTTCACAATATATGTATATCAAAAAGTCATACTGTTCACCTTAAATACATATAATTTTCATTGTCAATTATACCTTATTAAAGGTTAGAGGGAAATGATATCACAGAATGAAAAGGAATTAGGCAGATCCTTCCAATAGCTGAAAGAGTATAGCTTCCCAACCATAATGCAGAATCCCACATTTAAAACTCTACAGGGATTTTTTTTTTCTTGTAAGCATCAAAATTTTTTATTGAAAAAAACAATGGCTAGTTTTTATCCAAATTGAAGGCATAATCACATATTTCTAATTTTCTATGTTGCATGAAATGACTACTTAGTTTTCAAAGGCAACCATGGGTGACAAGCAATTAGCTTTAGTCAATAGACTTCCTTTATGGCTCATTTAAAGCCACCCATTATCTCTCACTATGGTGCCGCTCACCTTTGTCAATGTAACAATCAGAGAAGCAGCATCTCTAAGATGATGCACTTTCCAAAGCATAAGCACATGTTACAGAAGATCTAATTCACCCTCCATGTTTCAATTCTAAAAGTTCAGCAGAATTCACCATGTGTTTTCAGGCATCCTAATTTCTTGGCATTCACTTCTTAATTAGTTAGTGAGAGGTAAACCAAGCTCTATAATCCTGAGAGGAATTGATGTAAGGGCAGGGTTTAATTGGACGTTTAAAATCACTCGCAAATTGCTGTTATCCTTAAATATATGGTGTCCCTCCATCATGCTGGTGTCATTCAATGAGCTGATATTGATCAAGTCAGCTTATTAGCCAGATAATGAAACCACTTTGTTTATGCTTTGCTTCTGTAAATTTTCTGCTGTACTCTGTGAAGAGTTTCATCTCTGTCAAGTATAAACATCAAATGGCTTTATTTTACCTGTAACTCTTACCCACTCTGTTCTGTTACCATTATTTTTGCTGAGTATCAAGATCACTTTTGAATATTTTAGTCTGATTCCATGACTTGTTACTCACCTTGGGTTATTACAACAATGTAATTCAGTTACTGAGATTCTATCCTACAGATTTAAAAACGTAGATTCATGTTTACTTAATGTTCTTACCCTTCCCCCCCTACCAGGGTCAGTAAAGCCCAGTAGCTTGCATTGTAGGGTGGGTAAACTTGGTCTGCTTCTCTCATACTGGCCTTTCCACTGTCCTTGCTCTCAGAGGGTGGGACAAAAAGGAAGAGGGAAAGATAACTGTTTTTTAATGCCTGTGGCAATTTATCTAAATCTTATGATCAATCATACGTAACACAAGCAGCCACACACTGGAGATGATAAGGTTGTGGTCCTTTCTATGGTGGTCATTATCTTGAGACAGTCAAGTATAAAGGGGTCCCTGGGGAATCCTCCACCGGCCTGTGCACTGGGTGAACCGGGTGGAGCTGCGGGAAGTTCGTGCCCTTTGGAGTGGGGAGGAGCCTGGCCGCTCCTTTTCCAGGATGGGAACCTGGGATTCAGTCTGTGAGATGAGGTCCTGTTAACAGGAACCCCTCTCTGGCTTTGCTGTGTTGTTTTTTTTTTTTTTTCCTTTTCGCCCAAAAAATTCCGTTTCTCCCACCCTTCTATGTGTCCGTGAGCCTAATCTTTCCTGGTTGTGTGACAAGAACCCAGCTTTTAGCAGAAGCAAGAAGAAAGTCGTCCTACAGCAATCTCTTGTGTAGTTTATAGGATCAATGAGAAGAAAGGCAAAAACTTCATTGAGAAGACACTATTTTAAATAGTCTCTCTAGGCATGGGGAATTCATTTTGGCTTGGGCTGCATCTTTCAGTCGCCTCCCCAGCTTGGGGGCTTTACATTGCATTCCACTGTGTGGATCCTATTGCTCTATGTTGCAATAAGTGAGGCAAACTTGCTCTAGAAACTTCACCTACTTCTTATGTCCCACATCTGGGGGGCTACAAACACCAGAGATCTATCTTCACTACCTTTCAGAAACCTACGCTGCAGAGACAGTCTTCAGTTAGTCAGTCTCACAGTATTATTAAGTTATCCTGGCTGAAATGACACCTCACAGCCCTCAGGTGTGTGCTTCTCTGGTTGATTGATGCTTCTAAACTTTTTAACTATTCACTCTTCTGGTCTGTGTATTTGTTTGTTTTTTTAAGAGACAGAGTCTTGCTCTGTCCCCCTGGCTGGAGTGCAGTAGCCCAATAGTGGCTCACTGCAGCCTCAAACTCCTGGGCCCAAGCAATCCTCCCAACTCAGCCTCCCTAATTGCTGAATTACAGGTATAAGCCACGTACCTGGCCCTATTTATTCATCAATAAGAGCTGTGAACAATACCTTCAGTTCACGGTTCTCAAACTGAGAGGTGACAGCGTGCTGGCGGACCTGGCAGCCCTCGCAGCCCTCACTCGTTCTCGGTGCCTCCCCGGCCTCGTCCAGGCGCCCATTCTGGCCGTGCTTGAGGAGCCCTTCAGCCCGCCGCTGCGCTGTGGGAGCCCTTCTCTGAGCTGGCGGAGGCCGGAGCCGGCTCCCTCGGCTTGCCGGGAGGTGTAGCGGGAGAGGCACCGGCGGGAACCGGGCCTGCGCGCGGCGCTTGCGGGCCAACTAGAGTTCCGGGTGGGCGTGGCCTTGGCCGGCTCCGCACTCGGAGCGGCCGGCCAGCCTTGTTGGCCCGGACAGTGAGGGGCTTAGCACCCGGGCCAGCAGATGTGGAGGGTGCGCCAGGTCCCGCAGCAGTGCTGGCCCACCGGCGCTGCGCTCGATTTCTCGCCGGGTCTCAGCTGCCACCCCGCGGGGCAGGGCTCGGGACCTGCAGCCCACCATTCCTGAGAAATATGTGGGGTTCTATCATCTATATGACATAGCATGTCTCCCCACATCTTCTCTTCTCTCAGACGTTATGAACTGCTTTTTCTCTTTCTGTTACCATCAATATTTTTCCCAACTTTGTAGCTTCTCATATTTTTTAGAATACCTGCTCTGGAGTGTCCCCTTTTTCTACAACAGAAAACAACTAATTCTAAACTCAGCCCCATCTGAAGCTAATATTAGACAGAAAGATGTAAGGAACCCTGACTCAAAATTTTGGGGCTTAGCCCCAAGTTAACATTCTTGCCATTTGGATCTTTGTTTTTGCTGTAATTCAATGGAATTTAATTTAATAACCAATTAATTAGTAAATGCTTTGTGCTTGACACTTTATGTACTAGGAATAAATTTAAATAAGGAGTTCATAGTTTGAGAGAGAAGACAGATGTCTAAAGAGTACTTATAAACAAATTAGGTAGTTACAGTATATTTGGGGAAGATTGAGGAAGCCAAAACTAACTCAGCTAAGAAGTGTATCATGGAAGAGGGAACACATAAATGGGTCTTATCAATAGGGTGATTAAATTTTGAGTTGCTAGCTTGAACTTTGACCCCTTCAATAATAGCTGTCTCCCCGAATGCCCACTCATCTCAGAGGACAGGAAGAATTCCAGGGCTTTATTTTCCTAAAATGTTCAGCATTTGCCAAGATTCAAATCAATAAAACATAATATTAAATTAGAGCAAGACAAAATAATATAAGCCATGCTAATAAAGTGATGAGGGAACAAGCCCACATGAACATAAAATAATAAAGAGATTTTAGTGTAAAACAGCAAAAGACAGCATCTTGAAAAACTAGAATTTGAGAAAACATTGAGTAAAGTATGCATGAGGCCATTTTGTGCAGAAAGAAAAGAAGATATCTTGGAAAGGAAGACATCATGAGCAAAATTATACAGTCAAGAGAGCAAAGGATATATTAATAAAATCAGTAATGCAAAGAGGTGGGAAGAAGAAGGTATTGGTAGAATTTGCTTACTGATCAGATTCAAGAGAGATAATCAAGCAAAGAAAGATAGGAGTTGGACTCTAAAATTTTGGATGTTTTCTCTGGAAATATAGATTGGATAAAAGTTTAAAGGTAAGGCAATTGACTTCTCTGTATTTAGAAGTCAATTAGAGTTTAAATTATGAAACTTATTTTTCATATGTATGTGCCTTTTAGAGAGAGAGAGACAAGGAGTCAAAATCAGAAAACACTGGTCAGATTAAGTAACTAATCTGAACACCCAGCTTTGAATTGATAAATAATATATAACAAAAACTGAGTTAATTTGCAAGTAACCCACACAGAAATATAAAGATCTAAATATTCTAAATGTAAGGTAATTGCTTGGATATTAACTATAATGTTCATGCTACTTATTATAGACAGCAATTCAATTTTTGATTTAATGATTTTCTTCTTTCTAAAGGTATTTGACATATCAGAAGTTGTAAATAATGGTAAATACATCTCCGATTTTTTTTACGGCCAAAATGTGAGACCTTATCTGCAAATAGCCCCTTTCATCCATCTTCTAAAACAAAATGTGGTGCATAGGAGAAATGAGATGTGTACAATAATCAACACACCTCATATGAATTTTAATATCACAATTGTTATATTTTAAAATTCTGTTTATTAAAAATCAATTATAGTTTTCAATCCTAGCATAATTGTTTGAGAGATATCTGATTTTGAATTAATTCCATACATGTGCAATTCTTGATTTTTATTTTTTCTGTTCCTCCTATTAGGGGAGAAAGAAAGAAAAAAGGTTAATTTTTAGGTAATTTTCATTCATTTCATTTGATACAAATGAATGCTTTTTTTCTCTTTGTTTCTTTAGCATACATCATTTCAATTAATTTCCTAAACTGTTCTTAAACCTATGAAGAGCAGATCATCTTACAACATCTTACAATTCCAATGCTTTCCTTCTCCCTGGCTTTATTATTATTTTTTATTCATAGCACTTGTCACAATTCAACGTATAAAGCAGTTTATTTTGTTTTGTTTGTGGTGGCAGTTTATACTTCTATTAGAACATAAGCTACCTAAGTGCAGGTATTTTTGTCGTTTATCGTGTTGTGTTCTTAATACATAGAACGATGCCTGGCTCATAGATGTCACTGATTTGTTGTTGTTCTTATTATCAAATGAATAGAGAGACAGATACATTCTTGAACCCATGGCTTTAAAAAAGCCCATTACATTTGTGAATAGAAACATCTTATTACAACTTAGAAACTGATTAAACAAAAATGAAACAACTTTAACTATAATATCACTATGAAAGTTGTCGTTTTACAGAATCATTCAATCTGCGGAAATTTCTATTGATTGGGGACAGAATATGGTTGAAACAAAATACAGGTAATCCTCTAAATCCAATGATGTTATT
Organism: Homo sapiens; assembly: GCF_000001405.40. Lineage (NCBI taxonomy): Eukaryota > Metazoa > Chordata > Mammalia > Primates > Hominidae > Homo > Homo sapiens. The sequence goes on from NC_000014.9 coordinate 46,823,137, forward strand.
TCTAGGTTATTCTTCCTTTATACTTGCAACACAACCCTGGAAGGTTTGCTTGCAATAGCTAACCAGATAAGTACTAATTTACTTAAGGATAAAGAAAGTCAGGCTTGTAATAGCTTCTTTAGAAATGGGCATATTTACCCAAAGACTCTTTAAATATAGCTTCTTTCTCAATTGACTGCACAGCATCACAGATTTTGTTAAGCTCCTGGTAAGTATATTTCTTTTTTTAAATTAAATTTAGGTTTTGGGTCAGAGCTAACTTCACAAAAAGATAGTTTGCTTATGTTATAGCCCCAGAGTTTTTAAGACACTTGCTTTATAGCTGTAACTAATAATTTTGCAAAATATCAGATCTGAGAGAAGTGAGGGCTCTGAGTAACTGATTTTGACAGAGCCTCACAGCATCCTTTCTCCAGAGTGTCTGCATTCTCTCCATTCACGACCACCATATTTTGGTCACTACAGCAGTTTCACAAAGCAAAGGGATACTGGGTTCATGGGCTGAGAGTAGTTTGTGGAGGCAGAGTGTTATCTTATTTTCAACGTGATTCTCCTTAATTTTGCAATGCAAAACCAAGAGTAGAACCAACATTCACAAATACTGGGTGGGTGGGATATATTTAAGAAATATTTACTGAGAATTGAATAGAGCTACTGCAAGTAGGCACGTAAATATTTCATTCAAGACTTATTACTGTTTCCCACCAAGAAGACTGAGGCTAGATTGCCTTAAATATAGAAAAGCAAAAGCTCACTTAAATTGATGATACTAACTTGAGAATGGGCAGTGTCATACATCTTGTTCACATTGCATTCCCAGTTCTAAGCAGCATACCTACCTTGTAATAGCATACTCTATAGTTCTGTGGAATTCATGCATGCTTGAAGAAATGAATTCAGAAGTAAAAAGAAAGCAGAATAGTCTAACTCCAGCATGACTAAGTTGTAAGGCCTATACTCTAGTTAGTACAGGCAACACATCTGCCTTTCCCTCAATACTAAGCACCCAACCAACTCACAATTAAAAAGAATATAAATCCAAATGTGGAAAAAAAACCCACAAAAAATCTCAGAGAAATATGACAAGACAAATGATATCATTTAAACTACTTTTAAAAGAACTAAATGTGTCTTTTGTCAGCAAGTATTTCTTAGAACAAACTTTTCCTTTCTAACAGAAATTATATTTCATGTAGGACACTGCTCTTATACTATCAAGTTGCAAAACTGTTATTTTTCTAAGCTTATTCTTTGGGACAGAAAATAAATTTATTCAAATAAATTGGCAGTAGCATTACTGGGAAATCTTTTCAGAAGAGGCATGACATTCTCCTTTGTGTATTCATTATAAATATAAACAATAATCCTGTTTATTTGACCGACTTACTTGAATTCTGCCTTTATGAAGTTCATCTCTACTCAATTTCAACATAGAATTAACAGTCTAGAAATTCCTTCTTAATATTTATAGCCAGTTGGAAACAGTCATAGTACTTCTCAACAAACTCTTTTATAGGGGTGAAGGGGAAATTACAAATAGATTTTCCTTACAACTAAGTCATGTCGTTTCTTTAGCAATATCAGTGCACTTGCACTTAAACCTCTTAGTCACACCAAGTACTTAGCGTGTCAGAAAAGTCTTTTATATATTTTTGATATCAAAACATTTCATATTATTACCATGGAAATTCCCGTTCTACTATAGAGCCTGTATTCAGTGCTAAGGATGAATGAAGAAGACTATTGAAGTTTAAACATTACGTCTTCCTTATACAATTTTCAACATGACTCTGAATCCAAAATGCAAAGTGTCACAAGGGATCTGAATCTGGATTATTCATGTGAAGACTGCTGTGTACAAATAACACTAAAATAATTGAAGTGGCTGCAGTTATATGAACTTTGGTTTATGCTGATACATTACAGATAATTTCAGACTAGGATGAACATGATTAAATTTTGATGAGAATGTAAATCTTTTCCAATTTTTTCTCCTTTGAACTTCTATATTATATACAGATTCATGATTCCTTGTCAAGAGATTAGTTTAGCTTCTGAGAGCTCATCCCCACAACATTTATTCTAAATTATAAGATATTTGGGAGAAATAATTATGTACCTAGAATTTTCAGTCATATGCTATATATGTATATGTGCTGATCTATGTGTCTATCTACATACATATATAACAAATTGTGTGTGTATATATATTCATATACACGTACATATATTTAGATGCATAAACGTATTCATAATTTTATGCATGTGTGTCTATATATAATTATAAGTAACTATAAGTTCTAATTATTGTCATTTCCTATTTTTTCATTAGTTTTGTCAGTCTTCTCATCATCTTTAAGAATATCCAGAATATGTTTACATATATTATGCATTTAGATAAAAAAATTAAACTATCAAACACCATTAATACATTAATTCACTTTATATTTGCAAACAAATATTACTGGGATTATGAGACAGTGTATTATGGTGATGAATGTTAAAAGACCCTGGTTTTAGTTCTAGGTGTGTTATGTTATGAAGTCTTAGTAGGTCTGTTATAAAATCTCTGTACTCCAGTTTACAGATCTTTAGAATGAATATTCTATTATTTATTCTGACTATCTCACAGAACATTTGGGAATATCACATTAAGGTTTTATTAGATAATTTGAAGACAATTAAATCCTATAGGCATTAATAATATTAAATCTTGTAATAAAACACATGATACAGCAGGAATAATAAAGTCTTTATTCTATACATTCTGATGTACAAATTTTAATGATTTCTTGAATTTTTTTCTATATATATACATTTTTATTAGTTTGGTTTCCTACATATTTAGTTTAATTCAACAAATATTGGCATATTGGTATATGCCAATCTTTGAAATTGCATGACTGGGAACATAAAACTAACAAGGAATAATACCTGCTCTTAAGGAGCTTACAGTCTCCATTAAGGAAGTAAGACAAGGACCTAATAGTTATGATATAAAGCAAAATATCCATAAAAGGGGTGCCAAAAGGTGTTATGGAGTCCAAGAAGTTAATCAGAATAAAAAGTAGCACTTGACACGAATGTTCAAGAATGAGTAGGACTCCTACCTCAAGATTATAAGCTAGAAGTCACTTAAGTCAAGTGGAATAGTAAGGTAAAGCTTAAAGAATTTAGAAAGTGTGAATACGTTCTAGGGAGAGTATGCTTTTCAGTAAAATTGCAATGCATAGTAATCTGGCAAGATATATTATAAACATTTTAAAAAATATTTGGGTACACACTTAGGATTTTGTACCTTTGTCAGCATACAATAGGTAGATACTAAGGATCCCTGAGCAGGGGACCAAAATATTTGAGGCTCCACATTCTTGTAAAGGAGTACAGTTATCTTTAGGAAGACAAATTTGACATGGTTATGATGATGAATCTCGGGTACAAGGGTAATGACATGAGTTAGTATGTATTACAATGTCAAGACAGGTTCTGTCTGAATTTCTTTGAAAGCAGAATGAAATCTTAAAAGGCTTAGAGATGACAGAATAAGGAAGCAATACTGATTAAGTTTTGGATACAACACATGGAGGCAAAGATGATTCTATGGGTTTTGAATATATTTGAACATAGTTGACCAGAAAAATGGGAGCATAATGGTGACCAAATTAACCAAGATAGAGAATTCAGAAGAATATCATAATTCAGGAGAAAAAATGTTTTTTAGTGATGAAGTGGAAACTGATTTCTGATTTGGACTGTAGAGTGTATGATTCATCATACATTTTGAATCTATATGACAAATATAGTCTGGGAGATTGAAGTCAGTTTGATATCATCCATTGAGATGTAGTTCTTATAATGGGTGGGATGAACATAGACCTATGGAAAACAACTACAGTTAAAGATAAAAGAAGAAATAGGTGGTATGTGAAGCAATAGATAGATAGTATTCAAAACAATTAGGAAAAACCAGCAAACACAGTAACACCAACACATTTTAATTTCAAAATTAAAAAGTGTGATGAACAATACAAAATGGCTGAAGAGAATGAATCTTCGGGGAAATCTTTTGACTTGGCTTCTAAGGGATCAATAGAGGGGAAATATAGTCATTCATTGTCATTTAGCAAATATTTGAGACCCTCCTATGAATTTTTTTTAAAGGTAACCAAAACAAGCATATTTCCCCTGGCTTCCTAGAGCTTACAGTGTAATAGGCTGGTAATTAACTGACAATAATAAAACACACAAATATTCAATTAAACTTTTGAGGAATGTTCTAAGGAAAAGGGTAAATATAATAGAGAAAACCTATTTGGCCTAAATGATAAAGAAAGGATTTTCAGAGGAGTGTATGTATAAGCTAAGATCAGGAATGAACTGGACAAAGGAAGAGGGGCTTAGAGCATTAAGAGACAAAACAAAAGCAGACACAACCCTGAGTATGGAGATGGCACTGGGGAAATGAAAAAAAAAAAGTTCTGAAGCAATGTGAGTGAAGGTGGTAGGATAATCATTCATTTCTTTATTTAAATCTGATGATAGATTATGAAATATGATATGTCTTGGGGAGTACCAGTGCCCATCAAACAGGAGCTGTAAGGCTGGATTGGTGAGAAGAAACCAGGTCATGCAGGCTTTATGTCCTACTTTAAGGAATTCTGTCTTTATTTGGTGAGCAACTGGGAGATTTTAAAAGGCTGCAAGAAGGAGAATGTGTATAGTACTTGCATTTTAAGACAATCACATAAGCTATAACATAGAGAATGACTAGAGACAGCAGGATTGGATGTAAAGGTCTACAAGAAGAAGTTATTGCAGTATCCTAGCAAGAGTACATGGTAACCTAGTCTGGGGTAGGGACATTAGACATGACAAGATAGATTTGAAATATATTCAGGAGGCAAAACAAATAGGTGTGGTGATTGATTGAATAGAGGGAGTGAAGAATGTGGAGGTATCAAGGTTGATTCCCAGTTTTCTGGCTTAAATTTTAGTGACTGTTGCTGCCATTCCATACAAGAGGAATACTAGAGAAGCATAGGGTATTAATACACGAGTGAAAAACAAAGTTTTAACATTTTTATTCAATAAAGGTAATGAAAACCATCAATTTAGCTGCATAATCTTAGTCCCATTTCTGACTGATAATAAGCATTGGTCTGATGTTTGGTTGAGAGTAGCAGGTTTGTCCATGGAGTTCGTCTCTCCATGTACAGCTAATTAGTATGGGGTTTGAGTCTACAGCACTGGCCTCATTACCACATGCCCAAATCAACAGGGCTAGCCAGGCCAGACAGATGAAAAGAAATGCATTCACTGTGACGGCGATTACTTTCATATGCAGTGCACTATTTTCCAGAACAAATAAATACAGTTGAGAGACTATAACTAAGATCAACAAATAATTAGTGTACTGGAAAGAAGGGATAAAAGTGGGAAAAGTCTTAAAGCACATGTCCATTATATTCCAACACAGAAATTCTGCATGTTTCTTCTGGCATTTAAACTCATCATTGTTACCAATCATTAATACATATATTATAGTTTTCATGAACTCACAATCAAGATTTTTTCTTTTCTTCCAACTAATATTCCCAGCCTAAACTTTGAATTAAGTATCTTCACCAAGTAGAGCATATTTTGACTCTTCAACCTACTTGATTTCCTCTGCCAATGTGCGCCATTAAGTAATATTTGCCTTTGATAATTATCCTGTTTTCAGTATCCCAGCACATCCCTAGGACTTCACTAGGCAGACGTGGTTCTCCTTACTGTATTATACTTCCCTTGTAGAATGCCTAAAGCTTTATTTTCTAGGCCAAATCTAGAAAGGATCCACTTTTGAAAAATAAAACCCCCAAAGAAAACTTTTCCTTGCACTAAACCATTTTCTTCCTTTTCTCTCATCAGGTGTTTTCCTTCTTTTTTTTAAGACAACAACATTAACATATGCTCAATGTAAAAAAAAAAAAGTACCCAGAAAGAAAATAGAAAATGAATAAAAAAGGAAACTGCTTCATTATATCTACCAGGCAGTAAGAATCCTAGCAATTTAGGGTATACATGTTTTTATAAATATATCAGATGACATTTAACTTTATGTATTTTTTTAGCCTAACAACATATAGTGTACATATTTATATGTTAATACATATATCCTATGTTGAGTTTGAGCCCATTTTCTTAAACAGATTCTTGCTTCTCTCTTCCACAAATAAATCATTTTTCAGTTCTTTCATAAGTAGTGTTTGAGACAAGGGTTTCAATGCAGTGTTTTATCTGGATGGTGATGCCAGTAAATTCTGAGATGTGAGGAAATGAGAAAGGGAAGTTAAGACAACCAATAAAGGATTGCTCTTGATCCAGGGACCATGGTGAGTAATAAACTCGGTCTCACTGGAGAACTCTGGGTGTCTATAAAACAGGCTCCTCAGAGCTATTCTCCCTCAGGGATGGAAAGCTGAGGAGTTGATCCAAGGCTGCTGGTGCAGGGTGGGGAAACAGGAGAGTGGTTGTGGTGGTGTTAAATGTCTGACACTTTTGAATGACAATCATGGATAGGTCCTAGTTCCTGAAAAAATCTCACATGCAATCAGCTGTCCTCAGGATGCACTGTGCTATTAAAGCTGGAGTAGATATAAGAGCACAAATGCTTTATGTCATGCTCCCTTTCTGATGGGCAATTAGATCGTTTCCATTTCTTTCAACATTATGAACTACCACAATATCCTTATATATAATTATTTGTATGACTGATTTTTTACATGATATAATTCCTATTAGTGATATTAAAGGGTAATACAAAAAATTCAAGGTTGTAATCTGTGGGTATGTTTTGGGATAAAGAGAGGCAACTTTCTTCTTCTTAAATGAATGTTTCTATGGAATGTCAGATAATATATAATTAACTTTAAATGTTACCTTCTAAATTTAGATTTAATACTTAAAATATCTAACTTTTAGCCACATTTATTTGATAATTTTACATATTTCATCATTGCTATGAAAAAAGCCAGTACTTTGAGTTAAAATAAATGTACCTAACATAATACAAGTCTAAAAATTTGTTTTATTTTCTATTTTAAGGGCAACGTTGATTTGAAAATTACAATGGCAAGAAAATATTTAGTAGTTAAGCCTAGACAAAGCATCCTTAGACTTTACATCAAAAAAGCACAATCCATAAAGGAAAAATAAATAAATTGGACCTTATCAAAACTAAAAACTTTTTCTCTGCAAAATACCATGTGAAAAGGATGATAAGACAAGGTGCAGGCAGGGAGAAAATATTTGAACACCACACATCTGGCAAATGACTTTGATGTTGAATATAAAAAGAGCTCTCAAAACTAAACCATTTAAAAATGCAATTATAAAACAAGCAAAGGACATGATTAGACATTTCACAGAAGAGGAGATTCAGATGGCAAATGAAAAGATGTTCCACTTTATTAGCTTTTAGGAAAATGCAAACTAAAACCGCAATGAGATATCACTATACACCTATCAGAATAGTTAAAACAAAAACAAAACAGTGACAATAACATATGTTGGTGAGAATGTACAGAAATTTGATCACTCATACATTGTTGGCAGAAATGCAAAATGATATACTCACTCTGGAAAGCAATTTGGCAGTTTCTTATACAACTAAACATGCAACTACTATGTTGCATGCCATTATACTCCTGGACATTTATCTCAGAGTAATGGAAATCTAAGTTCACAGGAAAATGTGTACATGAATGTTTGTAGCAGCTTTATTTATAATAGCCCTGCACTGGAAACAATCCAGATGTCCTTCAATGGATAAATGGTTACACAAAAGGTAGTACGTGCATACTACACAATATTACTCAGCAATAAAAAGGCACAATCTATTGATACATACCACAACTTGGATAAATCTCCAAGAAATTAGGCTGAAAAAAGCAACTCCCCAATATTTATGTAGCGTATAATACCATTTATGTAACATTCTTGAATTGACAAAACTGTAGAAATGGAGAACAGATTAATTGTTGCCAGTGGTGTAGAATTAGCTGGCCAAAGGGAGATGTATTGTCAAAAGGCAACACTAGAGCGATCCTTGTGGTGATTGAACTGTTGTGTATTGACTGTGGTGATGGATACATGAACCTATAGATGTGTTTAAAATACACAGAATTAAATACACACTTACACGCAAGCACAAATAAAACTGGGGAACAAGATTAGTGGATTGTATCAATGTCGATGTGTTTGTGATATTGTACTACAGTCTTAAAAGTTATCATTGGGGGAAAACAGGTAAAGTGTATATGAAACCTTTGTGTTATCTCTTACAACTGCATGTAAATCTATGTCAAAATAAAAGGTTAAATTTTTACAAATTAGCAACATTTCTGTCTAGAATATATGTACATATATAAATATTAATGATTAACTTTTGAAGAATGCCAAACTTGTGCTTATTCACTAAAAAATGTCTAATTTTTCTAATTGTTTACATTCTAAAATAAGCATGATTATTCAAAAGTCATTTATATTAGAAAGTAATACCAGAGAACTTACTTCATTTGAGGGCTAATACAATTTATGTCAGTTACATAACAATATTAAAATATTTGCATCATTAAAATATTGTGGAAAATTCTTCCTTGTCTATCCTCAAGATAAAACAAGGTTAAAAAAAGGGTTTTTCATGAAAAAAATTTAAAATTATTTAGAAGACAGATTACTGCATTAAGCCATTATTTTGAAAAAAAAATCTAAAATGGTTTCTTTGCTAAATATTATACCTGATATGCCTTACCTCATTTAATCATCATGGCATCATGAGATGGGTATTATTATTGCTGCGCCTTTTTTTTACAGGTGAGTAAGCACTTACGTAGCACTTCTTATTTACCAGTAATATTCTAAGTGTTTTACATATATTAGCTCATAAATTAGGCAATATACTACCTCCTTTTACACATGAAGGAATGGAGGGAAATTGTATAGGAAGAATCCAGGCAGTCTGGCTCCAGACTGCTCTATGGTGTGTCCAAGGGACACTAAGGAACAGAGAACTTAAACCATCTACATAAGGTCACACAGCTACTAATGGTAAAATCACGATTTGAACGTACATTCTTTCCACTACACCAATGTTTACCAAATTCTGATTTTTTGATCATATACACCAGAATTATTTAAGCAGCTTGTTTAAAACCTAGGCCCTCTCCCTTCCACCATCTCTATTGACCGTAAACCTCTGGTGCCAAAACCTTGGAATCTCAATTGTCAATAACCATCCTAGGAGGTTTTGATTAACATTAAATTCCCAATCTGGCTGCATTCTAATACACAAAGCAGGTTTCCTATGAGATTCAAATGAAATATCTGGAATAATTATAAATGATGCCATATTTTATCAATTTTAATGTTATTTATTTATTTATTTATTTATTTATTTATTTATTTTGAGAAGGAGTTTTTGCTCTGTTGCCCAGGCTGGAGTGCAATGGTACAATCTCAGCTTACTGCAGCCTCCACCTCCTGGGTTCAAGCGATTCTCCTTCCTCAGCCTCCTGAGTAGCTGGGACTACAGGCGCCCGCCACCACATCAAGCCAATTTTCATATTTTTAGTAGAGATGGGGTTTCACCATGTTGGCCAGGCTGGTCTCGAACTCCTGACCTCAGGTGATCCACCCATCTCGACCTCCTAAAGAGCTAGGATTACACAAGAGCTAGGATTACAGGCGTGAGCCACCATGCCTGGCCAGTTAATGTTTAATTTTTAAGAACACTTTAACATCTCTGAAATAGGACTGACTGTTAAAACTGGTGGTTCTTGTAATCACAATAAAAACAGGTTTTTTTTTCTTCTTCATGCTACGTAAAATAATGTTGCTTTAGATTTGTTAATGTATGCAGGTTCACTGGGTATTAAAATACAAGGGACATTGCTTATTAAGCACTATATATATATATATATATATATATTTTTTTTTTTTTTTGCTCCTGGGTCACATGTGAAAGGGTGCCCTTCTACATGCCGTAAGAGTCAGGGTTCTGGAAAAAAAATCGTAAGTCTTCCATCATATGTAGAATCACATATACTACGTGTAAGTCACTAACCCATGAACAGATAAAATAATGAGTTTGAGAACACTTTGAAAATGATAAATCATTATGTAAATGCTGTGTGTGTATGAATGTAAGCATAAGCATGGGCTTGAAGTAATATTATTAGAGAAAGTAGAAATAACTTGATGCTCATTTCCAAACTTGGCACATGTGCATTGTAACAGACATCATGATTTTCAACATTCTTCTTTTTCTTTCTCTAATAATAGGAAGCATATCAGTAAAGAGTGCTCTTTAATGCTTGCTATACTCTAGGAAATTATTTAAGTGCTTTTCACAGATTATCTCATTTGAGCCTCCCATGAATCCTGTAAAATACCATATTATTACTGTAGCTATTATGCCTATTTTACAGGAGAAAAAAACTGAGTTGTAGGAACATTAAATAAGTTGATTAAAATTACTTAATGAGAAAGTGCTAGAGTAAAAGTGTGAGCAGAAGCACTCTGAGACAGGAATTTGCTTGTTGAAATATGTCTTAAAGTAAAATTTACTGTAAACTAACCTACATTATGTGACTTCACATAACACAGGAAGGAGAAAGTGGACAGAGAAGCCAAGATGTAAATAGTCACTGAAAAGGAAAGAGGAGAAAGCAAGAAGAACATGAGGTAAAATATTTGCAAATGTGTTTATTGCAACTCCTTTTCAAACTTACTTTATTTGAACACTTTATTTTCACTTTCTAGATTTTATGTCTCTACCAAATGAATTTGATTACAAAATTTTCCTTTTGTCTCTCTTGTACTGATGTGAGCACTCATTTAACTAATTTCATTTTAACTACATTATCCATATCTATTCATATTGTCCCCATCTATGTGACTTCATTGTCTATGATTCTGTTCTATAAACTCTGCAATTCTGTTCTTTGATCCACTGCATGTATCTGACAGTTGGACATTCTTCTCATTCTATCTACGTTTTCTGTATTGGGCATGCAAGCTGAACCTATTCTCAGGAAAATTATGAAATGAATGTAGTCTTTCAAGTCCTATACATCTTCTTTTAGCATGCTTCTGCTTCTTTTTCCTAGTGCTTTCTGGTAAGTTATCTCAGCCTATTATTATAGTTATTGGGAAGATTTTGATCGGATAAAATGTACCCCATATTATTAGGGACTAATATATTTCTCTTATGAAAGTATTTGTAGTTTAAAGGAATACTAAATGGAAAAAAGTAGCACTAAGGATGAAGGAATGGATAACTGAATGGCAAACTGCAGAATAATTGCATCATATTCTAGAGTGGGGGGACTAATTCAGAATGGGTACCCTTCCAGCACCCCCAGATATGACTGCATTGGAAAAAGCCTTTTGGATACATTCAAAATCTCAGTCTTGTACAAGATATTACCAAAATCTGAAAAAAGAAAGATGTATGTTTCTTTCATTAAAAATTTACAACAGACATTGTAGTACTTATTTTTCATTTACTTAATAATTATTATTTGGCTGCCATATATTAGCACCATACCATCCTTATATTTTGGACTCAACAGCCTGTTAAATTGTGTTAGTTTTGAAAATTAAAAAATGTAATTCAAAGCAGAAACAAGTTAAAATAATAAAAATTAACAGTCCTCTCTATTCAATACTGTTCCCAATTTTGAAAATTAATTTGTTTCTTATTATTTTGTTCCATTCGTAAGAATCTAGTTTCTGCTACATGAACTATTACCTAAAATAGTCTTAATTTTAAAATTTTGTTTTACAATTCAAATTATCATACAACTCTGAAAAATATTTGCATGTCTGAGTATACTACACTTCAAGTTTAGATCCCAAGAAATATATACTGCAGCAAACTCTAGAAAGGAGCTAAGATTTTGAATTTAGCTGGAGCTTATATGATCCTACTGATGTAAAATGAAGCATAATATTCTATAATTAATACATTTTAGTTATAGAGATTCCCTAGTATTATTTTCATGTATAATTATGATATCTAACACAAAATATACAGAATTTGTCTAATTTTCCTTAGTTTAAACATATAATGATTTTCTTTGCAGAAACATTAACATTTGCTCTTTTATTAAGAAATACAATTGTTTTCTGTAAAACTAAGAAGTGCTAGAAAGTTATGTTGCAAATGGTTAAACTGTTTCTTCAGTTGGCTTCTCATTTTTTCTCAATATATAGGAGATCTCTTCTATGAAATTACATTGATTTTATTAGTGAAAGATGAAGTTGGTGCTCATTTCTAGGCTAACTGAGTAAGTTCTGGTCTAAATATGGCTCTAAATCATAAATTATTTCGATAATCACTAATTCAGTAGTCTCCATAGAACCGTGACTTACAATTTACCTAGGTTCAATAAAGACTACTGAAGATGTGAATGACACATCCTTGCGATGGAAGAGGTTACTGTTTCATTTGGGAAGCAAGTATGTAGACAACTAAAGACTACGGGAAATACAAATTTAGGTAAGATCCTTAATTCAACTAAAATAGCATATGAAAAATAAACAGCAATTAAACATAGTTAGAAGGAAAATAAAATAAAATGAAAAATAAACAGCAATGAAATGAAAAATAAACAGCAATTAAAAAATAAACATAGAATTAAAAAATAAAATAAAATAGCAATTAAAAAATACAATGAAAAATAAACAGCAATTAAACATAGTTAGAAGGCAGTTGGGGGGCTGATTTTTGAACACTGTTAATGAATCTGTTAATGTTAATTGTATCTGCATTTCCAAAATTTCTTAGGTTTATTTATATATATAATACCAAAAATAAAGATAAAATTAAGCTAAAATGTCAGTAGGGAAACAACGATAAGCAAGTTAATTTTTAGAATACCCTTTATACTTTGGTTCATTCAATCACTGTCAAGCAATATTATTTGTTTCTCCCAGAAAACTCACATTCATCCTAGTGTCCCCATGAAATATGTGATTAAAACTATCTTCCTGAATTACATTAGCACCATTAAACCGCAATTATTTCACATATCATACAGAAGCCCAGAGTTACTAAACTGAGTTATAATTCTTAAATGACATTAATTCAGGAAGATTTTAATGCCTGTTTGTTTAACACAATCTTATAAATAATCCCTTAGAAAGGATGTAAAAATCCACACATATCTTAATGGGCTAATTGTGCTCACTGCAGTGTTGAGTCTATAAAAGCTTTTCAATAGTGAAAGAAATGATGGCATTTTCATCTTAAATTGCAAACATAATTGCTTTTCTAAATATCTTTTTGTTTCTAACTTAAATGCTATTGAGAGCAGAAATTTCCCCAAAACACTAATAGAGTATTTAACATAATTTCATTTATTGAAAAAAAATCCAAGGGAAAATAACATACAGCTATCTGAAACTATTTAGCAGGAAGAAAATACCAAAAGGAATGAAATTAAAACTAAACTTTGAGATTTCAAATGAAACTAATATTCAATATAAATTTAACACAATGTATATTTGATTAAACTTACACATTTAAATATATTGATAAGACTCAAGAAATAAAAATGATATCCTGGAAACCCAGGACAACAATTAAGAGCCATACAAAAACGAACTGAAACTAACAAGCTAATCCCTATTTTATAGAATTTCCCATTGTTTTATTGAAAAATAAGAATACACTTTAGCTCAACTCATGGAAAATTAGTACAATTGAAATTAAATTCAATCAGTTGTAAATATTTCCTCGAGAAAACTATTTCAGTTTCTACCCAGAGTTTAACCTCTGCCCTACTCAACATTTTGAATTCCAGTTCCCTAATTTCAATATATTCAATGTAGGTTCAGGGTAGTGATATCACCACTCATAATTTATTAAGCTTTAAATTAATATATTAATAAAGTCATCCATATACAAATATATGGAATATTTCTCCCTTTCTAAGCCTCGCTTCTTTTTCTAAGCAGACATGAACATATGGATTGATTCAGAACTGACATAGTTCACATACAGATTTCAAGTCTTTAGTCTTTCTTTTTCTGTGTAATAACAACATACATGTTTACTGATAAATATTGTGGATATTCGGCAAAGAACATTTTATATTAGATTTGAAAAAAGTTCCGATCATTCTGTGGTAGCTTTTCTCCTACACAGAAGTAGAAAATGCCAGACATTGCTTTTTAAAAATAAGCGCTAAGAAAACTAATAAACTGATTAGCCACAAAGGGAACATTGTAGGAAAGGAAATAGCTTGGGATTGAACCCTATGATTTTATTGTTTTCACAGAAAATGCAATAACTCCTCATTGACATCAACTACCCAGTTGCAAGAAGAGTGTACCTTCTGCTTTGGTGAGACACAGATGACACAATTAGTAAACAGTAGTCATCAACCAAGAAGCAAATTAATTTGGGGTAAAGATTTTCCAGTTTAAATGTCTGTTGATTGGCCCTCATCTTTGAAAGGCACATTAAAAAAAAAGTTTTGTGGTAAATAATACGCATTCACAAGAATACTTGGAAATCAGTCTATAAAAATCAGATTATTCCATCACCATCTTTCAAATCACTAATCAGAGCAAAGAAAAATCGATCATGTAAAACACCACAGCCAGGTTCATACAGTCTTAATTACATAACTAAATGAATTAATTGTTCTTCAAGTTACACATTTTATTGACATATATGTTTATTATAAAGTTTTTAAAATAAAAATGCATGTTTGGTGAAGTTAATACAATTGTAATTTGTATTTCATCATATTTTAAAATACAAAAGAATTGAATTGCTTTTACTCTATTACATGATGTAACTGACTAGCTGGGTTGTAATTCTCAATATTATAATTATCATAATTCATTGCCATGCCGAAGTCAATTCTGTGATATGTGTGAAATAAAATACCTTTAGTTTAGCCTATTGCATGACATTGTGGTGTACCATGCATCTTTCAAATCTCTTAAAGAAAAGTTAATGGCAGGCCAAACTTGTGACAAAGTACTGTGAATAACACGGAAGGAGGAAACATTTTAAACGGGGATATATAGCATATTGTGATTTGTGGTGGAATTAAAAAACACGTAGCAGGAAAAAGAAAAAAAAAGAGTGTACCTAGGTATGTATATAATGTACTTAAGAGAGGACTCAGATTTTTAAAATGGACAAAATAAAAATTGCATTATTTTTAAATACTGCATAGTCAATGAGCATTTGATGTAAATCTTACAAATATGGTTGGGTGTTTTCTTCTCAGTTTAGGGCTTGTTGAAAAGTAGTACTATTAGGCATAGTTTGGCACTTCTGGCAATGTTAGTGACTTTAGTGAATTTCATTATATCTATGATGCATTTTATATATCACTACAAAGAAATGCTGCCAATTGCAATTAAAATAGGCCCAATTGCAGAGATGTTAACATGTAGAGAGACAAGCATTCTTGAACTCATGAAATAGAATAATACTCCAAATTAATTGGGATCAATTACTGGCAATAAGAGATTACATGGTATATTCTTTCTTCCACAACATTAAAAACTCCATTGCCTGGTGCCTCTCTATAAAAGAACAAAAAATATTGGCATCAATTACACTTTAAATATGTTATCAAAATGGAAAAGGAAAAATATGTTGGTGAGTCCAGTTCATAATAAATACAAAAAATATTAGGAAAAGGAAGGCAGTTGCTAAATGAGTGTTTTAAAAGTTTCATTATTTTTACTAATATTAAAGAAGAGGTTACTTAACAAAATTTACATTTCACTTATCCCAATCTTTTAAAATTTCTGCATTTTATCCATTTACTTTCAATTAAAGCAACTGAACATATGATCTGTAGTGAAAAACGTTGATTCAAATTGTTTGTTGGTTTACGTGAATGATCCAGAACCCACTTGAGATATACGTTTTATTACCATCTCAATAAGTTTGATTGCTTTGCACTTCTTCTGATTGCCCCTTTGTTCTTCACATTCATCTGCAACTTTTAAAAAATTTAATCAAAATTAATTTGTGGTACCAGCCAGTTCTCATCAACTTCTGAAGCATTGTGTATTCTTACTGTTTGAGAGGGTAGGAAAGATTTTAGTATTTTATAAATGCTTAGTAGTAGGATTGAAACTTTTTCTTACAGTTACTTCTTTGTGCAGGATTACTTAGAATAACAGGACATTTGATTGTTTACCTGAAAAGGACACATGTATATTTAAATATTCTGAATACAGTCTTTTTTATTTTTTATTTTTTTGCAAAAGCCTCACTGAAATCAACTTAAAGATCAAGGGAGGGAGAGGCAATGAGTTAAGAGTCTCCTTTTAGATCTAAAACATTTTCATTGCTATTATCAGGAATGAGAGTGCTGAAAATCAATTAAAAAGGGTGATCTACTGATAAGAGATAGTGGAGAAAAGGGGCTAGTTGCCACAAAATGGAAGTCAAGGTGAAGAGAAATTTTGTAAAACGTAAAAGAAATGCCCCAGATATTGTGTACTTGAATCTCTTTGGTCTGATAAAGTATATGGGTTACTGTGAAACTCTGAAAAAATTTTAAGATGTCTAATTCATTCAAATAAGTTATGAAACTCATTTGTTTATTATGTTTAATTTAAAGGACTTGGTTCAGATCAATTCCATCACTACCTAAATATTCAAACTGGTCCCCTTTTGAACTGACTGAAAATAGACATTAAATTCCAGGTTCATATATGTTTCATATTTTACCTTCAAAGGTTTAACTGCTTTCTGCATGTATTACAATATAGGGGAGTGCATCAGGGAGTTCCTATTAAAATTTCTTTCTGCAGACATTAAGGTATGTGGAGCACTGAAGATTTATCCCATGGTAACCAATAAATTGTATAACTAATTTCATTTTAGTGATAAGTGAACATTGCTCAACAAACACACATACTGCTTGTCATACCTTACCTGGAAAGAGGCTTTATTGAACATAGCTGTAAAATTATATTTTAAGTTGAATTACTGAATTTGCACAAACATTTCTACAGAATTGTTTTAAAAAACAAGCTTTGTCATTTTCCACTACATTTTGTTGTGCTTTTATATTAATATTTGCAAATGCTATAATTTAATACTTATATTCCAATTGCTTGCATAATCAGTTTTTTTAATCCTGGGGTGTTGAAAGAACATATAATAATAATATTCTTCTTAGACAAAAGTCTTTTTAAATGAAGTTAAAAGCTGAGATAATTTAAGGAAAATGATCTTCAAATTTTCATAACCAACAGGTTTAAGTGAAATTTACAATGCATTGGAAAACTGGCTGGTTAAAGATATGATTTGTCGTCAGGTAGCTCAAAATTATTTTTACAGGTTTTTGTTTTTTTGTAAAAGTGTTTTTATAATCTTGGTAAAATAATAAAATAATATTTCACAATTTGCACAGAGTCTGACTAAAGGGCAGAGGCATATTACCCTCAGAGTTTAGAATAAAGCCAGATTTTTCAGGCCCAGTTCCACTGTAGAGTTAGTATGCACTGCAATCCCAAACATTTTCTTGTTCCCTCTAAAGCTAGGGCCAATTTCATTTCAAATGGAGGTTAGAGTAAAAAAATCACTTTTGTGTTTTACCACCTTCTGCACTAAGTATTCTTAATAACCTTTTGCTCTGGTTGACCCATTTAATAACCTGGAAGAAAAAAAGTGTTGCTCCATGTCTGGTCTCAATGGAAGTGATTTTCTAATGGACAATAAGCCGAAAGGCCATGGCTGTCTAGGAGGTTAAACAACAAATATCTTGTCTGCATGGGCTTACGCAGCAGCTTCGGTCCTTTCTTCTTCAGAAGCGGCTTTGTTGTCTTGCCTGTAATTTGCACATTTAGGCTCTGTAGTTTGTTTATAAAATAGTTTTACACAAACCACTCTTAGCAGTGCAAGCTTCTGAGTTGAAAATTATTCAGGCTTGTTTCATTGAAGGCACTTGGTTTCCATGGCAATTTATAAAAGATGGTGGTTTGGTTTCTTCATTGGAACAGATGACGTAGTTTGGGTGTTCAAGTGGCCGCAAGCAAACTCCGATAAGCCTGTGTAACATGTAAGCCCAGGTTTACCATCCTGGATAGTAGTGCATGCAAAAAGAGACAGCATACAGTTATCTAGCTTAGCCATGGGAGAAAAATAATAATAATAAAGGTGGGATGGGGATAAGGTGGGGAGAAACATGAATGCTTTAAATAATTCTGAGTTCGGGTTATTTTCAAGGAAGGGTAACAGCCAAAGGTAAAAGGGCCTACATTTATTTAATTCTCTACGAAAACCTTCTCGTAAGGAAAATAAATGCCAGCTCTTCACGTACCCTGTTTACAGTGAGGTTTTTGTTGGCAGGCCATTAGGTTTCCATGGTAACAAGCAAACTATTCATTTGAAACAAAACCAGCCATGACTTTGTGCTTTGACAAGGATTTCTATAGCTCTTTTTTTTTTCTTTTTTTCATTTTTTTTTTTTTTTCCAGAGTTCAACCAGATGACGCTGTAATCTTTTTAGCCACAAAAGCACCTGAAGGTCTCTTCTCTACTCAGGTCAAGATTATCTTTTATGTTTAGTCTGGAATAAGTTATACTTCCATGATGTCTTTTTATCCCCAGTGCTTAAAAAAATTTGTTTTTATTATTTTATTTTTGAGTCAGTAGTCAGTGGAGGAATCTTTGGTAGTTTGTTTGTTCAATGTCCATTTACAAAGACTCTTTCTTCATGCCAGTGCCTGGTGAATCTTTTATAGCCTCTGCCAGGATAAGGTCACCTTCGAGGACTTAAGATAGAGATGAGGACGATAATGGGAAAAAGCCATATATGAACCAAAATCCCAACAGCACCATCAACGGAATCTAAAGATAAGGAAAATAAATGCAAACAAAAAAAGAAGAATAATAAGCATTCCACGTAGCTACTAACACAACCTTGGTGAATAATAAAACAAGTATATGGAAAATATTTCTGGAAAATATTTATTTTTATTTTGTTTTATTTATCAGCTTCATTGCTAAGGGAAGTGAAAAGGAAAATGAATATATGGTTAAGGCACTTGATAAAAAGATTTACAGATTTTGAATTGATATAATATGCTATGAAAACTTGTTCATAACATATTCACATAGGTTTGTGGTTGAGCTCAATCTTAAGAGTTCTGCTAGCCACAGGAAAGCAGGAACATGGAGAAAATTATCAGAATACTTCAAAAAGTAGATTTTTTTTCAAGCTTCCCGAAGTGGATAAGCTTGAAGACTGAAAGAAAATCTATCTTAATGAAAACTAGAAAGGGATGGTTATGTGTACAGAAATTAACTATTGCAACTAGTAGATGATCCATGTTTAGATCGGTCCATTATCTATAAATTATACAAATAATTTTCTCTTTATTTTAACTTTTAGAGGCATGATGAAGTCCATTCAAACTAAAAAATCCCTTCCACCAATCGGCCTGGAAAGTCCTACTGTAATTGGGATTTCTGTTAAAACCTGGTGTCCAGTTGATGCCTCTTAGAATGCATGCCTTACTGTGGAGGGATAACACAGATATAATTCATTAAACTAGCTAAAGTTGCAAAGTGGCTTGTATCTAGGGGAGAATTGAGTTTGAAAATTGAGACATACAATCTTATATCTGCATGGTGTGGACCATAGTTCCATTTATTGCCTGGAAAGAACTGGCAGCCTGAGGAATCAGGAAGAGGCTTTCAGCCTTCAGGCTGGTCTGTACTTAGAATATAATATTCATTTAATAATCATCAATCAATCAAATGCTAGTCATAAAATGAACTTAATAAATGGTAATTAAATGACACAAATGTAACAGAAAACTTTCTGATGCCAAATAGATTATTTGTGTTCAATTAAGATTATTTATTTCCCCTAATTTATAGAGTTTAAATATAAATACACCCAATACATACAGGGGGTGTTTTCATATTTAAAACTGCCACACATTTCTTGGATTTGCTAGTTTAAGAGAAAAAAAAAACTAATTATAAAAATGTTCTATTGTAATAGAACTTGTACAGTAATGAAGTCCCTATGGGCTTTCACAGGCATTTACTGTGGCTAGTTTTATCAGTTATGCTTTCTTTCTGCACTAGGGAGTAAATAATTTCCTTTGCTTTCTTCCTTTGAAAAGTTTAATTCAATTTATTGAATTTATTTATAATATTTGTGCTTACATTATGAAAATGTAAAATTTCTGTATATAGTTGTAACTGCCTTCAATTAATAAAATGTTACTGCCACTCAGTCATACTATGAAATTCAAAAGAAATCCTATTCTCCTTTGAGGAGAATACATGTTTTCCTGTGCATTAGAAAAACTGTTCTTTTGAGTATAGCTACTGGTTTTCTAAAGCAGAACTAGACAGACACAAGGATACATTTTTACTAAATATGTTACTTGAAATACTAAGTTTATGACTTTTTAATATATTTTCATTTTATATAACAATGAGCAAAATGGCTCATTGTTATATAAAAATCTTAGTTTTTGTCTTTTGACAATACTTAAGAATTGAGTCAATTCAGTTCATATGAGTAATCAGTGGACAATTGTACACATTCAACTTTCAACATCTAGACTGGTACAGTTTCTCACTAAATATAGAAAATTACCAAAGACTCTGATTTGCTCTAGATTTATACAACATAGATTTTCATGCTTTTGTATGTGCTAAATAATTGATGAGTAATTTGTGTAAATTTAGTTTGATTACTTTCTCTATATATGACCACAAAATAAAAGATTCCAGATGAGTCTAAGATAATCCTTCAATTGCAGTCATTTTTAACAGGAATGATTTTAGATTTCATAGCTTCGAATGTGAAATATGGAGATGAGGACTTTAAGAAGCAGCTAAATACATAATTCTAAATCTTTGTGCATTATTCATCATGTTTTATTTATATCTCTTCTATTATAAAATGGACCTGTGACAAAAAAATAAAATTAAATATATCATTAAACCATAATACTCAAAAAAGGGTATAAAGTGAAAATCAAATTATTAAACAAGCTTGTGGTGCAGATAGGAGATTAGACCATAAATATGAGGTCTACTTCATTACTTAATATATGTATTTAGGCTCTTTACAATGCTGAATCTGTTAAAATGGCTGGCAAAAGGCCAGGCACAGTGGCTCACGCCTGTAATCCCAGCAGTTTGGGAGGCCGAGGCAGGTGGACCACCTGAGGTCGGGAGTTCGAGACCAGCCTGGCCAACATGGTGAAACCGCGTCTCTACTAAAAATACAAAAAATTAGCGGGGTGTGGTGCCGCGAGTCTGTAATCCCAGCTACTCAGGAGGCTGAGGCAAGAGAATCACTTGAACCCGGGAGGCGGAGATTGCAGTGAGCAGAGATTGCACTGTTGCACTCCAGCCTGGGCAACAAGAGCAAAACTCCGTCTCAAAAAAAAAAATTGGCTAAATCAGGAAATATATTCACTATATTCACAAACTGGACGAATGAAAGCATCTATGCTGACATGGTAAGGCTTTGTGTCCTCACACAAGTCTCATCTTGAAATATAATCTGCATAATCCCCATGTTTCAAGGGAGAGACCAAATCTCATCTTGAAATATAATCCGCATAATCCCCATGTTTCAAGTGAGAGACCAGGTGGAGGTAACTGAATCATGGGGGCTCTTCCCCTATGCTCTTCTCATGAAAGTGAGTTTTCACTAGATCTGATGATTTTTATTATTATTATTATTATTATGTTTTTGAGACAGACTCTTGCTCTGTCGCCCAGGCTGGAGTGCAGTGGCGTGATCTTGGCTCACTGCAAGCTCCGCCTCCCGCGTTCACGCCAATCTCCTGCCTCGGCCTCCCGAGTAGCTGGGACTACAGGGACTACACGCCCGGCTAATATTTTTTCTTTGTATTTTTAAATAGAGACGGGGTTTCACCGTCTTAGCCAGGATGGTCTTGATCTCCTGACCTTGTGATCCACCCGCCTCGGCCTCCCAAAGTGCTGGGATTACAGGCGTGAGCCACCGCGCCCGGCCGATCTGATGATTTTATAAGGGGCACTTCCCCCTTCTCTCAGCAATTCTCCTTGCTGCCTTGTGAAGAAGGTACTCTGCTTCCCCTTCACCTTCCGCCATGATTGTGAGTTTCCTTAGGCCTCCCAGCCTTGCTGAACTGTGAGTCAATTAAATCTCTTTCTTTTATAAATTACCCAGTGTTGGGCAGTTCTTTATAGCAGTATGAAGATTGACTAATACAATTTACATTGTAAATATGTGCTATGTATATAGGTTCATCAAATATTTTAATACAAGTTTTTAAATCTTCTAAAACAAATAATATCAAAGTGTTTTAAAATCTTAATTAAAAATCAAAGTGTACTTGCCTTACGTAGATCTAAATCAAAATCTCACTTCTATTTTATCTTAGGCCAAATATGTCTACAATTGAATTTAATACTTTAAAAATAACTGAACAAACTTTAGGGTATTACATATAAGAAATTTCTAAATAAACCAACTAAAAATAACTCCGTTTTTAAAATTAATTAAATTAAATGTTAATTTAATAGTAATGTTACTTTAACGTTACAACAAACCAATCTCAAGCAAAGATACTTACTCTTAGTTGCTAGGTCTTGTTTTGCACATTCTCCTTCTGCAATTGATACATCATCAATAGCAATGTCACCTTCTATTCCAGGACCTCGGATACCTTCAAAAATGAGCTACAAATATGAATGAAACAAACCTAAATGTGGAGCTTTGATTTGCAGATCAGTTTCTCTTGAGAAATCAAGGTGACAAAAATAAACTTGTCAGTAATCCTGGCATCTTTTATATTTGATGGCTTTCAAAATTAAAACTTGCAGAAAACATAAACTTTCATCCCAAAACCAGTAATTGAATCTTCCTTGCATTGTATTAGTTTTTCACATCAAAAGCTCTGTGTCGATTTTAAAGCAAAACTAAACTTAATTAAATAATACAATTAAAAAAAATGACTACACATCCTCTTTTAATTTTTAAGGATAAGAAAAAATGTTTTATTTGAAAAGTCTTTCTCTGAGATAGATTCTTTCTGGTTTTATCTGAACATAACTCATAACATTAGTTTTCTAGAAATATTTTAAAGAATGAATCAATTCTGAATTCTTTACAACAGTAATATGTATATTGAAGCCCGGAACAAAGTGTTTCTATCTCTGACATTGATTTCTCACAAATAGATTGAATAGGTTCGTCATATTCCCATGTTGACTTTATAATTTACCTCCATGATTTCACTGCTGATATTCCATTTTTTTAAACTTGAAGATATGTATCAGTCTATTTATGTTGAATATCTCACGGTATACCTTTGAATTTATGGTGTCTATAACAATGGTGGTCACTGAGGCTCAGTGCATGAATATTGAAAGAATAAATGAGTACAATCAGAATCCTTTATTATTAAATACTTAAAACAATGACAATAGAAGCACAATTAGCAAATTTATATATTTTTTATTTTTACAGAAACAGGACTCTTTTAGAATTTTCTTTATGGCTCCCAAATTATTCCTTGCTTTCAGCAAAACTTTAATCTTTTTGATACTGTAAGGCAATTCATGCATTTAGTGGTGGGTATACAGTTCTAGAAAAATATTTACATGTTAAAAGGAAATATCTGCTTTGGTCATTCCAAAGAATAGTTTAATAAAGAGCTGTTTCTAACAT
Organism: Homo sapiens; assembly: GCF_000001405.40. Lineage (NCBI taxonomy): Eukaryota > Metazoa > Chordata > Mammalia > Primates > Hominidae > Homo > Homo sapiens. The sequence continues at coordinate 46,846,863 of NC_000014.9, forward strand.
CAATCTGGTAATGTGCTTTATTAATAACATTTCTAGACTTATGTCATCACAACAAATCTGACAATGTTTATTTTTATCAATGCCAAAGTTTTTGTTTTTGTTTTTATTTGAAAACATCTCCTCAAAGGCAAATCAGAGTCATCTCTGAACTTTTCAAAGCTGCTGTCCTGGGAAAGCCATAGCTTAATTATGATGATTTTGAGAGAACTTAGGCTACTTTTGAGAAATTTATCCAATGTTCTTTGATATGCTCTCATAATATTATCAGTGGGAATCTCCAGGTAGTAACCAGAGGCATCAGTTGTCAACTTTTGTATTGAGACCCTGTCCTTCACTTAAATGTAGTTCATCAAACAAATAATAATTTTCATGATTTGATAGCAGAGAAAAATTTGAGTTCTTACTGATATACAGATATGATAAATATGGAGTTTCCTGCTTATCTATGTTAAGATAAGCATGTTCTTAAAGATTCTCCAAAGCCATCTCTTTGAAAGACATTTAAAATGGTCTGTTTCACTGAAGCCAAAACAAAATGGCAGCTGTAGTTCAAATATTTAGAACCAAGTTAGCAGTTTAGCAAATTCTCAGTCCTCAGATAGAATTTACAATGAAGTATTATTTTGGCTGCTTGGAAATGATGACTTCCATTTGAGATAGGATGGTGTCTGGAAAGGTAACTGGGAAGTGGCTTTAAAAAGTCTCAGAAGACTTTTTAACAGTCCTTTATTTAAAAGGTCTATGAGAAAGGATTTAGAAAAAAATGAACGGTATGAACATTTGAGAGAATTGAATATGAAGAAAGGGAAGTCATTTTAAGGTGCAGAATATTCCACATTATGGATGTAATTTATTTAACCAGTACCCTATAGTCATCGTTAGACATTAAAACTATTGTCTCCTATTATGAACAAGGCTGAGGTGACTACGTTTCAAATAATTATTATTCATACTTATTTAAAGCACATTGTTCTTTAAAGCCTTTACAAATTGCCCGTATGAGCAAACTACCTGTGAGAAAATATTTTCCTTTTTCCAAAAAGTAGGTTTTTAAGTCTTGGGGTATATTTTCCCTCTTTGATATGTGTCCCTTACCTGATAGAGAGTCAATGTTAGAGTAAATCAATAGTTAATATTAAATACTGCTTGTAGAGTGCAATACAGGGTTTACAATGTAGCCATAGCAAAGATAAGGGGTTTGCATTCCCATGGGCTTTATGTGGGGAAGTGAGATGTGGTGAAGAGTCTAATAAAGGTGGGTTAAAATGCTCTGCACCTGCTCGCACTTGAAATTTACACAGATAAAGCTGAAGTCAAAATCCTTTTATTAGGAAGGATGTTTGAAAAACATCCACAGTGTTCTGTATCACTGAAGCCAAAACAAAATTGCAGTACATGGATTTCCTATCTTAGCTATGTAAAGGTAAAAAGTTTGAAGAAAATACACTTTTTCTTATTCAAAGTACACAATTGCTTTCACTTAGTAAGTTCTTGTTACTTCCAGATGGGAGTCATATAAAATGGTGAGATTTCTTTAAAAATCAAAACTAAAACATACATGTCGTCAAAGTCATTTCTGAACTTTTCAAAGCTGCTGTCCTGGGAAAGCCATAGTTTAATTACAATGATCCTGCCATTACTTCAAAGCATTTCAAAACTTCTCCTACTACTGCCTTTAAAGGATTAAACAATCCTCCTTTTTATATTAATTTTCTTTTTCATCCTGTCCTCCTGCCTCCCTGTGCAGCTTGATCAAAATCAAAAGATTGGACCTAGGCTTGTGCTAAAAAAAAAAAAAAAAGTCCCAGAGCAGTGAAATTGTGAAAGACAGACCCTTTTGTAGTCAGATTGAGAGACTGTGTCGGGAAACCATCTGTAGTAAACATCAGGAAGCGGATTGACTAATGTAATTTAATATGTGTGCTACCTACCTACTGGCAATATGTTGACTGTAAGTCTGTGGTTTGCTGAACAACAAAACTAGCAATCAACAAAAATCAAAGCGTCACGTGTCCAGAGGGCTTCCTATACTTAGAACATTACCTTATATGAATATTTCACCCCTTGGTGATACCGAATGAATGAAGTGGTACAGTAAAAAAAGTAGGCTGATTTGCAAATATATTATTTACATTTACACTTACAATTATTGATACTACATTTTGTCATTGATAAAGCAAGGTAATTTCTTTAAGCATAGCAGGAATTTTAGACATTTTGTTTAAATAAATCTAGTTATTTATTGGTATGATAAAGATAATTTCTAGCAATAAAACTCTTAGTACAGTCATAATTTGTATTTTTAATATTTATTTGTAATCTTGTGATGATAAAGAATCTATTTTAATAGGCCAGAGAAATCTGCAGTCTTCCACAAGGACCTTTTTGAACAGAAAGGAAAAGAAAGGTCCTGTGTAGCATGTTTATTTGTTTCCTTTTAATTTCCACAGTTTTGCTATTACAAAGATGTAGATTATTTTTTAACAGGTTGAATTTCACCAATAAATATTTATTGCATTGTTTTATTTATGCTCTGAGCTCTTGACTACAATTATATTTCTGAATTACTTTAATTAAATTTTATAGATTCAAACAGATTCATAAATGACTCCTAGACTAAGATCTAGAGAGAGCATGTTTTACTTGACATGGTTTCTGTGTGAGTTAGATTAGACAAATATAAAGTGTAGATATTAAATTTAAGTAATGTGCCTTAGCCAAACTTTTAAGCATTTGTAAAAATAAATCTTTGCTGACGTTTTCTAGAATATACAGATGAGAAATTATAAGTGCATTAAAATATGATGTATTTAGCCATAGAAGATGTGATCTTTACACAACAAAAAATCTTAATTATATTTATCTCGAGAATTAAGACTCTCTAGTTTAAAGAGTTAAATTGTCATATTTTTATTTCCATCATTTCCATCATTTATTTCCATCATTATTTTGACTACTATTACATTACAGAGATAAAACCATTTTCGTTTCCTCTTCAGTACTTCTGAAATGCATTTGGTTTAACTAACTTGAAGAAGGAACTAACAGCAACTAGGTACCCATGGAGAAAATGTGAAAGTTTAGGTCTCCTAAAAGAGGGATAAAATTATGCAAAACCTGTTCCTCCCGCACAATAGCACTATTATTTAAAATTATTTCCCTTAATTGAAATGACAAGTTTAAAACTGAAATGTTTTCACAGTGTGTTCATGCAACTTCGCAACCTTAACATACAAAAAATATTGCCTAATCAGAAAATTAACTTTTGGTAAGTAAATTCAAACGGGAATTCTAAAAAATTAATGTGGATTTCTGTATTAGAATTGTACCTCACAAAATTGTTTCATTAATTGACAGTTTCTTACATACATTATAATGCTTTAAAACATATAAATATAGATGTCAAAATAAAGATATAGATGATGCTATAAAAGTATGTGTCAAATGTAATTTCTCAGCAAGAAAAGAAGAGCTACATGAATCACGAATGTGTAAAAGTAGATGGGGGAATTAAATAATACAATGCACTTCTGATGATTTGCCTTCATTGTTAATGGTGACTTCTGCAAATATTTACAACATAGTTTCTTCCTGACAAAAGGCAAATCACTTCTAATCATTACTGCTAAGGCAAATGCAAAACCCTAAGACTGCAGTTTGAAAATTGACAGTATATGTCACTTTGAAAAACTTCAGGATATAAATATATTTAAAAATAACCATTAGCATTAATAATGTTATCTTTATTTTATCACTGGTTTAGCAAATAATTGAACTATCCTCAACCATTACAAAACAAATTTGAAGAGAGACAGCATAATAGACATAGTGGGTAGCCTTGGCTTTTTCCCTGGGGAAACTACCCAAATATGAACAGTGAGTTTAACTTAACAATACTCTGCCAGTTCATCTTGTGGGACAAATGTCAATTAGTTGTCAACATTTCTAATATTAAATAATAACATGAGAGTCGACTGTTGGGAAAGACAAAGAAATGCATCAAATTGTGAGCTGCAATTGGTAAATGTTTTCAATGGTTAAGTCAGGAGCCACCATTGTGTCCATATAATTGCCCTGGAATGTGGCTTAGAATGCCAGATATGCTACATGAGCATGTAATGTCTACTAATGAGGACAATATTTTCTAGCTTATTATTATTCTTAGTTGGAACATAAGGCAGCATGATGTAAGGAGAGCAGTATAGTCTCTTTTCCAGTCCCTGTTACAGTGTTAAGCATTTGTATCTTAATTTTCTCAAAAATTTCTCAAAACCTGTTTCTAAGTCTTTAAATGAATATGTAAGAGCAGGAGGTTTCCAGAATCCCTTTCTCTTAAACTAAGAAAACGTAAAGAGCATCTTGTGTCTCACAATCTAGTTGTACACTTTACCCCTGGAAAACATTTGAAATATACTATGAAAGAAGTAAAGCATTAAAAGGGGATGGTTAAATATTTTCCCTGGTATATGATGTAAAATTCATTGACATTATAAGAATATATCCATTTTGCTTCTTTGGAATTGTTGCCCTAATTTTTCCCAATGTAGCAAAATCTGTTTTCATCCCAAGCACTGATCATGCTAAGTTAATTCTAGTAAATGAACCCAACATAAATTTCAATAGAATAAAACTTCTACTTGTCTTGAAAAGTACTAAGCAATAATTGTATTTTCAGCTAAGCAAACTAATTGGACACACTCAAACAAAGGACTGTCCAAGTAATTTTATAAAGGATTTATGGATCAAATTAATTTAAAGTCATGCAACTCAAAACAAATAAAACAGTGTAAATGCTAGTGAAAGAGACTCAAAGTCACTTATATTCTGTGTAAAATTTCAAGAGGTAAAAGTTGTGCCGTCCACTTGAAGTAAATACATCCTCAAATACCAGAAAGTTACATTTGAGTAATATTAAAACCTCTCAAACCTTAATTTATATAGTAATATATTGGTATCATTGTTGTTATCAGGAGTTCCTAGAAGACGTTACATACCAAATAAAGTATTTTTGAGAAGTTTGACAAGTTATAAAAGATTTTTGGGTAAAAAAAAAAACTTTTTATAAAACAATTCAAAACAAATTTCTCTAAAATGAAACGAGACAAAAACAACAAAAGTGGCATGGGATTGTTTAGTTGTGTTTCACGTTTCCTTGAACAATCAAGATTAATGAAATAAAGTCCTTAGCCAATAGACCTAGAAATATGTTGGGAAATGAAAGAGCGTCGATCAAAATGAAAAGATGATTTTATCTATCTTTATTTTCCACTGGTAATTTAAATAGCTTAAAAATGCATCAATTCAAACTATTTACAAATACAGATTGTTCCATTTGTTTCCATGAAAAATAGAGTAACAGGAACAAGGCTATATTTCTACTTTAAATTACCAAATAACTGGGCCAACCACAGTGTTCAGGATACTAGATATCAGATAATGAAGAAGTGTGATCCCTGGGAAATGGGAGTCAAATAAGGTGAATTCTCTTGACCAATACAAAGTTTTAGGCCATGGTGCAAGTAGAGGAAAAGAAGGTGAAACCTGGTAGAAAATCTGAGTTGAGGAGATGAGAGTTCAAAAAAACAAGGGAAGCTGGAATGTTCAGGGCAGAATACCAGAGAAAAACAGTGGCAGAGAAAAAGAAAGAGAGAGAGAAATAGAGCACTGCAGAGAGTCCTCCTTGAGTATTCAGCAGAGTACTGATCAGGACATGAAATGAGCAATCTACCCAATACTTGGGAAAGAAACAGAGGGGTGAATTTGAGTTAATAGTGCCCAGCATTCACAGGACTGGGAATGGTGACTGTTCCCATCCACCACATGGAAAAACCTCATAATACATGGGACATTTGGTAGACGACTCAGAGTAGTCTTGCCTCCATCATGAAAAATAATTAGCCCTATACCAAACATTACTCTAGTCTCGCCTAAGAAATCTTAAAAGCAACACCTAAAATAATCAAACTCTTCTGAAGTAACTCAACTATCTTCCCTGAAAAAGCTCAAGAATACTTATAAGAATACAAAAATATGCAGCACCTATCAAGGTAACAGTCACAATATCTGGTACCCAATCAAATTACCAGACTTGTAAAAAAAATAACGAAAACAGTGATCCATTATGAGAAGAAAAATCAATCAACTGAAGCCAACCAAGAACTTATACAGATATTAGCAATAGCAAATAATGATTTAAAATGGTTATTATAACTGGATTTCATATATTCAAAATATTAACTAAAGACATACAAATATTTTTTAAAAGATTCAAATTGAACTTACAGAGATGAAAAATCCAATGACTTAGATGAAAAATACACTGAATAAAATTAAAAGTAAATTAGACATTGCAGAAGAAACTATTGTTGAATGTGAAGACATAATAAAAACTATCACAAATTAAACATAAATAGAAAAAAATGAAAATGCCTTAATGAGTTGTGTGACACTTTCAAGCAATTTTATGTATGTGTGATTGAAATCTTCGAAGGAGAAGAGGAGAAAAACCTCAAATTTTATGAAAACTATAAATCCACAGATCCAAGAAATTCAGTGAACACAAAGCACATATAGAAGGAAGAAAAATATATCAAAGCACATCACAATACAGTTTATAAATACGAATGATAAGGAAAATCTTAAAAGCAAACAGAGAAAAAGTCACATTACATACAGAAGAATAAATTTAAGGCTATCCACAGATTTATTCCTGGAAACAATGCAAACAAGAAGAGTATGGTACAATATCTGAAAAGTTCTAAAAAAAAAACAACAAGGATGCTATAATCAGTGGAAATCTTTCAAAAAATGTGTGGTATATTATGACCTTGGTATTTTTGTTTATTGTGAACTTTGCTGGAATTTTGTGTTGGAGAGGCAGTCATGTGGAAAGTGAAAGTATATCTATAATAATATCAACTTTTTAGAAAAAAATTGCTTTTTAATGACAATATCAGTATATACATCTTAATATTAAGGTTACTTCTATCAGTAATACTTTGGAATCCTGTCTTCCCAGTTTAATTTAGTTTGATGATATGTTGTCATTCATTTTCACAATTGTATTGATCTTCATAGAAACAAAATGATTATTTTTCAGAATCATATGGGAATAAATCTTTTATATATCTGTAGATAATTAGCCAGTCTTACTCTCTGATTGTTTATCATTGTGAATGACTATGTATTTTTATCATCCTGGTTTGATTTAGAAGTGCAATCTCCAAAGCAATTAGAATTTATAGATTAGATTACAAGAAAAGGTCATTCCACCAATTAAAAACTGGCACGATTTTCTATACCCTTACAACATATGCCATGAAATGCATAAAAAAAATCACTAGTAGATTCAATGCTATAAATATAATGTCATGAAATAGATTTGAATTCTTTTGAAATAAAGCATAGAGCTGTATAAGATATATGTCATAGACTTTGAAGATATTTTACCATATTTTTAAAATATAAAAATATTTGGATATGTATATATTTATATATGTATATATGTTTATACACATTAAAATCATTAAACAGTATATTAACTCCACTGAAATAGCTTAATGATCTGTTGTCTCTAGCTATCATGGCCAGTGTGGCAGTCTTTACAATTTCTATATCTTTACTGGTAACTCTCTTAGCTAACTCTCTAAGCTTTACTTCTTTTCTATATAGAAACAAAGAAAAATAACTTATTTAAAGTCATCTTAATTTTAATAATCACTGATCAATTACTGATATGGCATTAAATCAGAAGGAACTTTTTGTTGTAAGTATATAAAATTTAATCAAGAAAAATTCAAACAGATTGAGAATTGATTACCAAGTTCCATTATTATAGAAACTTATAATAATTTTTTTTTCAGGGAGTAAAATATAAGCATGTGATTTTATAGAAATGGATTACATTTTTTCCAGGAAAATCATTTAAATTTTGATAAAGTATTATTCAAACCAATTACTTGATGAGTATTAATGAATAAAGGAAAAGCGCATTTATCTTTATAAAACAGCTTTTAGAACTAAAGCAAAACCTAATCATATAATTTTTGTGATGCTTATATCGTGGAATTTCTGAATATTCATATTTTAATATTTGCTCAAGATCCACCTTTAATATTATGCTCATTTACAGCAATTAATTAGCCAAAACTACTTTTCTTACCTGAAATGAAGTAATTGGGTATATATTAACATGAGCCTCATTCCATCTTTGTCCTTTATTCCCACTTGAAGACCACAGTGGATTCTCTATTGTTGTTTGCCCTTTCAAACGTAGATAAACATTTAAGACACCTAAAAATGACAATAAAATTTTATTTTGCATATTCATTTTCACCTCAAATTTGTTTTTCCTTGACCAAACACTTGTAAACTTTTTAAACTGAAATTTTACAGAACACTCTAGTGTCTTGTCCTCTCTTCTCCTCTCATTTCCTATCTTGCTCTTATGACATTTGACATTTGATCCAAAAGTAACCATCTCCTAATTCCCTAGAACATGTGCATGTTGCCTGATATTGCAAAAGGGATTTAAGGATTTTGCAATGGGGAGATTATTCTAGATTATTAGGGTGAGTCCTAAATGCAATTACATATAGCTTTATAAAACAGAGGCAGAGGGAGATTTGATACAGGAAAGAAGGCCATGAGAGATAGAGATGTTACATGGCTGGTTTCCAAGATGGAGGAAGGGGCTACAAGGACTACTGGCAGCTTCTTGAAGCTAGTAAAGGCAAAGGAAAGGGCTTCTTTCCTGGAGCTTCAGAAGAAGTCAGCCCTGCTGACATCTTGATTTTAGGCCCAGAATGCTTTTTTTAAATTTCTGTTCTCCAGAATGATAAGCTAATAAATTTGTGTTGTTTTAGATCATGAAGTTGGTGATCATTTGTTATTTGTTACAGTAGCAAGAGGAAATTAACATAGCATGTAATCATGTACTGAATAACTTGCTCAGAGTTGGACTCTAATTCTGTCGTCTTATATTATCATTTAGCATCTTATTTTTTCAGTTTGATTTTTACCTGTCTCATTTTTCTTCTAAAAGAGTTATTGGAAAATAAAATGAAGATAGCTTTTATCTCATTATTTGATATCTCTCTTTCAATAGTTTAATGTGCTGTACACAGTAATGATATTAATGATGATAATGATATTAATACAATAAATATATATCAAACACTTACTCCAGATGAGGAATTAATCCTCTCAACAATCCTATGAAGTACTTATTATTATTATCCCCACATTATAGATGAGAAAACTTAGAGGGGTTAAACAATTTGCTCTATGTCATACAGTAAGAAAATAGCACAAGCAGGATTTGAACTCAGGGAGTTTCAGAGTCTTACATCTTAATCACTAGGCAATCAATATTTTACTAGATAATTTTAAAAATCAACTGTATTGAGGCAAAATTTACATGCAATAAAATTCATTCATTTCTATGTGTTCAGGCCAATAGTTTTAGACTAATGTCTACTATAATGTTAGTACTTGATCAAGATAAAATCAATGCATCTTGATTGTATCAATGTTCAAGATACAGAACATTTCCATTTCCTCAAACAATTTTCTCACTTTCCTCTGTAGTTTATCTTCCCAGCCACCCTCCCTTTGCTAGATAACTAGTAATCAGGCTTCTATCACTAATCAATGATTTCTTTTATAGAGTGTCATATTAATGGAATTAGGCATTATATAATTTTTGTGTGTTTGGTGAGTTTCCCTAAGCGTAATATTGATGATATTTATGTTATTGTTTTCTTAGTCATTTTAAATTCAATGTTTAGTTTACTTATGTTTAATGTAGCTATTGATGTGTTTATACTTAAATATACCATCCTGTTGGTTTGCATTTCTTTCTTCTGTTTTTCCTTCTCCCTCTCTCCTTCCATTCCTTTTTATCAGGAACTGATTTTTTTCAGGATTTATAAAAAAATAAAAATTTAAGATTTCAATTTATTTACTCTACTGACTTAACTTTATCTCCTTTTACTATGCGTTAGTGATTATTTTAGAGTTAAGATATAACTTCTCAGAGTCTAATTAGAGTCAATATTTTACTTCTTCATATCTACAAGTCATAATTCAAACTCCCTTCAGATGTTCCACTATTACCTTATCCTATTCACTTCACTTTCTATATCTCACTCCACAAATGTAACAACCTTACACAACATTATAATTCATTTATCTGCCCCATTTCTTTACTCAAATATATCTTTTACTTTTGTTTACATTGTAAACCTTACCTTCCGGTACTATTTTTTAAGAGCCAGATATGAATATATTTTCTATAAATTATAAGAAGAAAGGAAATATGGCGTTTCAATTTCCACTTATTTCCATTTCTGGTGGTTTACATTTCTACCTGTAGATATGAGTTACAATCTGGCACCCATGGCCCAAAGGGCATCCCTTAGCATTTTTTGCAGTGGTGAGCTTCTAGGGACAATATTTCTCTGATTCCTTTAAGTAAAAATATTCTCATTTCTCTCATATTTCTTGTGAGGTTTAGAATTCAGGCGGGTTTTTTTTCCACGTATTAAAGGTGTTCCATTATCTTCTGCATGCTATTTCTAATGTGAAGTAAACCATCATTTATTTTTGTTTGTCTTGTATATAGTATGCTTTTCTTTCTCTTTCAGGCTGCTTTAGAGAATTTCCCTTTGGTTTGCAGTAGTTGATTGTGATGAATGTAAATACGGTTTTCTTTAGATTCATCTTGCTCAGGGTTATGCTGAGTTTCTTCTAAGTCTTTTCCATTAATTCTTTTTAAAATTTGTTTTATTTTATCTTATTCTTTTTTTAAGAGATGGGGTCTTGCTCTGTCACCCAGACTGGTGTGCAGTGGTGCCATGGCACCTCACAGCAGCCTCAAACTCCTGGGCTCAAGGGATCTTCCCACCTCAGCTTCCAAAGTAGCTAGTACTACAGGGGCACCCCAACATGCCTAGCTAATTTATTTATCTTTTTTTATGAATGGGGTCTCTCCATCTTACTCAGGTAGATCTCCAACTGAGTTCAAGCAATCCTCCTGCCTTGGCTTCCCAAAGTTTTTGGGATTACAGACTTGAGTTACCACGCCTGGTCCCATTATTTCTAACAATATTTTCTGCCACATGTCTCTTTCCTCTCTTTTGCACAATTAACTTATATATAAATCCTTAAATATATATGTATATTAAAGTACATATATATAAAAGTACTTATATATAATGTAACTTGATATTCTTGTATAGGTCATTATGGCTCTGTTTATTTTTCTTCAATATTTTCCCCTATTTTCTCAAATTGGAAAATTTTCTTTGTCTTCAAGTTCACTGACTTTTTTTTTTCTGTCATCTCCAGTCTTCTGTTAAGCCCACCCAGTAAATTTTTTTGTTTATTGTACTTTGTAGTATAATTCTTATTTAGTCCTAGCCCTTTAGTATAGTTTCTCTTTCTCTGCTGAACTTCTTTATCCATTCACGCATTTTATTTCCTTTGATTCTTTCAGCACATTCTGTTATTTCACGGAACACATTTATAATACTTTTTTTCTTTTCTTTTTCTTTTTCTTTTTTTCTTTTTTTTTTTTTTTTTGAGACGGAGTCTCGCTCTGTCTCCCAGGCTGAAGTGCAGTGGCGCGATCTCGGCTCACTGAAAGCTCCGCCTCCCGGGTTCACGCCATTCTCCTGCCTCAGCCTCCCGAGTAGCTGGGACTACAGGCGCCTGTTACCACACCCGGCTAATTTTTTGTATTTTTAGTAGAGATGGGGTTTCACCGTGTTAGCCAGAATGGTCTCGATCTCCCGACCTCGTGATCCACCAGCCTTGGCCTCTCAAAGTGCTGGGATTACAGGCGTGAGCCACCGTGCCCGGCCTATAATACCTTCTTTAAAGCCTCTATCTGCTAAGTCCAAAGTCTAACTTTCTTAAGTTTGGTTTCTACGAACTGATGTTAACTTTTTATGGCTATGAATCATATATTCTATTTATTTGGATATCTAGTTACTTTCAGTGAGTAATGGGCATTGTAGATAGAACATTATAGAGACTCTTCAGCTGTAATCTTTCTCAGAAGGCTATTGGCTCCTGTTATAGCAAAATGTTCAGTTATAAATTGACCATGCTGAACTTGTATAGGCTTGGTTTTCCACTACTAATGCAGATCTGTGAAAAGCCAAAATTGTTGCCCTAAATTCTCTAACTTTATGGGACTCAATCTCTAAATCTGTCTTACCTATGAATCTTACTGGGGCTTGCATTTAGTTTAGGCTGTTTTGGAGAATGTCTAGAGAAGGCCTTTCTCCCAAGTATGATTCTAGCCTTTCTGGTTTCATTGTGCTGCCAGGGGTTTTATGAGATCTCTACACTCTCATGAAGTTTCATGGCTGAGACTTCAATATTCCATGCTGCTCTCCTCTCAGGTCTCCTTGCTCTCCCCACCTTTGTTGTGCTGTCAATCTCACAAAGGTTGCTGTATTATAAGTCTTGGTTTTTCTAGTTTTCTACATGTACAGTCTAGCCTTCAGCAAATAGTCATGAGGGAACCCCATACAGACTTTTGGATTCAACCCTGCATATCTTTTTTCTTTCTGTTACCCTGACCCACAGATTCCAATGACATCAATTGTACAGTACACTAATCTTTGTTTTCTGACTGACTGGGATCTTCACATTCTGCTTGAATTTCTGGGATCTGTGGCAAGGTCAGGAAATTTTCCTCAGGCAGAGAACTTGACTGTCATGGAGATCACTCCATTAGTTTCTCTTTTCTCATCCATTGCAGTCCTACCCTGTTTTTTGGTCTATTCTCTAAAAAATGGTTTCTAATATATTTTGCCCATTTTTATGCTTGTTTAGGGCAACAGGACTTATCTGATATCATTTACTACTCCTTGGCCTTTAGATGATCTCATTTTGATTACAGATAATGATATAAATTAGTAATATGTTAATATATACGCTTCACAATATACATATAAACTTTACATATAATGTAGTATATAAACTTATTTATATGAATATGCTACATAAATTCTAATGAACAGAAAAGACAATATAACATTATCATTAAATCACTCAGAGGGTAGCCTTCTTAACATTTTGGTGTATGTTGCTTTAGCCTTTAAAAAATATTTACCTGCTTATGTATCGTTATATGATATAGAGTAGCTTATCCTTCAACTTTTTAAAGAAATTTTCTTTAATTATTTACACATAAGACCACATGTATGCATATAATAGAAGTATATAAATATGGGTATCCACTTTTTAAGCAAAAACTGCATTCTTTATATCACAGCTGGATGACTCTGGCTTCATCTCTAAATCTCTCATTCCCTCAACTTCTTCATCAGGCAAATGGTAACTAAATGATGATAACTAGCATAAGTTTTTAGTGAGAATTAAAGTATGTAAACCATATATTATTTCTCATATAATCAGCACATTTATTATTATATAAAATATTCAACTAAGGTTTCTCTATTCCTCTATTGATGTGTTAGGTTATATTAATGCATTCCATAATGTTGAACTAATCGTATATTACAGAAATAAAATGTACTTTATAATAGACCACTGACTTTTTTTTATAAGGCTGAATCAATTTGCTAGTATTTTATTTTGGAATAATTCATGGATATTTGTCCTTATGGTTCTCCAGTTTTCTTTTTTGATTTTATCTTTCAGTGTTGCATTTTCACTTTTTGCTTCAAAATTACCTTCTATCATTTTTCCTCTTCAGGGTAAGAAAGAATCTCAAACTTGTCTTCCACAGAACTGACTTTAATTTCCAAACCATATTGTTTTTTTCTGTTGTTTTGTTTCCAATGTCATCTTTATTCTGCTATTATACTATTTAAAGTGTATCACTCTTTTGTGACCTCACAGAATTCTCCTTTATATCTAGACTTTATCCAGTTCCATCTTTTTCTTGGTCCACTGTTCTCTTATATTCTTTCGTAAAGTTCATATTCTTATATGCTTTGTTAAATATATAAAGCATATGCTGTACACATTTTACTTTCACTTGAAGTAATTCAGTAAGTCTTTTTCACCAGTATATGTTTCTTCTACTATGTGCCATGTGAGCCAGTTTTTATTCTATGGAATCTTCATTAGAACCTCATGTTTTTCCTCTCTCCATTTTCTTCCTCTTTATTCATTCTTGAATAATAAGAAGTAATCCTTTGGCATTTTTCACCAGACAATTTTTGAGGCTTCTCTTATACCCTTTCATATAGAGTTTTATTTCTCTTGGGTTGCATGACCTTTTATTTTGATTTAATTGACAGGAAATACATCCAATCAAGAAATGCACTTTTTAAAAAACATTAAAAGAATATTTTTAAGACCTATTATAGTTTGCTAACAAAATAGTGCATACTATATGTCCTTCAGAATTCATGCGTTTTAATAAATACATGATTTAGTAAAACATATTAATATGTGTGACTTATCTTTCTTATATCAGTAATTATAGGGTATCGTGCCAGTACTGAATATTGTTTCTCACTAAGGGAATTCTGTTTGCCTGTAATTATGTTTATATTTCTTAACATTTTCTTTTTACATATGTAATATAAATTCAAACTTGAGTTATTTCTATTTATGTTTGTTGAATACATAATATGTAAAAAAATATTTTGCCTAGGTTTAAAGAAGCCAGGTGTAAATTATCCCAGAGGTCTTATTAGGTTTGAGAATAGGCTAAACAAGGTGTATTCAATTGTGGCTAGATGTTATTTAAAAAGGTAAATTTTACTTGTTTGATAAGAAAAAGACACAAGAACTACAACTGATTGAAATAAATCTTTCAAATATAATTTCAATGTTTTACATATATAGTAATAATTATATGATTATCCCAGTCAGTGAATGCAAACTACTTATTACTGATATATTTTAGAGGTGATGAGAAAAGCAGTGTTAATCAACAAATGATTTTGGAACTTTTCTCCCAGGAAGTTTCTAGTTCTTAAGTTTATAAAAGAGAAATCAGTGCCAAAAGATATTTAAACTTATGTCAAGTCATCTTGGTCAACAAAATTAGAACTTGTGAAATAGAATAAAGCTATTCAAGAGAAGTTAGATTCAGCAAAGCTGATTCAGCACATTATAGTATTATAGTAAAAAAAACTCTGAAGTGAATATGATGGATTGTGTTAATACTCCTTAAAAGTAAGTTTAAATCCCCAGAGACACTGTGTTCATGCTTTAGTAGACATCAGATACCAAAACATATAAATTTAATCATCTCCAAGGATTTTCAATTTTATAGGATTTTTCAAATTCTATAGTTCTAGAATATAAGTTTGCAGAAGCTAAGCAAAACTCAAACTTTTTCTTTTCCTTAGTTTCTTAATTCTCATCTTTTGGTCACCACTCTCCAAAAATCAGGTGCTAGAGCTTAGAGGACTTTAGTCAGCTCTTATGTTTAAAGACTACAGGCAAAAAGGCTAAATGACACAAGTGCTGTCTTATCTCACGAATAATGGCCAAAACTTTGAGGTTATTCATGGCATTATGCAATAGCCTGATTATTATTTTAATATTATTTAATATATATTATAATATAAACTATAATTTGCATAAATAATATTTATCACTACTGTTAACCTAGTTCTCTTAAGTTCTTAACATAATTTTACTTTTAATTATTGTACTATAAATATGTATTATATATTTTAGATAAATAATTTAAGTATATGTCCTAAAATGTGCATACATATTCCCCATAGAGTCTTGAAATTGCCACATTTACATGAATTAATTTGCAATTTGGTATATTCTGAGGTCTGGAGATCACTTGCATACAAATCGCATTGTTATAATCAGTAACACAGACTTACTGAGTTTCACATTTCATGTAAAATGAGGATGTGCCAAAATCATCCAGCTCTAGGCAAGATCTATGTATATTGATAGGTAATTGCTAGCATCATTTGTTTTATACATACATACAAAGTGAGAAATTATAAAATCATTATTTTCTGCTTGAATAAAAACAGCTGCCCATGTCCATTGATATTTTTTCAACATATAATTGCAGTGCTATCCTAAATGAAAAATGCCAGTTTATTTTCTACAGTTATTACCATTCCTTCTGGTGCACAGGTGAATTTGTACATTAGAGTCCAAAATGTTTTTAAATTATAGCTTTCCTTTCTATTTCTCTGATGTAAGTCAGATCCCTTACGCTGACCTTTTCCCTCTTTAGTTCTATCACTTTCTCTACTCTTCCATAAGCACAGTATTCTCCATTGTCATACATTGGCTTTGTCCATTTCTCATATTCTTTGGCCTTTGTTCTCCACCTCCTATATAATTCCCTCTTTTGTAGGATGCTTTATATTTCTTCTCTTCCATAGACACTTTTATTTTAATGTACCCCTCAGTCTTCTCTCCCTTGTTCACCCACGCCATGGGCTTGTCCTACATTTTGATACATATTACTTTCTGACTTTTATTTTATTCAGAAATTTATTACCTCAAAAAGATGATGAACTATTTGATGAATAAAAAACTTTTATCATATTTGTCATTTATTCTCTATAGAATTCTAAACACTAGGATTAGGCACACAGCCTGTGCAATTCATCCTATTGAACAGAAATGAGTGAATTCAAACCTAAGGGTAAAAAATACCCATTGTAATAAATCCTTAATGTCAATGAAATTAGTTTTAAAGTTTGGTACACTGGATGAGAAACAGAAGCAGTTAACTCAATTGCTTACCATCAATTCAATTGATGAAATAATATTGTCTATTAATTATACTGAAAATTAGACTTATATGGTTTGAAGTAGCAGCCTTTCTCAGCTACTGTGTTCTCAGCCTTACTCAGTTCATATCATTAATTTTGCTTAAACACACTAGATTTTATTACATACATTGTCTAAGGGACCATCATCAATGAAGAATAGAAAAAAAATGAGTTTAGAAGTAGTTAGTGGTTCAAACCTGGATTCTAAAAAGATAAATGTATTAAAGATTACATATAGTTTTACTAGCAGGTCTATAACAAGTACCTGTAAAAAGAGTTTTATTATACATTGTCATAAGTCATGGCTAGATTCTATCCACCTCCTCAATTTTAAATTCATCTCATTTAACAAAGCAGTTACATATGTATACATGTGCCATGCTGGTGCGCTGCACCCACTAACTCGTCATCTAGCATTAGGTATATCTCCCGATGCTATCCCTCCCCCCTCCCCCCACCCCCCACCCCACAACAGTGAAAAGCCAAAGCTAATTAATAGTGTTAAAACAGTCCAGTGCTTCCCTAGGGTGAGAGTGGTGGGAGGAGATTGGAGAAAGGGACAGAAAAGTTTTGGAATGGTAGAAATATTGTATGCATTGATGTGAGGGTGGTTAAATGAGTGTATGCATTTGTCAAAACTCATCACACTTCACTTAAAATTTGTACCTTTTGTTATATGTAAATTATTTCTAAATAATGTTGACTTACAAAACTAGAAGTGATGCTTAGTCAATCTAATACTTCAAACATTCTAACTTAATTATTTTGCCTTATTTTTATGTCTTTACATTTTAGTTCTTTACATTTTAGTTCCTATAAGTCTGGTTTTTATTGCTTTCTGTAAAAGGATGTACTAGACTCCAAATTGAGAGTTGTAAACACACAAATACTGACATATCTTGTTTTGTTGCGCTTTGCAGATATTGCTGTTTTTTTTTTTTTTTTTTTTTTTTTTTACAAATTAAAGGTTTGTTGTAACCCTGTGTCAAAAAAAAAAAAAAAAAAAGCAGTTTACTGAATGAATGTCTTCCATCTATAGCATTATTTTCACATTTACAGCATTGGCATTATCAGCATTAAATACCAACAGGACTTCACTGAGAGCATAGACTAATTCTTAACAGAAAGCGTGACTTAATATCAACTATTATCAAACAGCTCACAGTTTGGTAGTTATTCCCTAATATCTAAATGGAGAACACTAAGGAGCCTTATCTATCCCCTCAGCCACCTAAGAGTTGTCTTCTTCAAGGAACTTAATTCTGAGAATTTATCAGAATGCAAGTACCTTAATATTTTATATTTATTCCACTGAGATTCTCCTAGAGTCAGTGAAATCAAGGCTTTAAAATAATGGCTCCTTATCTTAACATTCTTTCTCATATGGCGTTTAACTCCAAGGGAAAAAAAATCCCAATATGTGAGCTGATTTCCTATTTGAGAATATATTTGATATGTAAGCAAGAATCTTGACATTTTGAATTCTAATCAGAAGAAATACAGTCTTTGACCAAAATGAGAATAAAAATCAAACTCATAAAATCATGCAAAATACCATCTTTGCTTTCTCAATATCTTGTATAAAAATATTTAAGTTCCTAGTTTAAAATCCTTGAATGCCAGCATATCTGTTAGAAAGCATTAATCCATTCTTGCAAAACTCTTGATTAATCCACATGATTATCTCAATAGATGCAGAAAAGGCCTTTGACAAAATTCAACAACGCTTCATGCTAAAAACTCTCAATCAATTAGGTATTGATGGGACGTATCTCAAAATAATAAGAGCTATCTATGACAAACCCACAGCCAATATCATACTGAATGGGCAAAAACTGGAAACATTCCCTTTGAAAACTGGCACAAGACAGGGATGCCCTCTCTCACCAGTCCTATTCAACATAGTGTTGGAAGTTCTGGCCAGGGCAATTAGGCAGGAGAAGGAAATAAAGGGTATTCAATTAGGAAAAGAGGAAGTCAAATTGTCCCTGTTTGCAGACGACATGATTGTATATCTAGAAAACCCCATTGTCTCAGCCCAAAATCTCCTGAAGCTGATAAGCAACTTCAGCAAAGTCTCAGGATACAAAATCGATGTACAAAAATCACAAGCATTCTTATACACCAATAACAGATGAACAGAGAGCCAAATCATGAGTGAACTCCCATTCACAATTGCTTCAAAGAGAATAAAATACCTAGCAATCCAACTTACAAGGGATGTGAAGGACCTCTTCAAGGAGAACTACAAACCACTGCTCAATGAAATAAAAGAGGATACAAACAAATGGAAGAACATTCCATGCTCATGGGTAGGAAGAATCAATATCATGAAAATGGCCATACTGCCCAAGGTAATTTATAGATTCAATGCCATCCCCATCAAGCTACCAATGACTTTCTTCACAGAATTGGAAAAAACTACTTTAAAGTTCATATGGAACCAAAAAAGAGCCCGCATCACCAAGTCAATCCTAAGCCAAAAGAACAAAGCTGGAGGCATCACACTACCTGACTTCAAACTATACTTCAAGGCTACAGTAACCAAAACAGCATGGTACTGGTACCAAAACAGAGATATAGATCAATGGAACAGAACAGAGCCCTCAGAAATAATGCCACATATCCACAACTATCTGATCTTTGACAAACCTGAGAAAAACAAGCAATGGGGAAAGGATTCCCTATTTAATAAATGGTGCTGGGAAAACTGGCTAGCCATATGTAGAAAGCTGAAACTGGATTCCTTCCTTACACCTTATACAAAAATCAATTAAAGATGGATTAAAGACTTAAACGTTAGACCTAAAACCATAAAAACCCTAGAAGAAAACCTAGGCATTACCATTCAGGACATAGGCTGGGCAAGGACTTCATGTCTAAAACACTGAAAGCAATGGCAACCAAAGCCAAAATTGACAAATGGGATCTAATTAAACTAAAGAGCTTCTGCACAGCAGAAGAAACTACCACCAGAGTGAACAGGCAACCTACAAAATGGGAGAAAATTTTTGCAACCTACTCATCTGACAAAGGGCTAATATCCAGAATCTACAATGAACTCAAACAAATTTACAAGAAAAAAAAAAACAACCCCATCAGAAAGTGGGCGAAGGACATGAACAGACACTTCTCAAAAGAAGACATTTATGCAGCCAAAAAACACATGAAAAAATGCTCACCATCACTGGCCATCAGAGAAATGCAAATCAAAACCACAATCAGATACCATCTCGCACCAGTTAGAATGGCAATCATTAAAAAGTCAGAAAACAACAGATGCTGGAGAGGATGTGGAGAAATAGGAACACTTTTACACTGTTGGTGGGACTGTAAACTAGTTCAACCATTGTGGAAGTCAGTGTGGCGATTCCTCAGGGATCTAGAACTAGAAATACCATTTGACCCAGCCATCCCATTACTGGGTATATACTCAAAGGACTATAAATCATGCTGCTATAAAGACGCATGCACATGTATGTTTATTGTGGCACTTTTCACAACAGCAAAGACTTGGAACCAACCCAAATGTCCAACAATGATAGACTGGATTAAGAAAATGTGGCACACATACACCATGGAATACTATGCAGCCATAAAAAATGATGAGTTCATGTACTTTGTAAGGACATGGATGAAATTGGAAATCATCATTCTCAGTAAACTATCGCAAGAACAAAAAACCAAACACCGCATATTCTCACTCATAGGTGGGAATTGAACAATGAGATCACATGGACACAGCAAGGGGAACATCACACTCTGGGGACTGTTGTGGGGTGGGGGGAGAGGGGAGGTATAGCACTGGGAGATATACCTAATGCTAGATGACGAGTTAGTGGGTGCAGCGCACCAGCATGGCACATGTATACATATGTAACTAACCTGCACATTGTGCACATGTACCCTAAAACTTAAAGTATAATAATAATAAAAAAAGAGAAACTTAATGATTAGTTAATTTCAGATTCTTTACATTCCTTCTCTACATTAAGTTAGATCATCATAAGGTGACATACCTGGTCCTTAATATTTCAGCTGAAAACAAAAATGTTATTTTATCCTGTATTATGGTTTATCAATATATTAAATTTTTATTTGAACAAGTTTTATATCTTTATCCTTTATATGAATATCTTAGTAAGTAAAGATATTGCTGGTAACATTACTCAAGTGTACTTTTATAATATGCATTTCTCTTTGCATTAATTGTTAAGAATATGTGACACTTTTGCTTTTCTTTTTACTTTAGTTGCCAGAGCATATAGATGAAAATTCAAGTTAAGTCAATAATAAACTTCATCTTCTGTCTGTTTTTTTTTTTACAATCTATAATGTCTTAATGAAACTACCTTCTATTTCCAAACTAAACTGCATACTTTCAATTCCCTTGTTTTGTTATTCTAGTATATCCAGAAGCAAAAGAATCTAGTTTGGATCATTCTTTAAATCTATTGTGTAAATGTTGTTTCCGAGAATCAAATGTAAATAAATCATGGTTACTGCTCTCAAGGAGTTTACAATTTTACAGGGGTCAGTGTGATAAACATTATGATAGGTATACATATCAGGAGTTTTGGGAACAAAAGGAGCAGAGAAGATAGGAAAGAATTTCAGCATATATCCCTGAATTGCTTTTTTAAGGAAGGTTATGCATGACTTAGATGATTAAACAGGAGAAAAAGTACTTATTCAATTAGATAAACAAATATTTATTAATTTTTTTGGGGGAGTACTTGAATATTTACATGCAGGGCAGGGTGTCATCAGAAGAGACATCATTTCTACTCCCATCAAGCCTACAGTTCAGCAGGACAAAAGAGACAGCCTGTGAAGAGGCTTCAGGCACAAGAGAGCTTTACCCGAAAAACTTCAAGTATGACTGGAACAGACTATGAAGCTACCCCAAGGAAAAGCCAGAGGGGCATATATCCTTGAGGTCCTGTTACTGCTTTTAGAGAAAGATCTTTACCCTGGAAGCTATGGACTTTTTAAAAAAGACAGCAAGAAAATCAGTTAGCAAGCGAAATGCAGTACTACGCACAGATGGGGACTCAAACTGGCCATTATATTCCAAAATGCGTTTCAGAAACCTACAGATTGATGTCCTCATCTCCAACCTCTCCAGCTGTCTCTATATTGTCAGTTACTTTGTGCTCCCATTTACCACTCTCCTAAAGCTATCTCCTCTTTGAACATGTACCTCTGTATCTGTTTTGCAGAGAAAATGGAGACTGTTAGGAAGGCAACTTCCATGTCAGCTTGCTGTTATTGCAGCTAGAAATCTATCAGAAGCCATGTTACTATTAATACTGAATTCTTTTTTTTACCGCTTTAGTGGAAATGGCATCAGTTTCTCTCTTAAAAGTCTCATTCCACAGCCAGAGCTCTAAATTCCCATCTAAGCTTACCCTTTTTATTACCTCTTTTTCCTCTTAAAATAAGCCCTTCTACAATCCCACATCTCTATTTATCAGTTCTTTTACAGTCTCCTGCTTCTTCATTAATGAACTCCTTTGCTTTCCCCCTGTTTACTCCATAGTGGAATTAGCTTTCTAGAGACACAACTTTATTGAACCATTCGTATCAAGTACAATGAATGTATTCATAAGTGCCTTAATTTCCTGATATGATATGACCTTTACATTGCACATTCTTTTTTTAAAGAAATGAATGATGCATTTAACTTATTTTTAATACACTTTTGTCATATCTAGTGATCTCCTATGAGATTCTTTTTTTTTTTTTTTTTTGCAAGAACATTAGAAATTCAGTGGATTCATCGAGAATTGAAATGTCCATTAGTAGTCACAGGAATGCTGAAAGAATCTTTTATTATTATCATGGCCAGATGTTGTATCACTTACATATAAATCAGCAGGTACTTTAAGGATAACATTATAGTTTTCATTTGGAAACATGTTTTTTTCTTCAATCAATTTTGATGAAACATTTAACTAAAAAGAAATTGTACCAATGTGGCAGAGCTCAACTCAACCTAGGTCCTAGCATGAACACTCTTGGGCATTTCTCTCCCCTTGGGTATGGGCTTGAATTATCAACTCAGTCACATTAAATGGAACCAGACAGACATATGGGATATCACTTCAGGGGTTAGGTTATGAAAAATCCTGGGCATGCATTCTCTCTCTCTTCTTAATGGATTACTTGCTTTGAAGAAAGCCTGCTGCCATGTTATGCGACAGCCCTGTAGAGATGTCCACATGGTGAGGAATTGAGGGAGGCCTCCAATCAACAGCCAGCAAGAAATCAGTATCTATAGTCCAATATCTTAAGGGAGCAAAGCCTGCCAAAAATCAAGCAAGTGGGCTTGGAAGTGTATCCTCCCCAAACTGAGTCTTCAAATTATGGTGGAGTCCTTTTCTGGAAGGACTATAACCTTAGGAGAGACTTTGAGCCAAAGGCACTCAGTTGAGCTATACTTGTATTGACCCACAGCAACTGTGAGATAATAAATATTTGTTGTTTTAAGTCACAAAAGTTTGGGGAAATTTGTTATATTGCAAATAATAAGTAATGCAACATATTTAACTTTAGTTCAAAGAGGAATCTCTTTTCTTAGTAGGGTATTGCTCATTTCTGTATTAGATAATTATGAACCTTCTCAATGGTATACTGTCCTTTAGTCACAGTTAAAAGTTCAAGATTTATTTACAATTACTCATGAAGTTATAAATTTAATTAGGCTATTAGAAATTCAGGACAAGGCATCTTTGAATCTGGATTTCCAAAAGAATGACTAAAACTGAAAATACAATTTGTAAAACCAGTGGCTATAAATGCCTCCTGAGTTTACAGATGAATGAAAGTCCGAAAATAATATATGCAAAGAGGGGATGTTTTAACTACCAGCAGATCTCTCTAATGAACTATCTCATCTAGCTTTAACTGATTACTCAATGTCTGGACCAGGTATTTTTGCCTAGATTTTAGTAAGCAGCATGCCTGCAGCTTGCTGAGAGGAACTCAAGTAATAGACCTGATACCCAGCCTGCAACCTTCAGTCTGATGAAGCAAAGAAATGACATAGGGGTCAAAATGTAAATGTTTGCCAAGAAATGGAGAACTGTCCTCCTAATTTTCCCTCATCCCAAAATAATCAGAATAAAACTAGCAGAACGTCAACTGGACATCCATTGACAATAAAGAAGATAAGACTAACAACTATTAAGTTAAAAGTATATTATAATGATGTATTAAAAGTATTTTTAAAGTATCTTAAAATTATTTTAAAGTAAAGCCCTAAAATCTAGTCTCATAAATAAGGTGAACATATTTTATGACTTTAAGTAATTCAGAATATTGGTCTTGGAAATATTTATTTAAAAATCAATTAAAATATGTGATCCAATGTAAATTGGAAGAGGAGAAAGAAAGTACATGACACATATTCAAAACAAAGAGGAAACAGAGTATACATTATTAACAAAAAGGAAGAATTAGAGTTGAGCTAATCCTACATTAGTAATAATATAGTAATCCCACAATAAATAAAATGGCTTGGCAATTATGCGATTTGTTTCCTTTCATTGGTTCTTTAAGTGATTCCCAGTCTAGATTCTGTTTCTGAATGATTTTACCTATTTTTATGTTTATTTTCCTAAATCAAATATCTCATTATGCTTTTTGATTGCAGAAAATCTAATAACTCACACCACTACTAAGTAACTGTCACATACTTAGCTAGGCTTGCAAAATCTTCCAACAAGTGTTCCTGCACAGTAATAAAACAGGCAGACTCTGTCCAGCTTCCCATGTTTGTGTTATGGCTTCACTACTTAGCCAGGTGATGGGCATGGTAACTAAAGTCCTTTGTATTTCAATTTTGTTATCTATGAAACAGGATAATGATTTTAATAAGCACAAATGTTGATCGTGAAAATTAAGAGAAATAATCCACAAAGTATCCTAGCCCATGATGAGTACTCCATAAATGTCAACTATTATTTTATTATTGCTATTATTATTGCTATTTCAGATTCAAAGTAACCTAAGATTATGAGTGTCTGCCATCTGGTTGAAGATACTATGTATGTTGCCTAATTTAACTTAAACTACAGCTTTCTGAAATAAGAGTTATTATTCTCATTTTACAGATAAGGAAACCAAGGTTCAGACATTTTAAGTGATTTCTCTGAAGTATTACAGTGATGAAGTGCTACAGCCAAGTTCCTGCCCAGGTCTCCTGACTTCAAGTTTATAGTAGTTTAACTTCTCAAAAGCTTTCTGGCTGGGCACAATGACTCATGCCTGTAATCCCAGCATTTTGAGAGGCGAAGGTGGGAAGATTCCTTGAGACCAGCCTGGGCAACATAGCAAGAGCCTGTCTCATAAAAAATAAAAATAAAAATAAATTATAAAACAAAACAAAAAAACCCAAGTGCTATCCATTTAGGCTTGTCAGTATACTGTGAAGAATACTAGTTAATACTGTTGGGTATGAGTTTGAATCCCAGCACAACCATTTACTTGGCAGTTCACACAAACTTCTTGAGGTTCAGTTTTCTCCACGGTAAAAGATGGACAGTGACGTTCACTTTTACAAACTTAATTGAGAGTATTACTTAGCTTAAATAATATGGTGGCTGATACATATTATGTGTCCAATTGTATTAGTTTACATCACATATATTTATACTATCACTTTATTAATTTATATAAAGACACTAATGTAATCCTAACTTCTCAAATTTTACTTCCTTATTACCAGTGCTTTAACCCTCCCTGTGCTAATCTCTGCGTATTGAAAACATACCTCTTTTGCATACCAGAGAAATGTTCTTGTTTGTATTGATGCAGTGACTCATTCCTCAACTAGATAAAGATCCACAATCCCTGGTTCAAGCTCTATGGGGTTAGATATACTTCATTATTTAGAATTTTGTCTTATGTTAGAAAGGTGAGAGATTATATCACTTATATCATGTGATATCTTCTGGAATGGTCTCGAGTAGAATCATATTATTAAAAACAGTAATATTTTTGCTGCAAATGGTATAAATGTCCACATTCATTTGGATAGAGACTATACATAGGTTCATATCAGTTCAGGTTATATATCAGGCTAACATGTAATGTCAAATAATTAAATTTTAAAAATTGATATTCAGTTCTCAGGATTTTAGAATTGCACATAAAGAATGGTAGACCTGCATGATCTTTTTCCCCACAGAGTTTACTAGGTCTACTCTCAGTGTAATGTCATGCTCTATCTAGCACAGTTGTGCATCTGATCTTATCCTCTATTACTGTACAAGGTCTCAAGGGAAGGAAATGTGTCTTTATCTTTGTATGCTGTGCAGGACCTAGAATGTTCTTAAATCTTACTGGGTGTGTTTGGCATACTTTAAAAACATGAAAAAAATCACACCAACGTTTCAAATATGTGGATGGTGCTAAAAATAACTGTCAATATAGCAACATGACAATATTACTTTTCATCATGATTAATATGCATTCAGTCACTGTCGAAGCATGTTTCTTCGGAAAGAAGCAGCCTAAATTATGCTGTGTCAATTCCATGAGACCTGGTAAAGAATTTAACTCATTGATTGTCTACCTGATTTAGGATTCCAAAGGGAGGTAGGTGATGATCTAAAATGTCAAATTCCAAATCTAAATTAGATGGTGGGAAAAAATTCTTACTATCTTATTTTGCAATTTGCAGATAAATCATTTAAAAAGTGAATTATAGCATTCTTTGACCAAAAATTGTTTTAATGCTGTGTGTTTATGAACCTTTTTCTTCTTAGTTATCATTAATTTTGTAAGAATCAGTAATTATTGCTATCTCACCTATATGTTGTCCATACATGTGATAAAAGAAGCTGAAACAATATGCAGTGTTTGTGGGTCCATAAGGGTTTTTGGGAGCTATGCTGAAAACAGGGCTGAGAAGTCGAGCCTTTTCGCCTTCCAATCTGGGTCGTGATGTCTCAATGTACATATAAAAACCTTAAAACAGACAAAATAAAGTGTTTAAACACATTATTCTTAGGCATAATGAAATTTCAAATCACTGAGAAGTCTTATAGTTTTCATACAAAATAAAGATGGATAGGAAGATTTGCATCTCATTTATAAAATCTCTATGTGTATATGTAACTAATAGTGGCTGTAACACAAAGAATAAATGATCTACCAAATTAAAGATAAAATGTATAAAAAGTTGAAATTTAGACTTGAATTATCAAAAAATTCCTATTCTCTCTACTATATGTATCAGTGAAGTCTGAGAAAAAATTAATGTCTACAAAGTTTTGTAAATATCTAAATTGATACTGTACAGAAAATTTAATATTTTATTCCATAATCTTCAAATATATGGCTAAATATTAGTATTTCATATTTATAGCAGTTTTTAAAAGTCTCTGATTGCTATGAACACAAAAGGTCATACCCCCATACCTTCTTTGGAGCCACTACGGTCAGCATTAGGTCCTGTATTAGGAGTATATTTTGTATTTCTTGTTGCTGTACTTTGCTTTGTCCAGTCAAAATTATCTGTATCATCTTGAGTGAACAAACAAATATTACCATCTTCAAATCCACAATGAAATTCTCCTGTTGGTAAATTTTAATTAAATTAATATTAATTAAATTAATACACATACTGCAATATTTTCATAAGAAAAATGTAAAATATTACATAGCAATAATAATGCAAGATTGTGACAATGGCATGAGAGCCATAATGGTGCAGAAGATTACAACTAAACATAAAACCAATCTAATTTTAATGAAAAAGTAAAAGAATTTTACATGTAAATTAATATCTTATTGAATAATTAAGACTCAAACAATTTTTCTCTAAAATATCCAGATAACTGAAATTAAAGAATATAATTTATGCTTGAATTATTGCTGAAGAATTTTCCCAACTTTCATTTTGTCAGTATAGAAACAATCAAAACAAAACTGTCAATTGGAAAATTACCTTTATTAATTTACCTGAGGGTAGTTTTAAATTGGTATACTTTAAGTTTATAATTTTTCATGCATGTCTAGAGATGCTTTTAAATATCCATTTGCATAAATGGAAGTGTGTTTAGGGCAAGCTAATAGCAAATTATTTTGAAAAGTATTTATCCTTCCTACTTTATCTGAATGTGGGTTTCCCAGATACTTGAACTTCAGTATGGAAATGAAGTAATTAAAAGACCTTTTAAAGACTTTGAAGGACTGTGATTTCTCGGATGCCTAACGTATGTTGAGTTCAGGGCCAACACAAGTTCAGAGAAAGACTTTTTCAACTATCCCTGAAATGTGGGTGGTAGTAGTAATGTTTCTAGGTATCAAAGGTTTTCTTACTGCTTGAAAAAAATAGGTATAAATAAGTTGGTAAGGTCCACTAGACACATTATTAAAGAGTGTGTATCCTTGAGAAAGAATAAACATAATGTATATTATTTCACTCAGCCTCATAACAACTCTGTGAAATCACAATAATCCTTACTCATGAGGCTTTACAGAGGAGAAAACTTTGGCAAAGGTCAGCTATTAAATGATAATGTCAAATGGAATCCAAATTCCCTGGAATTCATAGAGATATAAACACTTAAAGAACAGAGACTTCCATTTTAGTCTCTCTCCGACCTACCCATAAGGGGTTAGATTTATCAGATATCCTTGGAAATGGAGTCCTGGTTGAGATCATGTACCTGAATTAATTGAAAATTTTTGGTACTTACAAATAAAAATAAAACAGAAGGCTTTTCCTTTAAATTTAGGGAATGAGTTTATGTTTTGTTTTTGTTTTTTAGACGAAACACTTGCTTTATCTCTTTGTATTTATTTATATTCTATATTCTGGGTAGGTAATGTTACAGGAAATATACATATTTAAGGGAGTCTAAATAAATAACTCAATAAATTTCTGAATAAACATTATTGTACATAAAATATTTATTAGACACATATTTATGTCACAGACCTTGTACCAAACAAGACATGACCTTTTGATGCTATCAGTTGGAAAAATAATGTTGGTAACAGCAGTGTAGCAGTGTATGCATTTACATACATGCACGTATTTCTTTAAAGATATTTTAGGTATGACATGAAATTCCATTAGTTGCTACTCTGGCGGTTTGAATACCATAAAGGCAATGTTTGATTTTGAATGTTTTCAGTTATTTAATTATATATTACATATGCACAAAAAAGAGTCACAGAACAAATGTAAAGATAAAGGATTTCAGTTTATGTATCTACTGCCAAGTCTTACTTTTTATATGTTATTTAAAATTATGTATAATGAATTTTTATAACACTGTTGAACCTTTTTTTCGTAATTTAAACTTGGTTAAAAAGAGAAAATATCTTGTCTTTAAAAATCTATACAATAATTTTTGAGACCTAAATATTTAAGTCTTTCATAGTAAAATTAAGCAATAATGCAGCTTATGAAAACTACAAAAAATGTCAGTTGTGCCTAAAATTTTTCATCGTTTAGGTTATTTTATATGGTGTAAGTTGTTTATAATATTATAACTAGTGTAATAATTCAAATCAAACAAAGATACTTAAGCAACATCAATAGCTCTCGATTCCTTCTAAGGACATATATCTTTACAATAAATAAGCCTATTACTGAAGAAAATTTATAAAAAGTTGGCAGGTAAAATGAAAATAAAACTCACTAGTCAAAACCCAAGAATTTTATGATAGTCCTGTCACTTTAAAAAGAGACAATTATAAATATGTGCAAATACATTTATTCATTTAAAAAGTTTATTAGAATAAAGAATATCTGATAGATAATGATAACGCAATGAGCTGTACAAACTTTTCAAAAGTCAATGTAATATAAAATACTAAAAGAGTAATAAGTATAAATAAGTAATAAAGTCCAGGATTTTCACAAAGATATAGAACTGAGAATCAAGTGGATCTTGAATTTTCCACTGGTTTTCTAATTACAACATGATTTTAGCAGAGTTTCTGGGGCTACATAGAAATAATTAAACATATCTTAAATATTCTCCATTACGTGGTCTTCAAAATTTTGCTTTATTTGGTCTGCAGAATTTTCCCTGAATCCTTCTCAATATGATGAAAAAACAAAACAAAAAAAAACTCAGGAACAAGAATCCTGATACCCAGTGGTCCTTTTGCACCCAGAGACGATGCTCTTTAGTCCTTAAACTTGTAAGAAATCTAACCTTAAATTACAAATAAATAGCTCTGATTTTAGAATATGTCTTCATAGTAAATCCTCTGTTGATTTAATATTATTTTCCAGGGAGAGAGAAGTTTTCATATATGGGAATATTTTTCAGGTAGATACATATCATCTTATAACATTTAATATAAAACAAAATAAAAACTTTCCAGAAGTCCCCAAATTTAACAATTTTATAGAATTCATAACCTAAATTAGACCAAATACATTGGAGTGTAAACTAGTGTTCTATAAAAGAAAGTCTCAATTAAACCCATCAAATACCAACTTTCTAAGTAACCATACTCTTTTATAAGTGGAATATAGACATTCAAAGAAGGAAAATCAAAGAAACGTGTAACAACGATAAAAATGATATGCAATCCCACAAAAGAAAAAAATAATCCCACAGCTGCAGAAATAGCAAATATTAAGCAGGTTGGTAAATGGCTCCATATTTCAATATTTAGGAAAATCTATAAACCTCAATTATCAGTATTAAAAAATTGTATTTATACTCCTATCCTTTGAAATTTAAAATCTACATTTAATGCCAATTTTACTGATTCTGAACAATTGTGTTTTAAACCAACTAAGAATAGTTACTAAACAATTTTTGTATATTTATAAACATTATATTTTTGTATTTATTAAATATAGTGCCATTT
Organism: Homo sapiens; assembly: GCF_000001405.40. NCBI lineage: Eukaryota > Metazoa > Chordata > Mammalia > Primates > Hominidae > Homo > Homo sapiens. The sequence continues at coordinate 46,877,468 of NC_000014.9, forward strand.
TGTAAGTTAAAATATACTTACTCAAATGAGGATTTACAGGAGCTACAAGAAAAGCAAAAGAAACAAACAAACAAAAAAACAATGTTAGCATGGCTTGAATGTCTTTTATAAATAAAAGTCTAATCAGTGTCTCATAGTTCCTTACCAAAACTTAATGATCTTTCCCACTGTGGCCATTGAGATTTATATCTGCAATCCATTTTGTTTTAGAGGATTGAATATAATCTGCTTTGGAGCTCAGCAATAACAGCCTCAAATTACCAAAAAGACCAATGCTAAATAGCACAGGAAATGTTCCCTTTTCAAGGTATAGAGTTTCTGACCTCTTAAATATCTGAACTAGTGCTAAACAAAAATACTCAGATATCAAAACTGAGGCTGAAACTAGGCCAATCTATAATCTAGGTGATTTAAAAATGAAAACAATTATCTAGCAGAGTTTCCACTTTTGTTTTTTGCTGTTTTCTACTTCTACTGAGAGTAAAGTAGAAAGTTCATGGCACAGATGAAAATAAAGCAATCCTGATATCATGTTGTAATATGTGTACTAAAATGAATAGCTACATCAATGCCTTTTTGTTTAATTACAGTAAAATATACACATACATATACACGTGTGCATGCACACAGAATTTTAAAATGATGAGCAATACATTTTCTGTTCTGGGGTACCAAAAGAATTTTTTTTCCCCTAAAACTAATTATATTTGCAATACAAGTGCCAATGAATTTCCACCCAAAGAGAAATGAATACTTTAAATATTACTAACACAACAACAAAAATATCTCTCATCTAAGGGCCAAATTTGTATCTGTATATATCAATTAACCACTTATCACTCTGAGAAAATATTCCAATCTGGATGAAGGACAGCATTGATGTAATTCCCCAAGATTACAATGGGCAGAATGTAGTTTCCCAGGATTACAATTGGCAGTTAATTTACAGTGCAGAACTTATCTGATTTGTCATTTTCTTAGTGGTTGTCATTAACCACTTTTGTTAAATTTGTGCAACAGTAATAAACTCTGACGGGCAAAAATATTCATATATAATTGCAACATTAGTATACAAATGATAAATTTTAACAGAGTAACTTTTTCAATGATTTCCACTATTCCTACATACAGAAGACAATTCCCATTACTGTAGTTGTTTTTCTGATTCTACATTCCACATTGCAAATTATGAAAAGAATAACAGAAAAGGAACTGAAAGTGAACTAAAAATAACAATTTAATTTTTTGGCAAGATATCCATGTATTTTAATTTTAAAATTAGTAAAAATTAAAATTATTTCATAGTTAATATGAAATTCTTAAAAAATTATGTGCTATCTTTCAAAGATGTAAGCGTCCTTGAATTATAACTTAGTTCTAAGATATGTTGTATGTACATGTAAAGCTCTTACCAGACTGAATTTTAATTGAGACTTTGCCTCCAACATTTAATTCACCAAATTCACTATACATAATGCAGTTAACTTTGTGAAAATTTGCACAAACTTCTAAATAGTTCAGCGAGTCCAGTTTTTTCTTCTTTCATTTGAACTTGCATGTATAATTTTTTTATAAATGCATATTATAGACAATTGTGTCCCCATAAAAATGCATATGTCAATGCCTAATCCCCAATGTGATTGTATTTGGGGATAAATCCTTTAGGGAGGTAATTAAGATTAAATTAATCTTGGCCCCAATCCAATGGGATTGGTGTCCTTATAAGAGGAGGAGGAGACACCAGAGAGCTCTCTCTGCCATGTGAAGAAGACATGGTGAAAAAGTGACCATCTATAAATTAGGAAGAGAGCTCTCACCAGAAGCTAACTATGCCAGTGCTTTGATCTTGGACTTCTCAGCCTCTAAAAGTGTGAGAAATAAGTTTGTGTTGTTTAAGCCTCCCACTATGGTATTTTGTTATGGCAGCCCAAACAGACTAATACATTGCCTCTAAACCATTAAAGTATACATTGCCCAAACCTATATCACATAAAAATAATTTTAATAAAAATGTTGGAGATCTGAATATGTATGCCTAAGTATGTAAAAACAATTTTGAAAACTTATTATTAAAAGTAATATCTATTTCCTGCATGTGTTTTTCATTTTAGTTTGTTGCCTCAGAGTTTTCAATAACCACTACTAAGCTAATTAACTTTTTAAAATCTCTTAAGGAAAGTCATAATGATCAATTAACTTTAGCAAAGAAGTAAAGATCTTCTCTAATGGAGTGGTGAACCCTAATTCTAGTCAGGTTTGTCATTTCACAGTCATTTAACTTTGCAGGACACTGAAACTTTCTGGGTCCGAATATCTTCATCTTTTAAAGATATTGATATTAATGCACTCTACATTATACATCTTATTTATTTGGTAAAAACTGTAAGTACAAACAACTTTAATGAGTTGTTAATAGTTTTACTTCATATTTCACGTTTGACAGTATTCACTACTTTCCCCTTAAGCAGGAAACGTATACTTAAGGGTAAACACAATGGAGTACTTCAGCTGCAAACAAAGCATTCTATTATCTTTTTAACTCAGGCTCTGATAATCAGTGATAAAAAGAATCACGTTTGGCCGGGTGCTGTGGCTCATGCCCGTAATCCAAGCACTTTGGGAGGCTGAAGTGGGTGGATCACCTGAGGTCAGAAGTTTGAGACCAGGCTGCCCATGGAGAAACCCCCTCTCTACTAAACATACAAACATTAGCTGGGCGTGGTGGCAAGTGCATGTAATACCAGCTACTGGGGAGGCTGAGGCAGGAGATTCACTTGAACTCAAGAGGCGGAGGTTGCAGTGAGTTGAGATCATGCCACTGCACTCCAGCCTGGGAGACAGAGTGAGACTCCATCTCAAAAATATATATATAGTAATAATAATATTCTACTGAAGCAATACAATAAATATGAACTGTTTAAATAATGATTCATTCAAACCTGAAATACATTGAAAATTCTACAGCTAACACTGAATATTAAAATTCTAAAATGCACACAAATTTCAATTTTTGAAATATTTATCTCTTTAGTATACAGTAAAATAACATATCTAGGCTGAGTGCAGTGGCTCATGCCTGTAATCTAGCACTTTGGGAGGCCGAGGCAGGTGGATCACCTGAGGTCGGGAGTTCGAGACCAGCCTGACCAACATGGAAAAACCCCTTCTGTACTAAAAATACAAAATTAGTAGGGCATGGTGGCACATGCCTGTAATCCCAGCTACTCGGGAGGCTGAAGCAGGATAATTGCTTGTACCCAGGAGGTGGAGGTTGCGGTGAGCCAAGATTGCGGCATTGCACTCCAGCCTGGGCAACAAAAGCAAAATCCCGTCTCCAAAAAAAAAAAAAAAAAAAAAAAGAAAGAATAAATATATCTAATTGCCATTGTTTCTCTTTGAGATATTAATTCTAGATAAAAGTTTTAGATCCACTTTTAACTTTTTCAAAGTTCTGCACTAATTTCTATTTTTCTCCAAATAGGACATTTAAGTAGTGAAGAAATATTTTATGCATATAGTTAATAAAAAGAAAACTATCACTAACACACACACACACACACACACACACACACACAAACATTTAGCATTTTTTAACATTAGCAATATGAAAAATGAATGGCCACCAACAACCAAGACCAAAATCCGGCAACTAAGATGTCTTTTGATATGTATATAAATAAACTGGTACATTTATGCAATGGAGATTATTCAATGATAAAAAGAAATGTGCTATGAAGTCCCAAAAAGGCATACAGAAATCTTATGTATTTCTAAGTGAAATAAGGCAGTCTAAAAAGCACTACATGCTGTATGATTCCAAATTTACAACATTCTCGAAAAGGAGAAACTATAGACAGAGTAAACATATCATTGGTTGCCCGGACTGGAGAAAGGAGAGATAAATGGGTAGAGCATGGGAACTTTTCAGGCAGTGAAACTATTCTGTGTGATACTGTAATGGTGGAGAAATTATATACACTTGTCAAAATCCATATAACTGCACAACACAAATAACTGTAATGTATAATACTGATTTTAATAATAATTTCTTAGTAGTTGTTAATCAATTTTTACCAATGTACCACAATAATGTAAGACGTTAATAATGGGGATACTGTGTCAGGGAGACGGGGCTCTGTATACTTCCTGCCAATTTTCTGTAAACCTTAAACTGCTCAAAAACTGAAATCTATTAATTTTATTTAAAAAACAGAAAATGAATTTTGATCTTTTTTTACTTCTTAAAAAGTTTTAAAGTCATCAAGAATTTGAAAAGATAAAATGCAGACAAATATTGTATTATAACTTGTAGGATCAAAAATAAAGAAACATTGCTTATATCACATAGGTTCACAATTAACTAAATTATTCTATATCTCTACATTTGTAATCAAATGTCACATTTATGGTGATTAAGGTTTTTGTTTTTGTTTTTTTGTTTAGTTAACTGGCTAATGATCCAGAAAGTCAATATGCTAAGTTTTACTTTGTGTCTAAATTTGGTAGATAGCAGCAACCAAAATTTTCCATATAGTTAAATATATAAATAAATAATTTTAAATGAAAGGCTACTTACCACTATATTTGATCACACGAATTGTTGAATCTCCTTCACCAAATTTGGTGAGAGGAGTCAGTCGGACTTCATAAGCTTCTGGTTTAATTAGCTCTGTCAAGTTATATGTAATTAATTCTCCCTTTTGAATATTCCCATTTATTTTAATCTCCTGCTCCCACCAGCGCTGCTGTCCAGCCTGAAATCAAAACAATAATAGAATAATGTTCCCAGTATGTTCTTCAGAGGTACTAAGAAAATTGAAAACAAATTTTGAAATTTTATTAAATCAAAAAGTACGTATATTAATGAATACGTATTATTAAAGTTCAAGTTTCTATAATGATAAACAAATTTTGAGATGTTTGCATGCATATGTTTGCAGGTAATTGCCAAATGATCAGAGGTATTTAATAGATTTAATATATCATCTAATGTTTAGTAAGAGTCAGAAAATTCCAAAGTGTCTCTGATCTTGAAGTCGGGAGAGATCAAAGTTTAGCTACTTCTTGCTTAACATATTAATGGCATACGAGATTCTTGAATACTTACAACTCTATCACATTAGCAAACATATGCATTGCATATATAACTGTTCCCATATATTATGGGCATTAAAAGTATAAAACAAAGACAAATCCTTAACTTTTCAAGTTTATTAAAAAGAGAGGCACAATAAACAAATGTATAATATAAAATTTCAGTTAGTCATATGTACAATAGAGAAAAATAAAAAATCACAAGGAGATTGAAAGTCATAGTGGGAAGGCTGGAAAGGGGCACTCTTTAGTTAAATCAGAGGACATCTCCATAAGAAGAATGTTAGGAAGTTAAGATGAAGGGTAGGAATTTACCATGGGATTTGGCAAGATGGAAGCGATGGTCTCCTTGAAATAAATGGTGTCAGAGTAATGAAGATGAAAGTGTGATTGTAATATGTTAAAAGAAGAATGAGTTTCACAATGCTTCCCTCACTAAAAAATCACAATGCTCAGATAATTTCACAGCACAGTTATCAAAATGTTCAGGAAAGAATTCTAATCTTTTACAAAATCTTGCAGATATTTTTAAAAAGAAAAACAATAACTCTCCAGCTATGTTATTTAATTTAAACCAAAAAGGATGGTACAAGAAAGAAAAACTTATGTATACAAACCGAATTCATAAAGTTTTAACATACAATATTGTTTCCAAATTCATCATACAGTACTGTTATCAAATTCATCAAGTTTTACATCCAGTATTGTTTCTCTTGCAAGGATGCAAGAATTGCTTAACATTAGAAAATGTGTTAACATAGTTAACTGGCAAAAGAAGAAAAAACATATTTCTACTAGATGGAGAAAAATTTGGGAAACATCAACTCCTATTTATAATAAAACTATGAACATGCTAGGAATGAAAGGGAACTTGATTAATCTGATAAAGAAGATCCAACAAAAAGGTAGAGGATGCTTTATTTTTAATGCTTATATATTAGAAATTTTTTTAGAATTACAAGTGAGAATGCTCAACATTATTTAAAATTGTACTTTAGTAACAATAAAGTGTATAATAATTGGAAAAACAAAACCAAAATAGATCTATAGAGTTGTCTACGTAGGAATCTCTCTCTTTCCTTTTCTCTCACTCTATCCTTCCATATGCATATACACTTGAATGTCTTTTACAAGCACTTTGAAGCTTTCTTTATTAAATGTATGCATATAATTTATTAGATGAGATAACAGGTAATCCACAGCTTTGTTTGCTATTGTAAATTGTAACTTTTAAGCTATTAATATTTTGCTGGCTTATACAATTGTGACAGATTTTTTTATTCTCCTTAATTCAGATATATATATATGACAAATACAGTCCTCTTTCTATATGTATCTAAACATATAGTATGCATCATTGCCTTGTAATATGTGTCTGATATTTTTCTTAGCTGAAATCTATGGTATCCTTTTTCATGGGGCTTTTCTCCTTTTATTTGCTTGGTTATTTTTCACTGGTGCTGATAATATGGCTTAAAATTCTATTATTGGGGGTTATCTGTGGCCTATGACAAAGACATATTCTGTATAGATGTACCATTGTTTCTGACATGCTCCTAAGGTCATCAACAACATGGCCTACTTTTACTTTGATTGTGAAACTCTTTGGTGTCACAAATTAGAGTGGAGAAGATCCCTTGCTTTGAGAAGGCCTTGAGTTTTCATTGCTGTCTGCCTCAATGGTGCCAAACTATTAAGAATCAAAGTTCAAGTTTGTCTGGGTTGGCAAACAGCTGAGGGCAAAAGTAGTTTGGGCAGAAATTCTGTTACTTTTGAATGCCATTTTCCCTTGGATTTTTACGTAGTACTTTCTCTATGTACACACACATACACATGTACACATTATATGCACAGGTACACACACATACACATATCACATAATATGCACATATGTTCACATATATGCACATACTATATGTTCATAAGTATTTGTTTTCTGAAGGTTAAGTTAGTCCTAATTATACAGTCTTGACTGCTACATTTCTGGAAATAAAAACTACAATATGTGTGCTACAGCACAGTCCTACACAAATGACAAATTAAATAATGGCATGGGAAGAAAGCCCAAATATAAAATATATAGAGTGTCTGCACAGAAGAGAGAAAAATATATACCATTCAATTGGTTATGCATATGGAAAAAAACCACTTGAATTGGAACCTTATATCTTATACATAAAATTCAGTCTCAGGAGTATTAAACAATTAAATTTAAAACATACAATTTAAATCAGTTAGGAAAAATACAGAAAAAATGTTATTATGATCTCAGGTAATACATTACTTTCTTTTTTGTTTTTTTTCTGAGACAGTCTCGCTCTGTCACCTAGGCTGGAGTACAATGATGCTATCTCGGCTCACTGCAACCTCCGCCTCCAGGATTCAAGCAATTCTCCTGCCTCGGCCCCCTGAGTAAATGGAATTACAGGCATCCACAACCACGCCTGGCTAATTTTTTGTATTTTTAGTAGAGACAGGGTTACACCATGTTGGCCAGGCTGGTCTCAAACTCTTGACCTCAAGTGATCACCCAACTCAGCCTCCTGAAGTGCTGGGATTACAGGCGTAAGTCACCGTGCCTGGCCAATATATTGCTTTCTTAAACAGAATAGGGAAGGATGAATCATGAAGAAAAAGATTGAGAAATTTGTCTACCAAATTTAAAATTAATTAAATATAAACTTTCAAGTTAAAAAATTTGTTCTCATCAGTATTCACCATTAAACAGGAAAAATACAAGCCAGAGGTTTGAAGAAGATATTATACACATGTTAATATACACAATTAACTAGACTTTATTAAAAACTCATTTTGATAACAAGGAAAAGAATTCAGTAGCAAATTGAGCCAAATAACAACAAGTAATTCATAGATGAGGAAATCCAAATAAGTAAGTAACTAAAGAAGAGGCTTAGCCTCACAATGAATCAAGGAAATGGAAATTAAAACCACAACTTTATTTTCCACCATCAAGTAGGCAGAAACTTTTTAAAGATTAACTATTAGGGCTTTGTATAGATGTAAAACAATGAGAATCTTTGTGCATGTCAGAACCAGAGGATTGGGGTGGGAAACAAATGAGATTTTTATCCTACGTATAAGCTAACAAGTTAGCCTGCCACAATATCATGAATATTAGCAGAAGACTGGAGACTACTTGGTCAGAGAAAATGACTCATGACTCAGCATAAATCCCAAGCTTTATTTTAGCATTGATCCTCCTTACCTCTGAAGTTCCACAGAAGTACTGCAGATGTGCCAAGGAGGACGCTGCACATGCCTTGATTGTGCGTCACATCTGAAGGACTCTGAGTTTAAGAAACCTTAGTCTTTATAACTGATAGTAACCAAATGTGTCCAACCATTGCCCAGAAAGGAGACATCACAGGACATCAAACAAACCTCCCCTCTGTTCCAGAAGAAGACACTACATTCAAAAGACGTTTGCTATGCTAATGACTCGAAAAGACAGGTTGTAATAAAAGGGCAACTGGTGCCTCTGGGCACAAGACACAAAGAAATATAAGCAATCCATGAAAAATTGTCTTTCAAACATGTGTCCTTGATGAAAATGCAAATTGGTATAAGTTTGGAGAGTAATTTGCATTAAAAGCCATGTTACAATGAGAACAGATAAATTCTTATACTTGGAAACAAGTATATTCATCGCATAGAAAATGGAAAATGATCTATACCTCAATCGTTTAAGAGGTGATAATGAAATTGTAGACTCTTCATAAACTGGAATATAAAATATAGCATGAAAAAGGAACCTATGCAACATACATCAACATGGAAAATTTTCACAAAATATTGAACTAAAATTAATTTTGAAGTAGATATGTTATAAAATTTAGTTTTAAACTATGCATTTTAAAGAGGATGTATAGCTATGTACATATTAAAGAATAAAGAAATGAAGAGAAATAATAAACACTGAGTTGAAGATACTGTTTAAATAGGTTAGGAGAGTGCAAGAGATGATGATGCAGTTGTGAGGGGTAAAGAAAGGACTTCAACTCTACCAGGTGATTTTTGTTTTGTTTTGTTTTGTTTTAGATTAATGGTAGATGTAAAAATTATGATTATGTTATTTTGTGTAGGCCTGAAATGTTTCTCTGTTTTTAATAAAGAGAATTAGAGAATAAGAGAGAGAAGGAATTCTGAATTTTCTTAAAACTCTTTCCCCCTTGAATTCTATGACAGTGCTCTCTCTCATATTGCTTCCCACATCAGCATCTTTGGCTACTCCTTATTTTCTTTTCCTGTGTTCTAAATGTTGATGTTCTCCAGAATTTTGTATATGGCGTTTGTGGTACTCTGTATTAGTGGTTCTCATATTTCTGCATGCATGAGAATCACTAGATGACACTGTTAACCAAAATTCTAAGTCTCAACCATCAGCAATTATGGTTCAATGAGATCTAAAAATACGATCTTTAAAAAGCATCTCCTCTCCCACATAGTAATTTGGACACAAATAATCCAGAGGCTACATTTAGTGAGGCACAGATTAGTCCTGCTAAACCACCTCATTACTATTAGTAGCTTCTTCTAATATCTCTACATTGATAACTTCCTAACTTGTATTTTCAGCTCAGAAAATTAAGAAAAAAAATACATCTATTAGTCTTTACCATGTGCCACTATTTTAACTGTCTTATACCTATCATTATATGTAATATCCCACAAACCCTAGCAGGTAGTAACTATATTTAGCCCTATTTCATGAATGAAAAAACTGAGGCAGAGACAGGTTAAGGTAACTCTTTTAAGTGGCAGCTTCAGAATGTGGTTAGACCCAAAATGACTCTTTTTGGTATCACTTCCTCCTTTGTTTTCCCTGAATATACTGCTCCCTTAATTGTTTTTACCAGAGCCCTTATATATTTAGTTATAATACACTATGTCTGGTCATTAACTTGATAAAAATATGATGAAATTAAACGCCAGCATACAATGTATTTTTAACTGGCCTCCAAGGAGTACGGCAGAAAATCAAAGTTATTTCAGTGAAAACTGCATACAGTCACTGAATTTACATACAGTGGTGAAGGATAAAAATCCTAATTCCACAGAAAGCACTTATCTTTCAGATAAGCATGCATAGTTAATACTAGGTATTATGAAGCTTCTATTAGTTTGGTAGGTTAAAATACTATAACATAATATAAATGATGACACTTTTACTGTCTCTTAATTTTAGATTTATATATATATGAACAATAGGCAAAGTGCTATGATTTTAAAAGATAGATAAAATCAATTTAAACACACAAAAATATATACAGAATAATTTATTTGATATTTTACTTTTACCTAAAGACACAAGTTTAATCAAGGTGTACTTTCCTTGATGTTAACATAAGTTTAAATAAGAGTTTAATACCACTGAAAATTTGTAGTACATTACAAAGGGACACTGCAGGTATCCTCTTGTTATAATGAGTGTTCTACTCAAGTAATTTTAGTCAGGAGATACGTTGATGTTGTTACTTATTACAAACTCCAGTGTCCATAACTTCATATGTGTATTAAAAAAGCAATAACTTTGATTCCAAGTCTTTAATTTAAGCTGTAATGAAAGTGTATACTTCAGCAGTTGGCAGAATAAGCAATTAAATACTTCATATTGTATCTCAGTGAGCTGTGCAAAATGTAAAAATGGAAAACTAAATGCAATGTTTGCACATACATAAAAGGAGATGCAATATTATTCCACTGATTGAACGTAATACCAGAAAACCCTCAGAGAAGATGGGTTCTAAACAATACAGCAGATGACAATCCCAGATCATACTTATAAGCATGATGATATGTAAGTAAGTGTTAAACCATTTTCTTCATGTCAATTTTAAAAATCCATTTAATTTTTTCTTTTATCCCCAGGAGGTATATTCCATTCAGATGATTTAGAGGTTAGCCTAAAACCTCCCAAGTACCCTAAAGTGAGACTTTTTATTAAAAACTATAATTTGTTATTTTTACCACAGAAGATAATTAAAAAGCTATTGCTGAAAAGGTCTCAGGAGGAAAAAACATGTTAATTTTTTCTCTTAATTTTATAAGAAACAAAATTGACTAACTTAAAAGCAGAAGGCTGCAACAGATTCTGAAATGTGAAGGGAATAAAAGTGGTAATGTTTTCCTCTTTTTTTTTTTTCTTGGACTATAAATCTTTTTAACCACTATAATGAGCTCCATTGAAAAGTACCAGGTAAGTAAAAACTAAAATAGAAGAGGAAATGCAACAACTGAATACAAGGCATATATGTGTGTTTATTTCATTTATTTTTATGTAACTCTATAAAAGATTGATATATCCATTTTATAGGAAACTCCTATTCATGTTTAGCAACCATACTGATAGTAAAAATAATAGCTGACATTAAAAATCCAGGTATTACAGACCCTAAATCACTCACACTAATGATTATCCAACAGAATAAGAAATCAGGAAGATGACATTTTCATGGATTAAAATCAAATTGTCTTATAATCCCAAATAAAATGTAACACTGATTTTTAAGATGCACTATTGTTTTAATAACCCCTTTTAGGGAAAGGAGATAATAACTAACATGGCGTTAAATGAGTCTTATTTTTATTTTCTACTAGTAATAGCAAACATTTATTCAACTAATTATATAACTTTTCTTCTTTCATTACCACAAATTTGAGTATCATCTTCTTTACATTCAGCAAGAATTCTTCTGAGTAGGCACTTTTCACATCATAGAAATATTTTGCTTATCATACTTTGCTCGTGCTATTAACACCTTTAGAAGTGACTGTGTATTTTTTAGATATCCAGAAATTTATAAGTTTTTATCTGCCTTTGGTCTTTGGAATCTTGTATTATTTTTCTTAATTGAATTATGTCTAAATTAAAGAGTTTTCCTTGAAAGCATCCTGGTGTGGTATAGGAGAGAATACTTCTTGTTTGAACTCAACTTCAACAGTTTTTTCTAGTTGTGTTCTAGCGTCTAGCATGCATAGCATTTATTTTTTATGTCCTTGGAACTGTCTTGGCTTTTAGTCACTAGTTCTATTCAGTCTGCATTTTTCTTAAGCAAATCACAAGTTCCTTGAGCCTAACATCATTATCTTTCCCTTTTCTTTTGAAGCGGTGTGGGATTGGTGAATCCTGACAGCTTCCCCAGAACTACAGTAAGGCAAAGAAATACCAGGCCCCATTCCTTGAAAATTTGACTCAGTCTACCCTACTATGCTACTTGAGGGCTCCCCCAAGTGGGACCCAGATCTCAGAACTTCTAGGCAAGTCTTGCAATCTTCCTCAACTACATGTTGGGAAGTGAGCATGCATCCTTCTTTCCTACTCTGGTGGGTTGTAGATGCCTTTTATCAGGGAATATAGGCACCCACTCTATTGCCTTTCTTTATCAGGGAATATAGGACCCACTCTATTGTTCTTCTCTCACTTATGCTAAAATAATCCTCTTTACCATGCCTGGAACTCTGTATTTGCTTTGGGAATTGCTCCTGATATTTTTTATTCCTGACATAAAGCATTTCAGAACTCAACGCTTTTTCTCCCCCAGCCACCTCCTGCTCACTTCCACCACCATGACCTCTATTTGATTTAAATACTAGGTTTTCAAGGCTACTGTTTTTGCTTGGACTTTATACAATCTATTAAAAGTTCATTTGTCACCTTTCTTGTTTTGTGCAGGTGTAGGTTGGTCTTCCCATTCTTGTGCCATAAGCCTTAGCCTTCTCTGTTGTAATTTTAAGTAATGAGAGAGCAGTTAATAAAGAAAATTACAAGAATAGAAAAATGCATTTGTTAATTTGCCAAATTCTCAACTGACCTTTTCAAAAAGTTTTTAACTTATATAGCAAACTACTTTCAACTTGCATTTAGCTTTGAGTATCTTGAAAATAATTCCCTATAGTATTTCTTATTTATATTTCTTTTAGCATCAGTTACTGATTATAAAACAAAACGAACACAGCAGCCCTCAGGTAAAGACAGCATTGAATGTGTCCACAGCATCAGTGGGTCTCTCAGTCTTTCATGCAGTTTAGCAAGTTTTCTTCCCTCACCTATCTTAGTGAGCCACTGCTGTCTGAAGAGATGTGAACTGGCTATGCAAGCAGAGTCTCTGGTAAAGCTCACCAGTAAATAAATGAAAGGCCTTGCAAGTATACTTCAAGGATCTTTTTAAAGAAAACTAAGCATTAAGCACAGAGAACAAGGTCTTTAGTGACAACCAAGGGAAATATTCTTGCCCTGCGATCACAGAAATAGAAGTAATAGAAAAAGTAGAAATTGAAGTTGAAAAAACATTGAATCTAAAACTTCCTACATAAATTAAGGGTGTTATGATAAAGTTAAATATGTAGTTCCAAAACAACTATGACACATACAATAAAACAGAACTTTGGAAAAAAGTAAGTTCTTTAGTAACTTGAAAAAAATTATTCCTTTCACAGTAGCTAAAGCTGAAGTGAAGATGAAAACAAAGACTGTCATTTTACGTAGTCTTTAATATTCAGTACATATTTTATGTGACTTTACATTCCTAATGTGTCAGTTTAAAGTATATTAAAGGGATATGTGAGAATATTTAAAATATAGCCAATATTTATTGAGTGATTGCTATGTTCTTTTAATCCCAAGCAAATCAATGAAATAGCTCATTAACTTTAAATTGTTTCTATATTTTTATATTTTAACTCTTTCTATTAAAATGTGTAGAATTACTGTTTCTAAATATAATAATTCTAGAAAAAATAAAATGATAAAAATGAAGAGAAAAGAGTAAATATGGTATCTCAGAAAACATACAGAATAAATAATGTTCAAATGAATCTTGTTAGCCTTTCTTATTCCTGCCCCTTTGTAATATTTGAAAGGTAATTGCTAACACTTACCTTAGGGAATGATTAATGTTTTTAACTTTCAGAGCACATTTATCTTATTATATTAATATAATTTATTTCCTGTTTTATATAGTTAGCAATACGTTTAATAAGGAATTATAATCGTGATTAAGTAAATTATATTGAATAATACTGTTCATATTCATGATTTGGTAGAGTTTAAAACATTTGACATTTAATGAATAGGACTTAAGAAGGTGAAATTTCGATACATTAAATAATTTTTTGTTTTAGTTTCTAAAAGAATAGGTTATTATTATTTAAAATCCAGCACATATATAAAATTCTAGTAACTACAATTTTATCACCAAAGCATTTCCTTATTATTGGATTTTTTTAATGACAAGGCTTTTTTATAATACTTATAATAAATATCATAATAAATATTTTAAGACTTAAAAATGAAATGATATTTGAACTTTTGCAAGTTTCCTATCTAAACTTACAAAAGTAAATGTGTTATGTAGTAGAAGTTAATATGAGACATTCTGGCTCATAATAGTCACTTTGGTCACAGTCAGGTTAACATACCCTCATCTGTGGGGAAATGAGCCTCTAATGGAAAACATCAATCCTTAACATACAAGTGACAACTTTATTAAAAATGTTTTTTAAATAAGCTTATTTAAAGAAAATAATATAAAAATGTGTTCACAAAGCAATAGTAATCAAAACAATATTGGACTAGCATAAAAACAGACATATAGACAAATGGAACAGAGAGCCTAGAAATAAACTTAAGCATATGCAGTCAACAAATTTTTGATAAGTCCACCAAGAAGACCCAATGAAGCAAGAATAGCCTCTTCAGTAAATAGTGTGGGAAAATGAATATCCACATGCAAAAGAATGAAACTGGCTCGTATCTTACACCATACACAGATTAACTCAAAATGGATTAAAGATCTATGCATAAGACCTGAAGCTATACAATCCTAGAAGAAAAAGGGATGGAAGCCCCTTGGTATTGGCTCTGACAAGAAATTGTTGGATATTTAACCAAAAGCATAAGCAGCAAAATAAAAAATAAACAATTGGGACTACATCAAACTAAAAAGCTTCAGTACAACAAAGGGAGCAATTAACAAAATGCAAAGATAGCAATGAACTGTAAAAATCATGTGTGAACCACATTATCAGATAAAGGGGTAATGTCCAAACTATATAATGAACTCATGCAACTCGACAGCAAAAAAACAAATAATCTGACCCTGCAAAAATAAGCAAAAGACAATAGATATTTCTTTAAAGAAGAAGTAAAACTGGTCAACAGGTAGATGAAAAGGTGTTCAATATCACTAACCATCATGAAAATGAAAATCAAAACCAAAATTAAATATCATCTTACATCTGTTGGCATGACTATTATAAAAAAAAGATGAGATAACAAGTGTTGGCAAGGGTTTAGAGATAAACGAAACCTCTACACTATTAGTGGGTATGTAGATTGGTTCAGCCATTGTGAAAAACAGTATGAAGCTTCCTTAAAAAGTTAAACATCGAACTACCATATGACCCAGAAATCTCTTTTCTAGATACCTACCCAGAAGAAATCACCAACTTATAAAGACAACTGCACACCCATGTTTATTGCATCATTATTCCTAACAGCCAAGATATGGAAACAACCTAAATGTCCATGAATGAATGAATGGATAAAGAAACTGCAAATTACACAATTGAATATTACCCAGCTTTAAAAAAACAAGGTACTGCTATTTGCAACAGCAGGGCGGACCTAGAAGAATTAAGCTAAGTAAAATAAAGCAGACCCAGAAATAAATAAGAGTGCATGATATCACTTATATGTGGAATCTAAAACAAAACAAAACAAAAACTCAAATACACAGAAATAGAACATGGAAAAATGGCTACCAGGGGTGTAAGTGTGAGGAAAATGGAGAGATGGAGGCCAAAGGGTACAACGTTCAGTTATGTAGGATAAATAAGGATAGAGATTAATCACAGAACAGAAGGACCACAGTTAATAGTATTACATAATATAAATTTGCTAAGAGAGTCAATTTTAGGTACTTGTACCACATATACCCACATATTGACAAACATAAGAGAACTATATAAGAGAATGAATACGTTAATTTGCGAGACTGTAGTAATCATTGTATTATGTATATTTATATCAAAACATCATGTTGTATACCTTAAAAATGTACAATTAAAAAAGACAAATTTAAAAATTATTAATAGTGTATTCACATTTTAATACTACAAATTTCTAGGAACAATTTTGACGACTACATTATTCTTTACATAGGAATTAAAAATGTAATCATAGAGATTGAGCTATTTTAAAAGTTATCTTCTGTGTTTTTAGTACAAATTGTACTGTCAGTCTCCCTTAAATTCACTGTGATTTCAGCCAGTAGGGTGCCTAAATATGAAATTTATAATGTCACCATGGATATTTTATAAATTTTTTTAGACTTCTATGTATATGTCCCTTAATTCCACCACCAGACATCAGAAAGGCTGAGCCTTTAATGGCACATTTGATTCATTTTCCACAATTTTTAGAATTGCAGTTTGGGGTGACAGTTGAGAATACTCAACTAAAGTATTTTTGTTTACTAAGAAAAACGAAAAGTAGTAACTCTAATATTTTTGAGGACTCACTATTGCCAGATATTTTGCTAAATATTTTACACATTATTTTAATTTAAATCTTATAAAAAATCTATCGAGGTTAGTATTATTATCTTCATTTCCTCAGTTGAAGAAGTAGATTAAACCAATAAACTTTCCCAGGTCATACAGTTGGTAAGAAGCAGAAGATAATATAAATATTATTACCCAATATTGTCCAATTTCCAGGCTACTCTTGTAATCTTAATCACTATTCTCCATTTCTTCTTCTTATATCAAATGTGTTGCTTTCAGTTTTTCCTGACAAATGTGTGCTTTATTTACATTCCTTTAGAAATTTATAAATTTTTTTTTCACCATTGGGAAGGCCTAATTATGTTGAACTCAATTACATAGCAAGGGGCAACAGAGGAAGATAACAAATCTAGCTTTTATCTTTAGGACAAGGGTTAGTCATACAAAAAGCTTTTGATTTTGTGAGACCTGACAGTTAAAGTGAATTCTGATTCTGCTTTCCATTTTATTTAGAGACTCCAGTGGATGTGTGCTTTGGTTGTGCTGAGTTTGTACTCATAACTGTTACATAAATCATTAAATGACAGGGTATTTCATACTGCCTCAGGAAAGAATTTGTATGTATTACTGACATATCCCCCTACCATGTATTTATTACTCCCATCTGTTAAAGCAAAACAACATTGAAAACCACCCAAGAGACCATGTGTAACAGTAAAAATAATCATTCTTTAGCAGCTTCTGATAAATTACTATGAAAGAAAAACTTGCTTCCTATCAAGTTTGGAAAAAACACATTCTAATTATTTTCTTGTCATGCTTGGATCAGCAGGTGAAAGGACACCTCAACCTAAAAATTAATTTTGTTATAGATTTCAATCCTGATAAATTGGAATTAAGCAGCTCAGTCAGCATCTTTCTTCATCAGGTAGGTTTTCTAAGGACTACTACAAAAATATCCAGGAGGTAGTAATAAATTAATAATTAGGGTTTGAGTTTTTAGTTTTTATTCATCTTGGTATCTGATATGGTTTGGCTGTGTCTCCACCCAAATCTCATCTTGAATTGTAGTTCTCATAATCTTCACGTGGTGTGGGAGGAACCCAGTGGGAGGTAATTGAATCAGGGGGGCAGTTACCCCCATACTGCTGTTCTCGTGATAGTGAGTGAGTTCTCACAAGATCTGATGGTTTTATAAAAGGCTTTTACCCCTTTGCTAGGCACTTTTCTCCTTTATAAATTACCCAGTCTCAGATATTTCTTCATAGAAGCATGAGAATGGACTAACACAGTATCTATTTTATATAAGGGGAATCATAATCACTTCCTTCAATTATTTTTAAGAATAACTAGGTTGGCCAGGCGCGGTGCCTCATGCCTGTAATCCCAGCACTTTGGGAGGCCGAGGCGGGTGGATCACCTGAGGTCAGGAGTTCAAGACCACCCTGGTCAATATGGTGAAACCCCATCTCTATTAAAAATACAAAAATTAGCTGGGCGTGGTGGCGGGCGCCTGTAGTTCCAGCTACTCAGGAGGCTGAGGCAGGAGAATTAGCTTGAACCTGGGAGGTGGAGGTTGCAGTGAGCCGAGATCGCGCCAGTGCACTCCAGCCTGGGCGACAGAGCAAGACCCTGTCTCAAAAAGAAAAAAAAAAAAGAATAACTAGGTATATTTCTATAAACCTACAGGATATTTTACTACTGCTATATGCTATATTCTGGATTTATTACTAATAGTCTTAATATTTTGATTCTGCAATGCCGCCTGTCCCTTCCATGTGTCATTGATAACTTCCTTTCACAGTCTTTCAACTGAAGTTCTTGCTTCTGGTGAGTACCGATTACTGTCCATAGTACGTATTGCTACTAAAGTTCAATCTTATTCTCCTGCTAAAATTATTTGAGTCATTGCTCTTTTGTAAAATTATTTATAATAATAGCTACTATACACTTTGATGGATTATTCAATTTAACTGGGTTAAAATGTATAATGTCACCATGGATATTTTCTAAGTTTTGTTAGGCTATTTTAGCTTGATGTCTCTTAAATATCCATTTGGGCAGTCATTTTGGTTAATATATTTTCATAGACTTTACACAGTAGAGAATGTTGATATATAAATTTAAACATACTGATGTACCATAGCTTTAATTCAATTATTGACAATGATAAAAAATTTAATTCTCAAAGTGTCCTAAAATTATAGACATAGAAGAACAAAAGTAAGAAAAACAGGCAATGCTTCTTGTTGTGAATACTTACACAAATGTATAAATAGAGATTAGCATCACTTACTACACTTTGGATTTAAAATGTCAGTAATATTTTCTTCTCATAGAAATTGTACAACATTAATTGATACATTTATTCATTCATTTAAAATCATCTAACTTATGTTGGCACGAAAAAAGTAATGGAGGATCAAGCAGAGTAAACTTTTTATATTACTGTTATATATTTGATATTTATAATCCCAATTTTAATATGAGCATTAAAATTGGAAGTGTAAGGGAGAACAGACATGAGCATGAGGATGTTATCTAAAACATATTCAAATATAATTTAACATAACTTCAAGCTCTCTATACGTTTTCTTTGAGTCTTAGAATATTCAAAATTTAAAATTACCTGAAATACAATATTGTATTTTAGTGATTTTATGGCCAATGAAACACAATAACTTTCTCTTAATGAATATATAGGACAATATGACAAGAAATGCTACTTGCTAATCTTTTCCCACTCCACTTACTCATTAACAATTTTTAGCAGTGCTGTATTTCTGAGCATCCCTCCAAATTAGGTGTGGTCATATGACCTAGTCCTGGCCAATGACATGTAAGTGTAGGTGCTGTGTGAGGCCTCTGGGAAGGCCTACATCTTTTCAGTAGTAACTATTGAAATAGTGATATATCCAGTAGGGTTCTTTGTTTAAAGAGATACCATAAACATGCCTCCCAAATGGCACAAAGTAAATCGATAATTGAACCAATCAATGACAATTTAGAATACATATTTTAAATGTTTTTCAGAAAGCCCTAATGTGATATCCGTATTTATTCCTATATGAAATCCATATTTAGATTATTGTTCTCTACTAACATACTTATATTTACTAAGCATCTAATCTAGTATCACTCTCCACTGAAGTGTGCCTATGTTTAAATATTATTTTAACTTATTATCAACCTCATATTTGTACTGCATATTCCTGTCAGTTTCTAGAAAAATGTTTTTTAATTATCAAAGATTTCTTAACGCATTGCTTTAGGAAATTAACAGTTGGAGAAACACGTGATGTCTTATACAAAGATGTACATTAAGGTCATTTGATATTTTGAATGGCAAATAACTACAACATTCTATTTTAATGGAAAATGTTGCACAATATCGTAGATTGATTCAGTCATTGAAAGCCATCTGTTGAGAGCCTATTACTTAAACAAATTAGACGGAGTCTTTGTTCTCCTTATATGTTAAAGTCTAACCTATACCTGCCTCATTGAGTTATTCTGAGGATTAAAAGAATTAATATATATAAAGCACTTAAAGATGTTTAACAGTAAGTAAGAATTATACAAGTGTTAGCTAATGCAATAATAACATCTTCTATTCCTACTACCATTATGACTAAAATTACTTGGTTGCAATTGGTACATGTGTAGAAAGAGTGCAGTGAGCAATTAATTTAATTATCACTCAAAATGTATAATAATAATCTGGGAACATATAATATGAAAAACATGGAGATATGACCTTGCTTAGAAATAGTGACAATCTTTATCTATTTTTGGAAATCGGAAAATTTACCAATATAAATGATAGATAGATCCTAATTTAAAAGTAAAAAATGAAATTATAAAGTGTTACAAGTAAATATTTGAGAATGTTTTTAGATTTTTGAGTGCATTATGTTTTCTAAGAGGATCTGAAATTCAGAGACCATACAATGGAAAAATTGCATAAAAATGTAAAAATATGAAAAATAAAAATAACAAATAAATGAAAAGATAAATGCATGGAGGACTATTTCCAAAACATATGACATAATCCTTCTTAATATATAAAGGGTCTGTATAATCAGTAAGAAAAATATTAGCAATTAAAAATATGAAATATAAATGGAAAATAATTTGGAGAACGAGAGTTTATTTTGGAAGAGACTCTGGTAATTTCTCTGGTAAGAAATTGAAGTTAGTGATGGTGGTAGATATGAATAAGGGTTGAATGATTTGAAGAATATTGAAAAATAAAATTGGTAGAAATTATTGATTAATTGGATATAGAGAATAAAACAGAGAAAGGCGTCAAGGTACATTTCTTGCTGGCTTGAGCAATGGGACAGATAATGGCCATTCAGTCTAATGGGGATCACAAGAGGAGGACAATGTTTGAGATAGAATAGGTTAGAATATAGAAGCATTAAGTTTGGGAGGCCACTGAGATATCCAAGTACAGGTTTTTCAAATAAATAGGTCTAGGGAGGTAACATTAAAACTCTGACAACTTCATTCATCAACATGTTCTTTGGTACTTGACAAATAATTTGAAGTATTATGGCAATCACATATTGTGTGTTGGCTCCTTTAAAGAACACAACCAAAGAAAGGGAGTTAGGAAAATAAGAGATTTATTTACTTCAGAACAAGACTACAAGACTGGATAGGACATGAGGTTTGGCAGGAAAATGAAATATTTCATTAAGGTCAGACAACTGACTAAGAACAAAGGGTGTCAATCTTTTTAATCATATAGATGGCATCAACAAAAATAATGAAACAGTATAAAAATATTAGCTTAGGATAAGCAAAGAAAGTATTTAATTGTCCACACTGCAGTTATTAATTAAAAAGAAAACACAAGAAAAACTAACAGAATCTCTGCCCCTCCCCAAACTCAACCTTGGAGACACTATAAAATTAGAGGGAGATTCCTGAACCTAAGGGGAAAATCGCAGCCGCTAATGGAAAGGGGATTATGTCACAAACAGGAAATAGGTTGGCATATGATATTTTACTTTTTCTCTCCCACACCACATCATTTTTATAAGTCAGTCATTACTGAAGATTTTTCCTCTGAGAAAACAAAAATTAATTATACCAGGTAATAGGTCAGGAGTAGATAAAATTTGTAGGCAAACTGGCAACCTGAGTGTTTTCTCTCCTCCCCACCCTTTTTTTCCCAAAATGATTACATGTGAAGGAGTCTTTTCAAAGCAGAATTACAATAAATTTCCCTGAGAGTTATGATAATACATGGAGAGGAGTCAAATCCAGTCTGCAATGCCAAAGGCTATACTCTGAGATGAATCATTTGTACCATTCACTTTCTATTTGATTCTTGAACTCAGGTGGTTAGAAAGAAGTTACGATTTGAGCTTTAGCTTATCTCACAGAAATATATTACTGCCCAAGACAATTAACATGGGCAAAAGAATATGTGCTCACCAAAAGAATATGCACTCACCAAGAATATGGGGCTCACAGAAAAGCTCAACCATGATAAATAATGATAGAAAAAAAAAACCTAGACCAGCTGAGGATGCAATTAATGTTAAATTTTTAACCGAAATGTAAGACAAAAATTTTAAATCAACAAAACTATCCTCAAGGAAACAGAAGTGATTTTGTAAGTTGCTAGTTGGCAAAATATAGCTTTAAAACCTTTGAGAAATACTGGATACTGCAATACTAATTGCAATAAAGAACCCAACAGATAGGCTGAATTGCAAAATAGATCTAACGTAAGAGGTTTTGAACCAGATTATGTCAAACAATGCTCTCAGAAGGCATCAGTAGAGTATCAGTATAGTTTAAAAATTACAAAAGAAGTAAAGAAATATGTAGGAAAGAAATGTGTCAATATCCATATATACTTAGAAAAGAAAAAAATAAACAAAGTAGTCACTACTTGAAAATACAATGGTACAATTTTCTAGGATATTACCTCATATTTTTTAAAAGTGGGCAAAAGACATGCACAGACATTTCTCTGAAGAAGATATACAGATGGAAAATAAACATCTGAAATATCATCGGGCATTAGAGAAATACAAATTAAAACTAAATAGATATGACTACACACCTATCAGGATGGCTGAGATGAAAATAGTGAAAACGACAAATCCTGATAAACATATACAGAAAGTGGCTCACTCATATATTTCTAGTGGGAATGAAAAGAATAAAACCACTTCATAAAATAGTTTGGCAGTTTCTTTTAAAACTAAAGATGGACTTACTACACCACTCAGCAACTGCACTGCTGGGCATTTATCCCAGAGAAACAAGTATTTATTTTCACACAGGAACTTGTACATGAATGCTTATAGTACCTTTACTGCTAATAGCTAAAAACTTGAACAACCCAAATGTATTTTAAAGAAAGAATTATTAAACAAACTGTAGGACACCCATACCATTAGAATACTACTCAACCATGAAAAGAATGAACTACTGATATATGCAACAAGTTGGATAAATCTCAAAGAAATTACACTAAATAGAAAAGTTAATTTCAAACAAATAGGTATTGCATAATTCCATTTCTGTAACAACTGTGAAATAATATAATTATAGGGATGAGGAGGAAATTAGTGGTTTCCAGGGATAAGGGATATAAAAGAGTAACATCAGGGAGTCTACGGTGATGATACAGTTGAGTATCTTGTTTGCATTATGGTTACACAAAGCTACGCACATGCAAACACAGATACACAAACAAATGAGTGCATGCATGTACAATGGGTGAACTCTGATTAAACTTCATGGATTGTACCAATGTCAGTTTCTTGGTTTTCATAATGTACTTGTGTTTGTGTAGGATTCTGGCTTGAAGTGGGCATAATGGGAGAAGGTTTCATGGAACTTTCCTGTACATTTCTATGTAACTTCCTGTGAATCTGTAATTATTTCAGAATAAATGATTTTAAAAAGAAAAAAAACACTGCTTATTGAAAAGGCTTTTAAAGTACTGAAGGGGATATGTAAGGGTGAGAAAAAGATACACAAATGACACACATGAATACTTACACACAAACTTGTTATAGTAAATTTTAAGAATGGAAGGGGAACATCACACACCGGGGACTGTTGTGGGGTGGGGGGAGGGGGGAGGGATAGCTTTAGGAGATATACCTAATGCCAATTGACGAGTTAATGGGTGCAGCACACCAACACGGCACATGTATACATATGTAACAAACCTGCACGTTGTGCACATGTACCCTAAAACTTAAAGTATAATAATAATAAAATTAAAAAGAGTATCAAAGAAATATAAAATATTGGAAAATCTAATAAGCATGAGTATTCAAGCACAAAGGATGGAAAATCGGACTGGCATGCTTCTTGATAGCATCTGTGCATACAAAAGTCAGTGGAACAATATTTTCAAACTATTAAAGGAGAGGAAAATCAAACCTATTCAGCTAAAGTATCCCACATGCATTTTATTCATTTATTCAGCAAATATTTACTGTACAACCACTATGTGCCAAACAGTACCAGACATTGAGGATAATGCAGAAAATAAAATGAGAAAAATATCTTATTCCATGCTTTTATGCAATTGTAAAAGCAATTTAATTAACCTGTAATGCTCTCCACATTTCTCAACCACTCTGGAAAGCTTTGTTCAAACCTTTTCCTTTCCTTTAACAACTGAGGCTCCCTGCTAGGGTTTAAGGATGGTGAGCTGAGCCTGTGACCAAAACTGAGCATTCTCTGAACCACATTGGCATGGCAGTCTTAACTGAGAGCTATGTCCAAGTCTGAAAGTAAACTCAAAAAGGAAAACTGTGGCTTGTGTGGAGATCTTAATTATTCATCATCATGAGGAATATTGCTTGGGAATGAGGATGACTTTTAAGCAATTACTTCATAAGGTATATCCAGATGCCACTAGGTTTAAGTGCAGTTGTCACCGATGAACCCCTCTTTCTTGTTCCCTCCCTTTTAGGGATATAAAACCATGACTTATTATTTGCCCTCATTTTCCCCTTGTTTTACAAGAAGGAGTTTTATGCAAACCATATGCCACTGTAGAATAAGTGTAATGTCTTTATATAAATACATCTATTTTTAGTTTAGTTGATTTTTTTCAACAGTACCACCATGACCTCAATTTTGAAAGTGTTTGCATTTGAATTGTTATTACTATTTTTGTTTACTTCCCAATGTTAACGTAAGTGGTAATCAGTGGAACTGTATATTTGCTTCAGAACTCTTTTCAAAATAAATAAAACTTTGCAGATATATGGAACCCACATTCTATCTTTTCTCAAACCTGTTCCCTCCCTCCCTCACTACAGGGAAGAATTATATACAGTAGGTACTTTTTTTTCTTTTCCCAAATATGGTTTTATACATTTCCAGCATATATTTGAATACATAGAAATTACACTCTTTGAAGGAAAAAATCTTATTTCCTTCCAAAATATTTGCTTTCTTTTCTATGCTAAGAGAAATTTTCTACAACTAAGGTTTTGTTTTGTTTTTTAAGCAACTGAAATAAGGTAAGCATAGCATTGTATTGATGCAGAATGTATATAATACAAGGACTACAGTGAGTTCCTTCCCACGATTTGTCTACTTTTATTGCTTCATATATGGCCATGATATTTTCACACTCTCAAGTAATAATGTCTAAGAATCTGCTGTATGTTCAAGGTAATGCTATCTAGAATTTTATGGTAGAGAATATAAGCATTTTCTCAAGATTTACACTACTTAATGTGACAATGCTTCATTTGCTATAATTTCTAAGGCACTAGGAATACACAGACCTAGTTAAATATACAGATTAATCAGTGTTTCTTTTCTTTATTTCATAACCTAATGATAGATGCAGGAGGCAAAAAGGGGGAGGGCCCCAGAGAATCTCCCACCGGCCTACACACTGCAAGAATGGGTTGGAGCCACGGGAAGTTTGAGCCATTTGCAGCAGGGAGGAGCTGCGCCTCTTCAGTTCCTGTGCTGTGGCCTGTTATTCAATCTGTGAGGTGGGAGCGCTGGCAGGAATCCTTCTCATTTTGCTAAGAGTTTTTGTTGTTGTTGTTTTGTTTTTTTCTTTTCGTCCAATAAATTCCGTTCCTGTCACCTTTCAATGTGTCCACATGCCTAACTTTTCCTGGTTGTGACACAAGAACCCAGATTTAGCTGAACTAAGGAACAGAAATTCTGCAACACTAATCTCCCTTTTAGAATATATTTTAACAGAAAGGGGTATGGGGTTGTTTCATGTCAAGAAGCACATTCTTTTAATTTTATTGTTAGGGCAGAATTAGTCTAGTGTAACCTTTATAGGTCAGAATGTAAGAATGACAGTTACTTATATACCTTGACTTTTTATTACCTCAAAACAGTAAATTTTATTTGAATGATTTAGAAGACTTATGTTAGAATCTTAACCAAAATGTCTAATCCTATACTTGACTTCAGAGAATGTCATTCTATTTCCAATAGATGAAAGCATTTCCCCTCTTCATCTTTACTATAGAGCCATTGCTCTATAATTAATTATTATACCTCTATTTATTATAGATCATCAATATAATTTAATTTTTCTCCAAAAATTCCAGTTGAAGTTAATATTAGTCTAATATATGTGCTGGTTACATTATTTGTAATATGTGGAATACTGGAATGCCTGTTTTACTCTATGGCAAAAAGCCTACTTTATCTCGGTTTGTGCCTTTGCCCATTTACTAAAAATGACTGTGTGATTTATTATGATTGCCTGGTTTCCAAGCAACAGTTTTTTCAAGTTGAAATAAAATTGAATACCTTAATATATAACAATGTATTCATGCTTTCTGTATGTTCATCAAATTTGAATTGTCAAATCCAGTTCACATTATAAAATTGTCATTTATAAAGGAAGATGATTTTTAATTGTCAATGTTGAGTCAATTACAATTGCTTTATAAACAAGGGTGTTTTCAGTGTATCCATTTGTTACTGAAAGGAAGACATATAAAAATGGCCAATTTTGGGCCAGGCATGGTGGCTCATGCCTGTAATCCCAGCACTTTGGGAGGCCGAGGCTGGTGGATCACTTGAGGTCAGGAGTTCAAGACCAGCCTGGCCAACATGGTGAAAACCCATCTCTACTAAAAATATTAAAAATTAAAAATTAGCTGGGCCTGGTGGCATATGCCTGTAATCCCAGCTACTCCGGAGGCTGAGGCAAGAGAATTGCAGAAACCCGAAAGGCAGAGGTTGCAGTGAGCCGAGATCATACCTGTGAGAGAGAGGGAGACTCTGTCTCAAAAAAAAAAAAAAAAAGCCAATTTTATTTTAAATATTTGATTAAGAAATTATAATTCGTATGGCCATTATTATTGATACTGGCATTAATAGCAGAAGTGCTAATTAGGAAAATTCAGTCAAAATTGGGTCGAATCTACAAAAGAATATGTAGCTATCCAGAGCTTTGATAAGGCTAAGTACTTTTATGTGCCTAATACAATCCAGCCGTGAGCAACCTAAAAAGCGTTGCTTATTACTCATGATTGTTCAAATGTACTAAGAATATTTGAGAAAATTCATACCAAAGCCATTTATTTTTATCAAACATTTTTATGTCTGTACTACACAAGCTAATGTGTTCCCGTGTTCATAGCTACATGTTTACATTTAAAGAAGTAGAAGTCCATAAATAATGAAAACTTACATAGTTCTTAATCCTTAAACTCCTAAGATGAAACTCGACTAGAAACCCCAAACTCAGGTGATTTCTCTATTGATATATCCAACTTCAGGCTTTCAACATCCTTGTTTCTTAGAAAATTCACATTTGTACTATTAGAAGGCTACCTCCAGTTTCTGAAGTTGTATTATCAGGGTAGTCTATGTGGAACCAATGGAAATAAATGGGAATCTCTGTAACTATGAGAAAGGATATGGAAGTCACATTCTATTAAAACAGAAATAATGGAACATGCAGGGACAGCCCTATTCAAACCAGACAACCAGGCACATTTTTAATGTTGCACAAGACTCTGTACCTAGATGATTATCTTTTATTTCATATTTCATTCTCACAATATCATTATTAAGTTCCCATGAGATAAGTTAAGTCCTTAAAGTGAGTCCTGGAAAACTCATTTTATACAAGAAGAGGTGTGGACAGAAAGTATTTCAGATATTCAATGAAATTTGCAATGGTGAAATTTTAAGGTTAGAAAAGGCTATTTTTAAGCAGTTGGGACTTCTTGAAACCTGTGACAAAATAAGTACTAACCACTGCAGGAGCACAAATAAAACAATTTCTTTCTATTTTTTTTTCACTTGGCAAGTGTATTCATTATGCTTCCAAATTCCATTTTACAGTTTTATTTAAGTCGTTTTGAGATTGCGTGCAAACTATCTCATACATAATTGTTGATACCAATTTGTGGTATTATGCATATGCACAGTAAACAATGCACATATTGAAATGCATGCAAATGCAAACAGATTGAAAAAGACTATGTAATGTTTCTTAAATCTTAAAATTTATCAAGTTATTATCTGGGTATCCAATATGTTACAAAAATATTGTAAAAGAGTTACTATATTGCTAGATGCTTTGAGCATCAATATGACTGATGATCTACGTGACAGAAAAAAATGAAATATTCATAAGCATAAAGTTCAATTCATGATGACAAAAAGAAAAAAGCATGTTCATTGAAATCTTTGAAAATTAGATAACTGAAACAAAACAAAACAAAAAAACACAAATCTCTTTGGTGAGCAGCCATAGTTAATCTTTTCTGGAAGTAGTAAAAGTAACCAAATTAAACATAAATCCCTGAGGGTCAACAGGTATATAGTGGGCACTGAAAATATGCATAGCTGCATAGATAAAATTGTTGAAAATTTAAATAAAAATATTTTGTTATATTAATGTTAAACTCATAAAATTTTCAAAACTTACAATGGCATGTTGTCATTATATAAAAGAGTCATCAATAATTTACTAATAGCATATAATTAGTATTAATATTATACAGTTAGTATTGATATTGCATATTAAGCCACTCTGTGCTAGATACTGTACTGTAGAATAAGCAGGGGGAGAGGGAGATGTACTTCAGAAAGGAATGACATTTTTCTTGCTTTTGAAATGATTTCATAAATTTATCTGTACAATGTATACCCCCAAAATGAGTGCTTAAGCTTACTTTTCTTAAAATGAGATGAGTCCTTAAAATAATAATAATAATAATAATAATTTTACTGAGAGTTTACTGTGTGCTACTAAATTCATAGTCCTAAAATACTTAAAATAGGAAGTAATAGTTGGGACCAGAATTACTGAACTTTCTTTTTGGAAGTAAATAGGTGCCTAGGACATGCTGAATAAACCTGGATATTGATAGAAACACTGAGCCTTGTCATTGCCTTGTTTTATAAAATAAAACCTATCATGGCACTTTCTAGTAAAACCATTAATTAAAAAAGATGATTATGCACAAGTTCTGTTTAAAATTTGGTAAGATTTCACTATTCTATCACTGATATAAATTAGAGTATATATTTACTTGCCATCTGTTAGCTAGAACTTTACACTTTATAACTGTCTAACAATAGGTTAATGTATCCTTTATAATACAACTCTAGGAAGGGAGATAATTTTCTTTGTTTGAATCACTGTAATATTCCCACAGTCTAGACTAGTATTTATTAAAATGATGTATAACCATAATAGAGTCAATTACTCAGTAGAGAGATGTATCTTTCTGGATCAGAAGGAAATCATTTTGCCCACCCGGACAAAATGTGCCATTATTTAAATTTAATGGCACATTAAAAATGTGCCAATACATAGATTAATTACCAATTGACTGCCATTAAGCAATCTCAATTACAACACTGCATTCTTTGCTTACCTTTTTCTTTTTTTTTTTTTTTTTTTTTTTGAGACGAGTCTTGCTCTGACGCCCAGAGTGGAGTGCAGTGGCACGAACTCAGCTCACTGCAACCTCCACCTCCCAGGTTCAAGCAATTCTCCTGCCTCAGCCTCCCAAGTAGCTGGGATTACAGGCTCATGCCACCATGCCTGGCTAATTTTTGTATTTTTAGTAGAGACTGGGGTTTCACCATGTTGGCAAGGCTGGTGTTGAACTCCTGACCTCGGGTGATCCTCCTGCCTTGGCCTCCCAAAGTGCTGGGGTTACAGGCGTGAGCCACTGCACCTGGACTGCTTGTCTTGCTTTCTAGCAAATCAGTTGTGGATTTTGCATTTTCATCTTCCACTAACAAGTGTTCTATCAGTCCTCTCATTCTAACAATTTGAGAATACCTGCTGATCTAATTTGCAAAATGCCAATTCTCTCCTGTTGACCTCTATATTATTCTAATGATTAGATTCACATGACATTTTTGAATTTAGACCTCTATTGTTCTCATAATATACCACTGTAAATTTTGTCCAAGAGACTTTTGATGAAACAGTGCCTACAGAAATAGATATTATACATATGTATTTGATTTCCATATGTATAATTTGCTTAGGCTTTTATTTTCCTATTGCATACTTATGTGTTGCTCTCATTTCTTAGCTGAATTACTTTGTGACACCATTTTTCATATCATTCATGTCTCTACTCAAATGCCATCTCCTTAGAGAGGCATTCCTTGACCACAATATCTTATACAAAAGCAATGCTACTCTTTTTCCATTATCTGATTGTATTCTACCCCTCAAAAATATTACTAGTACCTGATACAACAGTAACTGTTTATTTGTATACAGTATTAGTATTTCTTCCTAAATAAAAAGGAAAGTTTCACAAAGTAGGAATTTTTCCTGAGTACGTAGTTAAGGTACTTTCTGTCTTCTCCTTAGCTCAGAATGAGAGGCACATCTTTGTCCTAGGAATTAGCATATTATGTACCAATTTAAAGGCAACAAAAAGAGTTGCAGGCACCATTGTGTTACATTGATATAAGTCCCCACGAAGAGACAATAACCCTCACACATATCATCACACCACTATCATATCAGAAATAAAACCAAAATGATCCTTAAAATCACAATTTCTGGTGCTTATTACAAAATATGAACTAACAATTTGGAGTGGTATAAACCTCTTTCAAAATTTCAGAAGCTAAAAATGTAAAACAAAAGCTATTTGCAGTGCCTAGAGTAGGCTGACTGAAAGGGGATGGAAATAGCTAAAGCTCTAGCTCTTTATTTCCTAGTACTTTATATGCTAACTGGACCAAATTTTATCTTCTGCCACCTCTCTCTTAGCTTTTGTGGCACTCTAACCCTGATCAATTCTTTGGAGCTATTTAGGATTATTCTATCCTATTTTAAAATTGTGATTATTGAGATAGAAAATTTAAAATAATTATTTAAGTAAGCATGAAAATGTAGTATTGATTGAAACATTTAGGAGTCTTAACCACTTTCAAAGCAGGACTAATTGCCTCCACGACAATGCCTCCTGGATTCTCATAAGTTCTTATTCGTCAAGAGTTTGCTGTGCAAGTGATCTGTCTTATAAACTGTCCATAGGTTTTTACATATCCACCAGACATAATACATCCTCAAAATATATAGATTTAAACTGTATTCCAGATCTGAAGATTTCTAATTTCTTACTCCTGAACATAATTTAGGGTTATAAATGTAGCCACTAAATCTTTAGGTAATTTACCTTACCTCATATAGTTTTTAAGAATAAGTAAAATGTCAAATGAACATGAGAGAAATTATTGCTTCATTTCAATTAGTGTGCTTGATTATTTGAAATTAGATTCCTTCTTTCCCCAGATTGAAGTATAAGTCCACTTTCCATCAAGATGGTTTGAAAATTGTCCCAAAATAATGAACATGTGGGAAATGTAAAGATCAGCTTCTGCTACCTTCCCAAATTTTCAATCATTTGGCATACAGAATGAATTTTAACGATGCCAGCTTTCCCTCTATGTCTGTTTTATTTGTTGCATAGCATTAATTGCTTTCTAACCGTTAATTTTTTGTCTGCTTCCTACTCTACCAAACTATACGCTTCATGAGATCATGGATATTTTCTGTCTGGTGCACTTCCTATCTCATGTACACATAATAGAACATAATACATTTAATTGCAAAAGATGAATCAAATCTTTATTCTTATTCCTTTAGTATTCTACAAATAAAAAGTAGATCTTTTTGAGGTTATATTTTTAGAAAATCAAATGCACTATTAATATATTCAATCAAATATTGCTGTTCAGAAAGGCAGAACTTAGTAGTAATTTGAGATCTTCATAAGTATTTGGTTCTTTTATTTCTTACAAGTTCAAGGAAGAACATTTTTTTTCCCATGTTTTCCTCAGATCAAGTCAAGGGGCTGCTTGGGTGAAGAAAGTGTGAGCAGAAGCACCGTATGTCCCTTTCAAAAGGAGAAATTAAGGCCTGGTACCTGCATCAACATGCTCCCTCCAAAATACAGTTGACATGCCAAAGATAATTTTATATCAACACATAGAAGCACTTAACTGAGTTCACTAACATTAATGGGATACTAAGATACCTTCTAATATGAGGCAAGGATAATCAAAAAATTATAGAGGAGATATTGTAAAGGACAAAAATACATCTAAATTGAAACTATTTTTAAAAATTCTTCCTTTATAAAAATTATGACCTATCATTGCAGTACCTTATATTATAGCATAAACACATATATCTTCAAAATCAGCTTCTCTAAGCAGAGAAACTGCTTATTCAATATAGGAAAACTACCTATGAATTTTGTATTGTGTCATTTTGCTAAGATATGGAACTCTAAAGGAAAAGTTTTAGCTTAAGATCTGTAGAACACAAAACAAAAGAACCTCATGGATATATTAGTACATTGCAGATATTTTTATATTTTAACTTGAAGCTTTCCTATTTTGTTTATAAATGTTACAATTTTACATTTCCTTGAAAATATTCCATTAAACCTGTGCCTAACATCCATCTCAATAAGAGTTAATTTTCATTTTTAATATAAATTTCATTTTTAATATAAATAATCATGTTCAAGGGTATGTTCTTAATATATAGAAATGAGACAAATATTTATATGAATTGACATAAGGTTATCTAAAGACAATAAGCATGTAAATAGTGAACACTGTTTTCATCCCTGCCTTTTTGCTCTCTCCCTTCCCCTAGCCTCCATTCAATCATCAAATCCTCCAGATTTTGCCACATATATTTCTCTCAAATTTCCAATGCAGCATCAGATTCAGGTCATGCTATTTCATTTGAAAAAAAAGAACAGCTTTTACTTTGTGCTTGTCCCCTATTAATTTAGTACTGCATTAATGACTGTTTGATTTTTCTCTTTTGACTCTTTTAGTGTCTCCCCACTTTTCAAGGTAAAGTTTAACTTCTTTGGAACTGTTCCTATGGTCCTTCATGCCTCAAAATAATAAGAGCCATCTATGACAAAACCACAGCCAACATCACACTGAATGGGCAAAAGCTGGATGCATTCCCCTCGAAACCAGCACAAGGCAAGGATGCCCTCTCACCACTCTTAATTCAACATAACAATGGGAGTTCTGGCCAGAGCAATCAGGCAAGAAAAAGAAATAAAGGACATTCAAATAGGTAGGAAGGAAGTCAAACTGTCAGACTTAATGACATGATCCTGTATCTAGCAAACCCATAGTCTCAGCCATCAGTGCTCACCAATGGTAGACTGGATAAACAAAACGTGGTACATATGCACCAAGGAATGCTACGCAGCCATAAAAACGAATGCAATTATATCCTTTGCGGGGACACGGATGGAGCTGGAGGCTATTGTCCTCAGCAAATAAATGCAGGAATAGAAAACCAAATACAGCATGTTCTCAGTTATAACTGGTAGCTAAATGATGTGAACACGTGGACAAATAGAGGGCAACAACACACACTGGGGCCTATTGAAGGGGTGGAGGTTGGGCGGAGGAAGAAAATC
The DNA here is from genome assembly GCF_000001405.40 of Homo sapiens. NCBI lineage: Eukaryota > Metazoa > Chordata > Mammalia > Primates > Hominidae > Homo > Homo sapiens. Next base: position 46,911,025 of record NC_000014.9, read on the forward strand.
AGGAAAAATAACTAGTGGGTACTAGGATTAATACCTGGGTGATGAAATAATCTTCACAACAAACCCCCATGAAACAAGTTTACCCATATAACAAACTTGTGCATGGACACCTAAACTTAAAATAAAAGTTAAATAAAAAAGATAAGTAATGCCTATGATATCTAAACTATCACCTTCAAATTTCTACTCAAATTATTGCTTCCATCTTTTTACAAATGGTTTCCAAAACTTGAAGTCTGATAAAGCAATTTAAACATCAATGATATTTTGCATTTCTTTCTTGAACATTTTAAAACAGAAAACAGAAGCTGGGAAAACATAGTCCATTACTGAGTAGTTGTACAGCAGTAGTTACGTAGTTTTATTGACATCTGTCATGTCAAACATTTATTATTCAAAGATAAATATTGTTTCAGCTATTTTAGTTAAATCTTTTAAATGTTGAAAAGCAGTCAGGTTTTTGGTATAAAAGTCATGTAAAGATGTGGATGACTCCACATTTCAAGATAATTTAAGAAACTTTAACTACAACTGAAAATGATAAAGCTAAACTAATAGTCATTTATCATTAAAATTATAAGAAGCAATTGAGAATGATGATTGATTCAAAATCAACTGCAAGTTTAAGTGAAATGACATATAAGGAAATCAATTTTACCTCAAGTTAATTTATATCTAAACAAGAGTAAAGATCCCATGGCATATTTCTGGTAATAAAAACATCACGAAACTTCTAAATAAAGCCCCAAACACTTATAATATTAAACATAAAATAAATGTGAGCTATACGTACATTTAAGAAATATTAATACAAACAAGGAAGATAATTATTACCCAATAATTCCAGTTGAGGGTCATGGGGTGGGGCAGGGCTTATTCCAGCAGCCAGGGTGCAAGACAGGAACCAACACTGAACAGGGCTCCATCCCATTGCAGGGCACACTCAGACACACACCCACTCTCACTCAGACTGGGAGTGATTCATTTAGACATGCCAATTCACCTCATGGGCTCATGTTTGGGATGTGAAAGGAAACCAGAGAAATCCACAGACGAGGGAGAATATGCAATCTCCATACAGATAGTGGTCCCAGCCAGGAACTGAATTTTTTTCTCATCAACGTTATAACCATATGACCTTAAACAAATGACATTATTCAAGGACCTGCTGTACTTTGCTCATAAGCAAATTTGCATTTTCATATTTTAAAATTTTGTTTGTAAGTACAAACATACACACGAATGCACATTCACACACTGTCTTCTTAGTTTCCATACAAATACAAGATTTTTCTACCCTGCAGTTCGTTTTTGCTGGAAATTCTATTACTACTGTCTTCAGATGAAAAATTTATGCCTAAATTTTTACCACCTTCAGTTTCATATCTAATGCTTTTGACTTGTAAATTAACATATTGAAGAAAAAGTGTTCACCCAAATTCTAGTAGCATGTTTCTAATCTGGATAACGGTTTTATGCTCCCCTATCACTCCAGCCTAACAAGTCCACATGTGAAAATATGGGAATACTTGTAAACATTGATTAAAAATCTTATTTATGTCAATAACTTAACCCTCTTTCACTCTTTTAAGTGTCTTTGAGGTTGCTTGTTTCCTCCACGTTTCTAATTAATTTTCTCAAACCATATTTCTAAACAGAATTAAATCTATACAAAGGCACCAGACTCAGAGAAAATCCTCAAGAAGTATTTGGAGTTTTCCAAGACAAGGTACCCTTATTTTACAGAACCTTCTACATCAGTCAAGGGTCCATCCCTGACCCAGGTCTCTCAAATTTACCATTTATATATCCCTTCTCATAAACACATTGTAAAATTAGTTTGTAGGAATGAAGCAGATATATGCAATGTCCTTCATTTGGAAGATGAAGATAAACTTCACTTTTTACAACTGACATATGGCTTATTTCTTTTCCAGAGCCAGAGAGACCATTTACAAAATGGTTTCTCTACATTTCTCTGAGTCCTTCATTCTCTCTCATCTCTATATGTTTAATGCTTTCCAGAGCATTCACTAAAGAAATTGAAGTGAATGACAGAGAAATAAGGTCACTATCTTTTTCAAAATTGTTCCCCAAAACAAAGTCAAAATTCAAGTTCTGCCTATTTTAACGTTTTCTTAATTCCATTTTTCTTCTTCTCCCCTTTCACTATTCTAATCTAAATCATCAGTACATGCCCCAAATATGTGCCTAACTGTTGTACCTGTCTCTATTATAATAACATTCAGTATACTCAGTATGGTATTATAAGATTAATCTATGCAAGATGTCATTTTATTCATGATTTAAGATTATACAAAGAATCCAGATTATCAAATCTCCACAGATTTTCCTGGACAGGCATGAAATGGTTCCTCCAAACAGTTCTTGCAATAAAATCTATCTAAATGGGCTAAGTCAAGCACAAAACAAGCAACAATAAGCAAAAATTATTCACTAAAATAACTTTTAAAAATGTTTTAACTGGAAGGAGAAATAAGCAATAGCTCAACCATTATAGTCACATCTACTGAAGACCAAAATTAAATTTGTAATAAAGTTATCCAACAATCAATTGTATCAAACATATCTTTTTTGCTTATTACTTTTTATTAGTAATTAGTGATTACTCGTGGTCACCGTTTAAGAAAGTTTAGGAATAAACCTATAAAATTAACAAACAAATGAAGTTTGCACCTCAGTGATCGTGTCTCTTGCCCCACTACCTGGCAGTACTAACTGCCCCCATCGATTTCTATGATACTCTTTGTTTATTTCTATTAAACCACTTACTTTTATAAGACGTTGAGGACAATACTTCGTTTTTAAATTCCTGGAAATTACCATATAACTAATTTAATCAAATTTTATTGACTGAATGGGAGAGCAAATAAGTATGATAATTCTAAATATTTTAATACAACATGACTTAAAAAAGGAATTGGTCAATTATGGATTTTTTTAAAATAAAATATCCTACTTTCCAAAGATACAGTCAAAAAGTCACATCATTGTGTATTTCTATGGCTGAATATAAAAAAGGAAACTGTATAAAATTGTGTATTATTTAAAACTGTAATTGTGTACATTTCAAATGAAGTAAAATGATGTTTACGTTGCTTGGTATATTTAGATAACTTAGAAACATTTTTCCTGTTTTTTAATTCCTTAGATACCAAGGAAAGTAGATATTCAAATAATCTTTTTCTCTTTCCTGTTAAGCAACAAATGAAGCAAATAATTGGAGGTTAATAGCTGTCTAAGGAGATTAAACAATTGCTTAGCTGAGCCTAAAAAGTACAACTTTGTTAGGACATAAAGATTCTGAGAAAACTTTTTTCCACAAATTAATTTTTTAGCTTCTCATTATATATTAGTTCTCTTTTTAAGTTTCTTAAAGCAGTGATTCCAGAATTTCAGTGCTTTTTTTCTAGATATAATGCATTATTTTACAAGAAAATTGTGTAAGTCAATACTGAAATCTGAGACAACTTTCCTAATCAAATTTAAGTACAGACCATACAGTTTAACCAAAAGGGAATGCTGGGTTCAATTTATCAACCCCCTACATCTATGAGTTTAATAACACAGCAATGGTTTTTATAATCCTATTTAATTTAAGAATGATTAATAAGATTTCTAAAGGTTTCTGGATTAAAAATAAGGTAAGGTCTTAGGAAGTGAATCTGCTATTAGTCTTAAAGAATCGAATTTGTTTTCAGACTTCATCTCATACACAAATGCATTATGTAATCAAGGCAATGTTTGATATTAAGAGGTGAGATTTTTGTACTAGATAACCTAGGTATTTTATGGATAGAAGAAATCATGTACATGTATAGGCTAAAAATAGAAATATTGCCTAAAATAATAAGACTTTAAAAATCACAAAATATGTAACATAAATTAATAATCCTTTGAATAAAATTTGGCCTTCTAGTAAAATATGTGAACCATAGTTATTAGGACATAAATCCATGTATTTAAAAATGTATATTGCTTAGGCCACATGCCTAACTCAGTGTATTTAAACCATCCAAGTTATGTTTACTATGTTCAAAAGCTCATTGATTTAGGATTCTGAAATAGTTTGGCAGATGAAAAAGGCTACATGCATGTAATATAAAATCTTCATTAAAATAATAAACAGTTCAGAATTCAAGAGTGATTTCTTTATCCAAAGGTGATTTTTAAAAGTTAGTATCTGATTGTGTCCTAAGATAATATTGATATTTAAATGTCAATGCCTGGTAAAGGAGAAATTTAAATTTTCTGAGAAAATATAAAAATGCTAGAAATCTTCCCAACACACAGAAATGACAAATACTCGAGGTGATGGATACCCTAAATACCCTGACCTCATAATTACACATCCTATGCATGTAAGAAAATTTCACATGTACCCCATAAACATGTATAAATATAGTGTATCAATAAGAACAGAGGGGCTAATCTAATGGAGAAAGATAAAATCCTATCACTCATTTACCAAACAAATCAACAGATTTTTTTAAAGGTTAGTTTTAGTGTTGTAATTATCATTTCTTATCTTAAATCTAATATGAAGAAAGCCCATATTCTAAATCTCTTTCCTTTCTGAGGAAGGAGAAAAGCATCAAAATCAATTGAAAACCTTGAAGTTCAGCAGTCCCTCCCAAGGCAGGGTCACGCCTGCTTCCACTCAAGGTCTGCAGAAGGGGAAGGTAAGGAAGCAAAGCGGCAGGAGGCATCATTAAGGAACTGCGGGGGACATGTGGACTAGAAGAAAAATAAACCACATCCAATACACTGGCTGTGCATCAGAATTACTTGGGACACTTGCTATAAACACAGCGGCCAGGCTTCTGAACCCAGGAGCTTGTATTAAGGAGGAGCTCACAGGATCTTGGTATCTGCTTCTCTGGGTATCTCTGGGCATCTCTGGGCATCCTGATGGAGGTTGTCTACAAACCTCACTTCCAGAAAACCTGGCTTATAATGTCATTCCTAAAGATGACAGAGCTGGTGAGACAGGTCACACTTCGAGGAGAACAAAGAAGTAGTTTCAACTGGTCTGTGGTGGGACCCAGACATTAGCCCACATGTAACACTCCCCAGGTGATTCCAGTGGGCAGCCAGGGTTAACACTGCCCTGTCTGGTAACATCCGCCACATAGATAAAACTTTGCCTGTTCTCATTAAAAAAGCTCATCACTTCCTACTCCCAAGACTTGTTCAAAATCCCATTAGTCCCAGCATCCTCCATAGGATGAAGAGGGGCGGAGGAGCTGGGGTCCATGAGAAACGTACAGAGACCTGAGTTCGAGCCTTGGCTCAGCTACTAACTGGCTTCGAGATCTTGATCCTCAGTCTCCCCATCTCCAAAAAGGTAATGTTTGCAATAAATTCCTTTAGAATGTAAAAAAAAAAAGCACCTATTTCCATTAATGCCTTTGTTTCCTGTTATTAAAAAGGAATTTTTTAAAAAAGAACTACATCGATTTTATTGTATCTAGAATACTTTTGCCCTACCATCCTAAACTTTTGTTTGTAAGTGAATCTTCAAAGGCAATGTTGCTTGCTGGGGCCATTTTGCATGTAGAGATGTTTTATGCAAGAGTTCAGTGCAGAGGTTATAGTTTTGAAAAAAAGAGGCGTGTGTCTACGTGCTCCTTCTCTTCTTACACCCCATCTACAAACAGCACCATCTTATTCACATTGGCAGAACAGCACAAAGTCATTACTCTTTATTGAGACATCCCTGAAAGATACATCAAAGTTTTCTCTCCCATGGAAAGAGTAAAATTACCAATTAGAATACGGCATCATAAAAAGCACCCTAGAAAAAAACGCTTATTTCTAAATATAAAAGAAAATCCTAAGAACAAAGGAGTACAGAAAAGAATGTATACAGTGGCAGGTAAAGAGTTAGCTTCAAAAATTGAGTAAGGGAAATATTTGTTTTCTGCACCATGGTTTATTACACTAGAAATATGTTTTTTTTTTCCTCTAGTGAATAGCATGCATCTTACAAAACCTGGAAAGAACAGTATTAGTATCAGACTTACTGATCCAATCAAGAAGGCTTGAAATGAAACTCGAAGTGGAAGAGAAAAATGTGAATCAATAACATAGATCTTACAGAAGACAATAGGTTTGAAATGAAAATGAGACATAATAAAAAAAGGTCTAGAAATTATTTTGTGAAAACCATGACTTGAAATAATGCTTAGGCTTAGAATAAAACTCAAATAATAAAAATACTACACATGCTCAGCTCATGAAATGTACTCTTTTAAAAAATCTGTATACAACACTGACAGATGAGTATAAGAATTGCCATAACTGTTTGTGCAAGGAGTGCCCTGCACAAGAGTACCTGGCCTGTGGAACAAGTGGGGGACATAATCCACTTCATATTCCAATTGCCTGACAGGTATAATCTTCAATTTACAGGATTAAAAACCCAGGCTTAGATATGCTCAGAAACATGCTCAAGGTTATGTAGCTATAAAAATATGAGGCCGTATTGGCTAGAATTGGAAGCCAAGTGTGTCTGGAATTCATTATTTTAAAAAAACATAGAAAAGGGAAATTTATACATACATATGGAATCATATATAATTTATTCTAAAGAGGAAGAGTAGGAGAAAATTCACTAATTTTTCAAAAGGAACAATACAATGACTGAGAAATGTGTGTCACTGCGTATCAGGGAGTTATACACCAGTTTTATGATAAAAAATATAAAAAATTGAATTTGGAGATGTTCATGTCAGGAAAGGAAAATAAAAGAAGACTTTGTCACTGGAAAATGGTGTAGCATTTCCCAGCAAAAAATATTACAGAGGATAGTCTGCTAATGAGTACAAGATATGGATGAGAAAGAGAAGGCTTAAATGACGGGATCTCTCTTGGGAGGAATTCTAACTCATTTAAATTTCGCTTATAGGTAAGGATTTTGATTTGCATCCACAACACAGATACTAAGTAGAAACAAAGTATTTGAGGTGCATAAAAGTAAAGGAAGAAGATGATGAGAAGGGTTGGGTAAATTCTATGAACTTAAAACACACAGCTAGTAATGGGAAGTTACCCAGAGACTCCAAGAAAACGTAACTGAGGAAGAAAGTAAGAAACTAAAGATACAATTATGACTCTATCTTTGCAAATAGACCTATAACCAGAAAATAGCACAATAATTACCTAAAGAAAACAATTGATTTTACAAATGAAAATTTAGTCATAGATTCTTACATTTTTACAAAGCATGTATAACAAAAAAATGAATATGAATGATTAAACAATGTAGTAAGGAGTTTTAAAAAGAGTATGAGGTGTGTAAAGTCAAGAATCCTTATAGATACTCCAAATATGAAAGGTTATAAAATATTAGCTGTGTTAAGGAAAAAAGAAATAAGCCCACAAACTGAGGGAGAAAGAACTGCTAATTTGTTTTGTTGCTGCTATTGTTTCTATCTTCTCTGTTTAAGAAAATTAGCAAATTAGAATGGGTAGAACGATGTTAATATAGATTTCGGTTTTGCTCAGATTTACCTACAGTCCTTTTTCAATGAGGGATAACCAGAGAAACACTGTGAATGATCCACTATGGTCTGCTGTATCGGTAGCCTGTGTGCACTTAGAGAAGAATCCAGTAATTATCAAAGGCCAGGATGTTTTCACTAGGAAAAGCTCTTTCACTTTTTTGAGAATCTTAAACAGGGTGAATAAGAATATGCTACATACAGTGTATCTTTTTTTTTTTTTTTTTGGAATCGGAGTCTTTTTCTGTTGCCCAGAGCTGGAGTGCAGTGGCGCGACCTCGGCTCGCTGCAAACTCCGCCTCCCAGGTTCACGCCATTCTCCTGCCTCAGCCTCCCGAGTAGCTGGGACTACAGGCGCCCGTCAACATGCCCGGCTAATTTTTTTGTATTTTTAGTAGAGACGGGGTTTCACCGTGTTAGCCAGGATGGTCTCAATCTCCTGACCTCGTGATTCGCCCGCCTCGGCCTCCTAAAGTGCTGGGATTACAGGCGTGAGCCACCGCGCCCGGCCACAGTGTATCTTAATGTGAGTAATGTGTCACACAAGTATTTTATTGTAAAACACAATGGTTTTATGATAGAATAGCTGAATGAATCGTTGGAGGTTGATCAGTCTTACTCGATGAAAATTTTATTCTCTCTACCATCCCAATTCAAAAGATTTTTCTGTGATACAGTTAAGGAAGTGGAACATGCACTTTGCCAATCTAGGGATAATACAAGGTTTTGGGAGAGAGCTAAAAGATTATGTGGTGATCAAATAAATCTTCAAAAATGTTTTGTTATGCTGAAATTCATCCAGATAATATGCTAAGAAGAAACAATGTAAAGACCTCCACTTAAATTTCAAAAATATCATTTAAACAAAGGATACGTGAATTTAACATTTTAACCCTTTGAAAAAGATACAGTTTTTTCCACATAACCCTTGATCTTCAGCTCCCTTAAGAAACTATCATACTTTAATTTCTTTTCATTTTACAAAAGTATTTCTATTTCTCAGACATATTAAATTAGCTTATGCAACATTCTGTATATGTCTTGAACCCCTAAAGCAAAAATATGTACAACTTCTGGCTTCTTAGGAATCAAGACAAATGATTATGCAGTATAGGTGAGTGTGAGCACATCTGAAATAAGTTCCTTTTATGAAGTTATACCATGTAATTTATCTCTCTTATCTAGTGATGAAGGATTTTAGAAGGCTCAAAGGCTGTCACTTTAGTATGTCTGCTGTCATAGTGAAAAATATGTAATTTCAAAGATTTTTCAAGTAAGTCGGAACAGTTTATGTGGAGTAATATACATAGGGTGAAAACATATCTATCTGTCTATCTATATACAGAAACACATATACATAAAATATATTTTGGAATTCATGCAAAACTCTTAGAAAAATGATAACAACAAGGTCTTCACAGAGGACCACAAAGAAAAAAGGACATCAGTTAGATTTCTCACCTGCCTGATGCCCAACCGGTATGCAACAATCCGATCCACTGCATCAGGATTCATCTGTGTCCACTGTAGACTGTAAGAATAAACACGGTGTCTGTTCTGCCATACTGGATTGTAGGTATCATAATAGAATTCTGGAGCATAGGCCTTTCCTGAAAACAGAAAGTGTGCTTAAATTTGAATGATGACATATTGTAGTGTAAGCATACTTATTCCCTTTGGCCCTTTTACCATTTCTACTATATTTTTCATTAGTAATTATAAAATCCAATCAATTTTCTGGATATGTTTTGAGAACAGATGTGAGATTTCCTGGTTGATTGGATGGGCAGTGTGAGAAAAGAAGGAAGAACACAAAGCATTTGGCCTAAGTGATTGGAGGAATGGGATTTTCATCAACCAAAATGGAAATCCATGGGAGGATGAAATCTGGAGAAAGAAGATCAAAGTCATTTTTAAATAATTTGAGTGATCTAAATGGATACACCAAGTATGCAGTAGGATATAACTAGTCTGGAATACAAGAGAGATCAAGACTGGAGATATAATCTTGCTAACCATAGGCATGCAGATAGAATTTAAATTTAAAGCCAAGAGACGGATATTACCAAGGAAGTGTGAGTAGATAGAGAAGGTGAAAGTCTGACACTGGGGCAATCCAAGGTTAAGAGTTATGGGAGGAGATAAAAACCACACCGATGCCTGAGAGGGAACAACCTAAATTTGGGGAAAACTAAAAATGTGGTATCCTAGAGGTCAAAAGAGGTATTTCGGGAAGTGAGTGATCCACTGTGTAGAAAACAATTAGTGGAAATGAAAATTTGTGTTTGTATTACCTGCAGCTTTCATCAATAAAGTGAACTTAATAAAACTTAAAACAATTAATTAATAAAAGATCTGGTCAATATTTAGCTTATATTTAGATTTTTAAAGAAATGTGAATTACGTATAGTGTATATACCACATACAAACCATCTCAGTTTTTCTTAATTGCCAAAATGAAAAGTTTACACACCATTTGGAATTATAGATCCACCTTCCCAATATTCTGAAGTATAATTTTTTCTATTACAAATAACATATTTATTTAATAATACAACAATATTTAATGAGAACCTATTCAATGCAAAATATTGTCCTACGTATTAAGAACACAATGAATCAGGTATGGCCTCCTCATTCATGGAAATTAATTACATTTTTTTTCCAGACTTTTCATGTAGCTTCGCAATTCTTAATAAGTTAAAAGCTGTATTTTTATCATCACTCATTTAACATCTTTTCTTTTTTTCTTTCTTTTAATTAGATTAGGCCAGCTGTAGGGCTCGTGCCTATAATCCCAACACTTTGGGCAGCAGAGGTGCTCGGATCTCTTGAACCTAGTTGTTAAAGACCCACCAACCTGAGCAACATAGCAAAATAATGTCTCTACCAGAAAAAGAAAAAAAAAAAGAGCCAGGTGTGGTGGAGTGTACCTATGGTCTCAGCTACTCAGGAAGACCTACTTGCTGTGGTGGGAGGATCACCTGAGTCTAGGGAGGCAGAGGTTGCAGTGAGCCAAGATTGTGCCACTGCACTCCAGCCTGGGGGACAGAGCCAGGCCCTGTCAAAAAAAAAAAAAGAAAAGAAAAAAAAGAAAAGTCTCAAATGAGAGGAAAACAACATACTGAGTGAAGGAATCAACAAGCAAAACATTCTTGATAATTTGTATTTGAAACAAAATTTTTCAAAATGAAATAAAGGAGGTGAATTTAGTAGTAGCTGAGTTAGACAGCTAGAGGTTTTAATTAAAAATACACATCCAATACCTACAAATTTACTAAAGAAGTAATGAGCTGCTTAGATGAGTAACATAAACCTAGAGTGTTTTCATTACAGAGTGGTATCTAGATTGAATTGGGGAGGTAAAAGTCTAGTGTTTCTTTTCTATGAGGACTGAGGGGTTGCTTCTGTTATTTAATCAAGGAAGAAACCTAAGGGTGATTGATTCAGTTCTAAGTAGCCCATTCTTAATAAAATAAACAATTCATTCAAAGAGAATCAAGAAGAGAATACAGGGACAACTAGGGGTTTTTTTTAGCATGGATAAAAAGGCGGGGGGGCAAACAGAATTTTTAGGAGTTGAAATAGATCACAGAAAAAATCAGAATAAATGTTAACAGATACATGAAATAAGATGAATACCAGTGATTTCCGAATAAAATGGTAAATATTTTGACTTAGAAATGTTCTACCAATGACCTTTGAATATGGAATGGCCTACCTCAGTAGACTATAAATTTCCCTTTATTCGAGGTATTTAGTCAACACTTAAACAGCCATTTAGCAGGACTGAGATGGGTAGCTGCCCACAAGATGGTCATTTAAATTAACTTTCAGTCCCGAAACTGAACTGTGTAGGCTGCTATAAAACATTTGCCTGTCAAACTGGATTTGATATGTTAACTAATTTTAGATTAAATATGGTTTAAATACGGAGGAACTGGCACTTCAAAATTATCTCATAACATTAAAAAAGTTCCTCTTGAAAGGCCATATTTATTAAAAAGAATAAGGTCTTTCCAAATATAGTATTCATAAGGATGAATTCATCTCTAAGGTGGTGACCAGGAATCCAGACATTCTCAAATACCCTAGGTTATTCTGATGCAACGAAATACAGACCTTACAATTTGGAATGCTTTAAAGAGGCTGAAATTTCTCTCTGAAATTACCTCCAGGTCTATATAACAAAAGATGTAAAAACTTATCCTAAAGTCATAAGAAACATCTCTTTGGTCTTCTTCCTCCTCTGAGACTGGCAGCAGCATGCCTGATCCAACAGCCAGGATCTCTCTGGGGCAAGACTGAGAGACATCAGATAATGCGGATGGAGCGAAGTAGGATAGAATAATAACAGGAAATATTCGAAGCATTTCAGGAAGTAGCTATCTTATTATAGTTGACTTTTGTTGACTACCACGAGGATAACTGGCTGCATGCCATGAATACAAATTGCCATTATTCTAGGAACATTATTTATCTAAATGAACACTTTTGAAGTTACTGAAATAGTTTTACCCTGAAGTTGAAAAACAGATCCTCATGATCTTGTGAGTAATATGAATTTGTTTACCAAGATCCATTTTCAAGGTAGTAAAAAATTAAGCTCCAATCTAACCCATTAAAATATTGCAAATATATCAAATTTCACTATAAAACGTTATCTTTATATTTAATTGCATGCTCTCACAAAGACTTTCCAATGTATTTTTTTAAATGCTTTATCTGTATTGGGTAAATCACAGGTAATATTTTTTCATGGAGCATTAGATTAGAAAATACTTTAGAGATTATTTCAATATCTCATATTATAGATAAATAAATGAAGGTGCAGAATGGAGATGGGGATAACATATGAAAGGTTATACAAATAAATAATCAAATACAATAAGATCCGTTACTTTTTTTACTTAGAATCATGAGATTAGAAAATAAAGTTTTTTTTAGTTGAATAATCATATTACTTGGAATTAAAGGTAAAAAACGTTTTTAGATGGTGCATAAATAGTAATGATTAGTAATAAGTAATTGCTAATGAGAAATAATTTTCAGTTGTTACGATTAAATATAGGCATGCTTACTTATGCCTCACAGCATACTTTCTACTGAGCCTACTGTGGAAAAGCTTTAAAAGGAAAAATGCTTCCTGATTTTATTGGAAAAGGGCATCTTAAATTTTTTGAAATGAGACACACTTAATTTTCTCCTCTAATTTCAGAGCCAATTATACTTTATGCTTATATATTCATTCATAAGAAAGACACAGTAAAACCAAAGAAATATCCTTATAATAATCTTGGGCTTTGACATCCAAACATGACATCTACTGGTTGAACAGGGAAAGAATTCATAAATATATATATTTTTAATGCCTCAGGCATTTTAATTCTTCCAATAAGCATACCAAGAAAATTTTCTTACTCTGTCACATTCTAGTTTTATTCCTATACTATGTTGTTCCAATCTAACTTTTCACATTCTAGTTTTATTCTTATACAATGTTGTTCCAATCTAAATATTTTCAGATTAACTAACCTAGAACTATATTCATTAACTGAACTGGGAGGTAAATTTTGGAATCATCATGTATGATTATATATAAATCTTGGATTTAAAAAATATCCCTAAAATATCTATATAGAAAAAATTTGTTTTTGAAAATTTTTATAGATTTATATAGAAATACTGGTATTTCATTTTGCAAAATGGTTTTGAAAAATGATTACATTGAGATTGCAAAATATAATTTTATGCATAAAGTTCAAACATAAATTAAAAACAATTATTATTCCCACTATGAACACTTAAAATGTGCTCGGATAAAGGAACTGATTTCAGTAAAGTCAATACAGATTTTGAAATAAAAACAAAATAAGGTATATAATACTGATCAAGACCACACATATCTTGCTTTTGAAAATAATTCACATTTTGGAAAATAGACTGTATGAATATAAACTTAAAAGAATTACACAGGTTTATAGGACATGTTTGCAAATTTAGGGATATCTATCAATTTTTCACTTTGTAAAACAGACAATACATAGCTAATACATATTGCTTTCCTACGAGGTGCTGAGAAAATCTAGATAAATAAAATGAGCCCATTTTATTATCAGATTGCACAATCTCAGAAAAAAAAAACTCATACAGACAACAAATTCTGATACAGTTGGTGGCATAATTGACTCAAAACAAGAACAAATTTCTTTCTTTCATCTAGAAATGCTAGATGAAATTATGCCAAACCTCTTTTTAGATGTATGTTTGCAAGCAAGAAAAAGAAGTCTCTAGGGATCAAAAAACACTGCTGAAAACAAGCCATTTAATAAGAGTTTGGGGAGAAAAATAGAGTGCTGTTGGTCTTTTTTACCATTGGGAGATGGATTTTCAGGCCCATGGGAGATAAGGTTAATAGACTACTGCAAGAAGAGAAGTTGGTAATGAGGCCACCACCTATGACTAAAATCTAGAAAAGTTATAGTTTCAGACATAGGATATGCTAGAAAACATTTGACTCTCACCAGTATAGGAAGATGACAAAAATATTTATGTTACCATAAAATTTTTTTGACTTTTGATACTGCTGGAGTGCTTGAAAAGAGCCAATGACAAATTGATCTTGAAAGACATGCTGTCAACTTAAAGCGCAGAGAATTCCTCTAAATCCCAATGATTATAAATTCACAAACATTTTGAATACACAAATACACAAGAAAACGTTCCACTGTGAGAGACTAACAAGGTAAATAAATAGTAAGATTAGACTTAAGATAATAGAAAAATAAAATAGAATTTAGGCTGGGCACAGAGGCTCACGCCTGTAATCCCAGCACTTTGGGAGGTCAAGGTGGGAGGATCACTTGAGGTCAGGAGTTCAAGACCAGCCTGGCAAACATGTTGAAACCCCATCTCTACTAAAAATACAAAAATCAACTGGGAGTGGTGGCAGGCACCAGTAATCCCAGCTATTCGGGAGGCTGAGGCAGGGGAATCACTTGAATACGGGAGGCAGAGGTTGTAGTGAGCCGAGATTGCCCAACTACACTCCAGCCTGGAAGACAAAGCAAGACTCTACCTCAAAAAAAAAAAAAAAAAAAAAGGAAATAGAATTTATAAGTATACTTAATAAGACTGAAGTCATACAATAGAAAAATATAAACGAACACCATGGAACATTCTATGAAAGAATAATTGATACTGTCTACTGGGACCAAAGAAAGGCTTCACAAGAGGAATGTCTGGCATTTTAACTGATCTTAAAGAAGAAAAAATCAAATCTCTCAGACAGAAAAGGTTGGTTCATGAAGGGATAAAAAAAGAGAAGAAATAAAGCATGTCCTTAGGTGGAGAAAAATGAATATGTTATAGATACTTTAGAAACTACTGTAGGATATGGTACTGTTATAACATTCAGTGCCCACCTTTCCTACCAAACTGTGCACTTCTCAAGAACAGGGATGGTATCATCAGCTCTCACCACTATGGCTGACGTAATCCATGTGCTTGCAGAATACAGGAAAAATATGTCAGTGCTAACTTGTGAAGCATCTTAGTGATATAAGATGTTGAATATTTACTCTAAAGTCCAGTTATTCTGAAATGACTTTAACCAGTCCTCATGAAAATGGGAGAAAAGATTTTATAGTGAATCCACTAATTTTCATTTTTTTAGTGTGAAAACTGAGTGATGGCAAATAATTGGATAGGAACCAAATAATTTAAATGGCGGTAAGGAAAGAATTCCACAAAAGACACACTTGCAAAGTATCAAAAATAATAAAACCTAATTTAAAACTTCTCATTTAAAACCTAATTTAAATGTATACTGAAATCCAAGGTGAACTTAAACGCCAATGATGCACTGATTTGAAAAAAAAAAAAGCCTTCTAAAAATCAGAAATCACAGCTCTAGAAGCTAATACATATAGCCAAACGATTTGAGAATCAAAGTCATATAGTGTTCACATACATAGACTGGCTAAGGCAGTGGGTTATGTGTTAAAATGTTAGGTAAAATACACAATAAAAATATACGCAGCTCTCTGTCATTCCTCCATAGGGCAAAACAGAACATGCAATTATTGGAACCAAAATTACATTATCTTCAAATTAATGAATCTTGAGTAAATTAATTAGAAAAGAAGAGAGAAAAAAATGTTGCTACAGAAACAGGCATTTTTCTAAATGTTTAATCAGGGAAATGATATAAATTTATTTTATGTTTTACAACAATAACTGCTGGGAAAGAAGCTAATGGATTGAATGAGTGAGAAACCTTAGGCAGGAAACTAGTAAAAAAATACTGCCTATATAAAAAAAAAGATATGTGATTTGAGAAAATAAGAAAAGCTGATGAATTCAAAAGTGATTGCGCATACTGCTGATCAACATGTGTCTTCTGACCGGATCCTGAGCGTAGACTCCTAAATTTTCAGTCTTGAGAGAAGAATGGTCACTAGCGTCTCTAACTGAGAGGGAAAATGACTGTGAGTATCTCATCCTGGAAAAGGAGTCAAAAATTTCATTACCTCTTGAGATTCTGTCCTTCTGAAGGCTTATTGTTTTAGATTCAAAGCCATATAAAAGTATGTGTCATGAAATTGGGAGCATAAAGAATACTTTGAGGAAAGTAAGATTTAATTCTGTCAAGTCAAAAGAAAATTCTAAAAAATAGCAATATACTCATCGCTGTTATCTATATTTGGCATTTATTTGTAGGGTATTTAATATTAGGTCTTATCATATTAAAAGTAAGTAATACAGGAATTATTACCAATTTGATGGGTTCTACCTATTTCATTGGCTTGAAAGATACTAAATTAATATGAAGAGGGAATTTAAAAATGTTAAACATACAAGCAATACTTAAGAAATTAAACAATTGTATTTGATTTTAAAACCATATCTTGGAATTAAGATGAATGTCATAGCAGCAATAAAACTCAATGTCATTAATAGTTTGTTCAACAGTGATAACTTGTCAATATGTATGCAGGAAATAAAAACATAACAACTAATTAATACAACAGTGAAGTCAATGACAACATCTCTCAGTTGAAGATTCATTTTTAAAATGAATGCAAGATGTGTGTAACAATTTATAATCCAACTAAATCATTTAGGTAAAGCGCGTTTGTACTTGAGACAGAGAAGTGTTTATCAAAACTATGTCTTCCCATTTAGTAACAGCAAATATATTTTTCAATGACTAGTCATTATCACAACATTATTTTTAAATTGCAATATAGCTGGTGTATTCATCCCTTACTTGAATTCATTTTCTTCTGCTCGAGGCAGAGCTGTACACATCACATTAAGGCAGACTACCCTGCGACCACACTTCAGCACTCAAGAGCTTCCTAAGAATTTATAGCCCTGGAAAGCAGGTTTACTGATTAGTTAAATAATAAAACTATTGATACATTGTCAGTCTTTACAAATCACTGGGATCTTTAAAGAAAGCCTTTAAATCTGCTTGGGCATAAGGTACAATTGCTTTGGTTACAATATTATGATTTCTCTTGTAGGTTATGCCTCTTCAAAATAAATCTGCTGAAAAAATAAATGTCTCATTTCCCAGAAATGATTTTATTTAAAACATTCTGTATCAAGTTAGTCTTCCTATTATTAATCTGGAAAACTTTTTTATGAAAATCAATTTTAGCATTATTTTAAAAAAATTCAGTCACAAAAACAATACATTCAGCCAATATATGAATTTATGAACTGATAAATTTGTAATAATATGTCTAAAGCATTTTTATGATGAACATATACCAAGTGAAACTGGGAACAAGCTTTATGGAATTTATGGCTGAATTCACTTATAAAAGGAAGTCTTGCCCAGTCATCTTTTTCTGATTCCTCTCTTGCATTTATAGATTCATCTTTTAGATTGCCTCTTCTTTGTAACTATTAGAGTTTATTCTAATAACATTGAATCTCACTCTTATCACTTCACACCAACAAAAGCTTTGTAACTCAGTATTTATTGAATAAATCAATCAATGAACTTTCCACATGATTTCACTTCTCCTATCCACTTTCTAGTGACTCAGCATGCCAATAACTGAATGTTTCTAAAGCCCCAGTTTCATCTTCACACACCTTGATCCCATAAACTAAAATACTTTCCTCCTGCAGTTCCTCTCTGCTTTCCAATTGTTATCTATCTTTTAATACCAAAATCATGACTATCCTTCCTTCCTTTAGTAACTCTTTGTTCTATGATAATTATTTACATCATAGTACTTAGCATTTAATTACAAAAACATATCATAATTTTATCCCAATATGTAAGAATTCTGGAAAATGTTTTCTATAAAATCATTTTTATTTCTTGTTGAGGTCCTTTCCCAGATTTAGACATAATATAGTTGAAGCCAGTAGAGGGTACTGAACAATACAAAGCAACCACACTATTTAAAATGTAAAAATCATTCTTAGCTCATGGGCCATATACACACAGTTGGCCAGCTGAATTTGGCTCTGGGGTCACATGATTGCTAAACTCTGTTCTAAATTATTTCAGGATGTTACAGTTTGCAGTGTATTGTTACTAGGTTCTTATCTGAGAGTTCAGAATATGCTAAGTTTACATCTAAAAAGTGTCTTTCTTAGGCTTGACCTGTCTGACGAATTGTTATTTTAAACAAATATGCCATTTATATATGTATGAACCATAGCTTTGGTGAAGAGTGAAAGTTAGCCACATAGAATCTCTAACTAGCAAAGTATAAAACTTGAAAGACCCCAAGCCTAGATTCCCTGTGCTAATTTGAATGATGTATATTTAACATTTATGTTACATCAAACCCCTAAAAAGGGAAAATGAATATTAGGAAGTTACATCTGATAGATTTGGTACCTCCTAAATGTGAATACTGGGTCTATGGAATTACTTGCTTGGAAACTTTGCTAATTATTCCTCAAGGTGAAGGTTATGAAAGGCCTATGATTTATGTGATCTGGTTTTGACAACAGAATTTATTTGGTAGGGCAAATGTATATATATCAAGTATATATACGTGTGTGTGTGTGTGTGTGTGTATATATATATATATATATATATATATATATATATATATATATATACATTTTTTTTTTTTTTTTTTCGAGATGGACTCTCACTCTGTCTCCCAGGCCGGAGTGCAATGGTGCGATCTTGGCTCACTGCAACATCCACCTTCCAGATTCAAGTGATTTTCCTACTTCAGCCTCCAGGGTAGCTGGGATTACACATCCATCTAATTTTTGTATTTTTAGTAGAGACAGGTTTTTGCCACGTTGGCCAGGCTGGTCTGGAACTCCTGACCTCAGGTGATCCACCTTCCTCAGCCTCTCAAAGTGTGGGATTACAAGCATGAGCCACTGCGCCCGGCCCATGATTATATAATTTGAGAGGGTGACAAATGCAAAAGTTACCTAATCATGCAATGAGTTGACAGGTTATTTGTGCTCCTATTTTTATTATTTTCGGAATTGACCATGTCATTCCAATTGTAAGTATTAATTTACAACTGAAAACTATTTATTTCATGAGTATGCAACACCCAAAGAAGAAAAAAAAACTGAAAAGATTGAGAAGTTCAATATTTCTAACATGTAATACCCAAATGTTGGCAAAAGTTTAATAAGTTTAACAAAGTTTAATAAAGTTTAACAGAATTTGTCTCCCACAGATAGATAATTAAAACTTAGTCCCAATTGCACTTTGTAGATGCAGTACAAGCAATCCTTTTTAAATTTCTCTAGAACAAATTAAAAGAGATTTAAGATGTCATCAGCATATTTTTTTTAAAAGCCAAATTACTCTCATATCCTTTTTGGTATTCTATGCATTATTCTTTCATATACCAACATCAGTAAAAAAAACAAACTTTGGTAAATAAAAACAGTAATATTTAGAACATTTAATGGACGTTTTAAAAATCACAAACTTAAAAACCCTTAGAAGAAAACTTCAGCTAAAATAAGTGCTTATTTTCCTTGCTTAAATAATCTTATATAAGACCGGTTTAATGACAAATAATGACTAAGAAGATTCTATTTATCACGTGTACTTGAAATGAGAAAGAGTTAATCACTCTGGCAAATCTTTTCTTTCCTTAGGATTATTCATAAAATCCCTATCCTTATAACTACCTTCATTTTGATAAAGCGACTGCTGTTACTAAATACAATACCTCCATGAAATGACCACATTATATTTTATCACCCTTTCAATAGTTAATTGTCTTAATTTATCTTCCTGTTTTTTAAATAAATTATAAGCTCCAGATGGCAAATATCTCTTCTTCATATATTGTCCCATCGGTTGAGGATCTGAAAGGAAATCAATTGTACTTAAAATAAAACTCTTTTTAAAAATCTCAAAATCTGGGCCAGGCGCAGTGGCTCACGCCTGTAATCCTAATGCTTTGGGAGGCCGAGGCGGGCGGATCACGAGGTCAAGAGTTCAAGACCAGTCTGACTAACATGGTGAAACATCGTCTCTACTAAAAATACAAAAATTAGCAGGGCATGGTGGCACGCACCTGTAATCCCAGCTACCCAGCAGGCTGAGGTAGGAGAATCGCTTGAACCAGGGAGGAGGTGGTTACAGTGAGCCAAGATCGCGCCACTACACTCCAGCATGGGTGACAGAGTGAGACTACATCTCAAAAAAAAAAAAAAAAAAAAAACTCAAAATCTTTTTATTGAGATAGTCTTTTGCAGCTGGTAGGAAAGAAGGAGTAATTCAGGTACTTACTTCTTACAGAGTTGTTATCAGAAATATGTTAAATTTTGTCAATTGAAAGAATATTTTTAAATTTGTTAATATTATCAGGGAAAATATCTCCCCTGAATAAAGCACTCAAATATGTACCACGTTTTTCAGTAGAACTTTGGAGGACAATTTCTTTTATAATTTTTAGTTATAATTTAGAAAAAAAATGTGTTTCATTCCAATTGCTTTTAGTTTATTTTTGCTTTTTTTTTTTTTTTGAGATGGAGTCTAGCTCTGTCACCCAGGCTGGATTGCAGTGGTGCCATCTCAACTCACTGCAACCTCTGCCTCCTGGGTTCCAGTGATTCTCCTGCCTCAGCCTCCTGAGTAGCGGGGACTAGAGGCATGAGCCACCACACTCAGCTAATTTTTGTATTTTTAGTAGAGACGGGGTTTCGCCATGTTGGCCAGGTTGGTCTTGAACTCCTGACCTCAGGTGATCCACCAGCCTCGGCCTCCCAAAGAGTTGAGATTACAGGCATGAGCCACTGCACCCAGCCTACTTTTGTTACTATAATTGAGAAATGTAATCAATTTAATTGTAGTCATATGAATAAAAACATTTTTAAATTTTTCATTAAATTTTTATTTAAGTAAATAAAAATGACTGGAGTAATCCATAGAATATCAAAAATATCGATGGAATAACAATAAGTAATATAGAGCAAAATGGAATAATGTGTGTGTACATAACCCATAATTCGACAAATTCCAATTAAGCTTTATGTTTTTTACAGTACTCAATCTTCAGAGATGCATTTAAAGAAAATGCCATATAGCAGGATTCTCATGATATACAGTTCATTTCCTTTATTAATATGTGTTAGCATAAAGAACGATAGCTATTAATATGTGTTAGCATAAAGAACGATAGCATAAAGAACGATAGTAATTAAAATTATGGCAACTTCAATTTTCTTTTCCTAAATTAAAAAAAAAGAAAGGAAGATCTTTAGACTTGTATGAAAACTTGTAACTTAGTCTTTTTATAATTTGCTTCAATAATGTAAGTTCACATGAATATAATATTACATTATATAAACTAATTTCCTTTAGATACTTTTTAAATGTTTAGATATTCACAGAATGTATGTTTATAAAAATATATACTTGAAAAGTTATTTAAGTATAATGAGTTAAAATGATCTAAATTTAAAAATCATTTTTCTTCAATATTTTAAATATAGGATGAACATAAATCTAGTTTTATAACCTTTCCTAAAATCATCTTCCTGTATTAATATTTTATAACCACTAGAAAGGCAAAGATAATTAAAATAAGGCCCACGATGATGCCCTCCAGGCTTACTGCTAAGAATTAGAAACTAGAAAAATGATGATCAGATCCCAAGACTGTATAATTCACCAAGAATCCTGCCATTGGTTATTAGGAAACAAGTCACTCAGACTGAAATAGGTGGGCAAACTACTTGGGTTTTCAGAAATAACATGGTTTAGTAATTACTTCATCCTTACAACATTATGTCTTTTTTTTTTTGAAATTAAACTGTCTTTATTTGCAAATGACACGATTATCAGCACAGATAATCACGAGAAATATATAAAAAGATTTCTAGAACTAATAAGTTAGTTCAGTAAGGTTGTAAGCAATAAGATAAACAAAGGAAAATCAATTGTATTTGAATGTATCAACAATAAACATATGGACATTAAAATTAACAATACAATATAATTTATGTTCATTAAAAATATAAAATGCTTAGGCATAAATCTAACAAAACCCCCACAGTACTTGTAGGTGAAAACATATCTGTTTTACCAAACCATCAAATGTTCACTCCACACATACTCCACATCAGTTGAATGCTAACCTGATATATTTCCCATTGTAAAATTTCTCCCCCAGTTTAAGACACGTTCCAGAAAAGTTCATGTCATTTGAGTAGAGTTCTGTCATAGAAAATCAAGAGACTTTACTCACAAAATTAATTAATAAATATAGGTAATCAGCAAAATAATAATAGCAATAGATTGATTTCATTACTAGCAAGAAGTCTTTAAAAAAATTTTTTTTTGGTTCTCAAAATGACAAGTACTTTATGAATTGGGCTAGAATAAAAAGACATATCTGAAGATCCAAAAGGATCATAATACACAAATTATTATTTTTAAAATTATCTGATTAGTCTATATAATATACCTATCAGAACATTGGGCAAAATATAAGTGTTTAATAAATGTTAATCTCCCACTACACTTCCCTTGCCACCCCAACAACAAAAGAAAATCAAATCAAATAACATTCTTTGGGAAGATTTCCATAAGTTAATTTGATTATTGTTAACATATACAGAATTTGAGGGAATTTGAAAATTAATTAGACAATTTTAAATGAGTTTGCATTTATTTTCTTGAAACTTTAAAGAGGCATTATTTCAACACAATTATGTCACCCATGGCTTCTTTTTGACATTGTCCTACAGAACTATACAAAGTTCTACTGGTTTATGTAACAAATATATATATATATATATATATATATATATATATATATATATATATATATATACTTTTCTTGGACAATATAAAATAAATTCCTGCATTTAACAGATAAATACTGTTTCAACTTAAATGAATAACTCCTTGACTCTAAAATCCTGGATACACTTTGCAAAAAAATGATGAAAAATATGAGTAATACATGTCAAATTTTTTCTCAAAATAAGTTTAGTTAAGAATCTTATCCAAAAATTCAAAAGGATTACTTAAATTTGCTGAAACGATAGTTTTTACACTTGGCATGCAAGTAGGAAATTGCCTAGGACTCAAAAAATGTTGGGAAATAAAAACTATATTTTCATTTATGTTATACTTGGAATCTTCAAATTATCTATCCTCTTGTTTGTCTATTATAGAGATTTCCAAGGGGCCTTCATTCACCACTACTCTAGCAAGTATTTAAGACACATACCAGAATTATGGTCCTGCACTGCTGTTTATAAATTATTCTTTTATAATTTACAACTAAAAACATGGACTTATGGAGCAAGAAAAACCTTGATAAATGAAAATGGTATCTCAGTTTTATATAGGAATTTACAGCTCACAAAGAACTTTCACAAATATTAACTTAGTTCAGTCTTCACAGAGCTGAGGGAGGTCAAATACACAGAGGCATATTTCTTGGCTTGAACTGCAAATCTTAAAAGTTAATAAGACTATCATAATTACTGAACTGACACGTACTACTGTCCTTGTCTGGTCTGCAAATCTTACCTCAAAAAGATCCAAATGGATATTTTGTCAGAAGGAAGAGAAGTTGCATAATTCACCTAAACATACAAAGAAAGCTGGCATTCAAACTGAGAGGTTCTGTGTCTACCTTCCTTAAGGTATATTATATTAGGAATGTTAGGGTAAAATGAAACAATCAGAAATCCCTCCTTATGGAAATATTACAGCAAATGCTGTAAGAACGCAGAAAGAACACAAACCTACTTTTGCTTAATTTTATATTAAAAAAATCATTTCATTAATACACGGTGTATGTCAATTGTCATTACTACTTTTTTGTCAGTGGGTGAGGAAAGCACAAGGTCAAAATAGCTATGACATGCTGCATTTGGCTTTTGTCACAGTTAAGGCTCTGGGTCAATTTTGCGATTCTCTTTTGCTTGTACATAATACTCTCCAAACTACTGCTTCAAGAGTTATGCCACTTCATCTCCAGGTGGATAGTGTCAGAATTTAAAAAAAAAAAGAGTTATGCCACTTATTTCAAATCTCACAACCATATGTTTTACTGAAACAACTGTAGAGTATGTGAATTGGTGGCATGGAGAGCACAGATATTATCAGGAGTGCAGAAGAAATTCCACGGATGTTATTTAATGAGATGGAAGCAGAAAATGATTAATGTACATTATGCCCAATTCCTGAGATCAGCACAAATCGCCCATTTTGTAGTGAGTGCACCTTTGTTACAAATCTCCCATGTTATAGGCACCGTGAGCACACTTTAGTTCTCTTACCAATCCAGCTCACCCTACATATCCCGCACCTAAGAAATACTACTTGATTCCCTGCTGAAGACTCAATCCCTAAAGTATCTAGTCAATCATATAGAAACTCAATTGCTTATTTGCATGTGGGCCATAAAAGAAGCATAAATGTTATCTGTACTCCTCCTAAATACACAAGATATACAAAAGCATTTATAAGCCAATATGTAAAATAACCCAAAACTGTGATTATTTATTAGAACCCACATTCTTACAAGCCCCAAAACCTTTTCCTGCCTCTTTCTGGGAATCCCCAAGAGATTTCTCACATGTAATCACAAAGCCACTTAACATTAGGTTTTCCTGCCCTTCCTTTCTTGCTCCATCTTCCACCAGTCCATGATAAATGCCCACAAAGCTAGCTAGACAAAGCTAACCACTGTCTTCACCTTCACCATCACCACCACTACCAGGTATTCTATCTCCAGAGGCTTCCAACACTTCCTTGAGTGTGGAATGCAGGGATCGGTATGGCAGAAAGTGTTTGGGTTGACATGGAGAGTTGGGAGAAGTTGCGACACTTCCATTTTACTTGACAGAACTGATTTATTCATTAGGCACAGGAGTCACAGCACCTAGGACCTATGATAATTCAGAGGTCCAAGAAAATGTTTTAAATTTAATTCATTTTAAAATTGGAAGAAAAATGAACATAATAATACTAAATAAATAATAATAATTGGGATTGTAGATCCTATTTATATAAATACAGTCATACATATATAATTTTAAATTTTGATGTATTACTTTATTTTTTAATGAAGGAAGTGGTCCACAAAGACAAAGGTGCCTATGGTTAAAAGTCATAATTTGTCCCTGCCAGTCAATCACTTGAGCTCCTGTTCATGTCTACAATTTCGTTCTTGAAAAGTTCTGTCAGCTTCTGACACCAGCCCATAAGATAGGGGCAAACCAGAAGCAAAGGGACAATCAGAGAACAGATATACACCTTTCCCTTACATCATCTTTGCTCTTCTGCTGGGCCTTCTCTTCTCCCATGAGGAACTGCTATTTTTCACCTCCCATTATTAAATAAAATATCTTTATTTATGGGAATGGAGGTCCATGTATATTGGTACATGTAGGGAGATGTTATATGAATTTGAATTGTATAAGTAAAATAATATGTGAAAAAATACCAACATACAAAATCTGAAATAGCATATATAACCAAACAAGGGAAAAATCTCACTTACAATATATTAGAAATTTAATTTATTTTTGTTCATCTCTGTAATATCAGATACTGAAGGACTTTTCTCTTCCCGTCATATACTGTGGTATGGATAGCTTCCAAATATCACATCAACAGGATAAAGGACAAAAACCATATGATCATCTCAATAGACACAGAAGAAGCATTTGATAAAATTGAACATTCCTTCATAAAAAAAAAACCAAAAGCTCTCAATAAATTAGGTATAGAAGGCCCATAACACAAGGAACTTCAACACAATAATGTCTATATAGGACAAACCCACAGC
Organism: Homo sapiens; assembly: GCF_000001405.40. Taxonomy (NCBI): domain Eukaryota; kingdom Metazoa; phylum Chordata; class Mammalia; order Primates; family Hominidae; genus Homo; species Homo sapiens. The sequence goes on from NC_000014.9 coordinate 46,936,829, forward strand.
TAACATCATACTGAATGAAGAAAAGCTAAACATGTTTTTTTCAAAGAACTGGAACAAGACAAGGATGCCCACTCTTACCACTCTTATTCAACGCAGTACTAGATGTCCTAGCCAGAGCAATTAGGCAAGAGAAAAAAGTAAAAGGCATCCAAATTGGAAAAGAGGTCAAATTGTCCCTGTTTGCTGATGGCATACTTTTATACGCAGAAAAACCTAAAGACTCTACCAAAAAAACTCTTAGAACTGAAAAATAAATTTAATAAAGTTGCAGGACACAATATCAGCTTACACAAATCAGTAGCATTTACATATGCCTGGAGTGAACAGTCTGAAAAAGAAATAAAGCAAACAATGCCATTTACAACAGGCACACCGCTCCCCCGACACCCCCCCCAACACAAATACCTGAAACAAATTTAACAAAGGAAGTAAAAGATCTTTATAAGGAAAACTATAAAATACTGGTTAAAAAAAATTGAGGAAGACACCAAGAAGTGGAAAGACATCCCATGTTAATGGTCTGGAAGAATACTGTTACAATGACCACACACAAAAGCAATATATAGATTCAATGCAATTGCTGTCAATTACTAATCAAAGTACCAATGACATTCTTCACAGAAATAGAAAAAAAATCCTAAAATTTGCATGGAACCACAAAAGATTCTAAATAGCCAAAACAATCTTGAGCAAAAGAAACAAAGCTGAAGGCGTTATACTACCAATTTCAAAATATACTACAAAGCTATAATAACCAAAACAGTATGGTGCTGGCACATAGACGAATGGACTAGAATACAGAACCCTGAAATTAATTGACATTTCCACAGCCAACTGATTTTTGACAAAGGTGCCAAGAACATTCCTTTGGGAAAGGACAGTCTGTTCAATAATGATGCTAGGAAAACTAGATATCCATATGCAGAACAATGAAACTAGACATCTATCTCTTACTCTATATAAAAATTAATTCCAAACAGATTAAAGGCTTAAATGTAAGATCTGGAATTATAAAACTATTAGAAGAAAACATAGGGGAAATGCTTCAGAACACTGGGCTGAGAAAAGATTTTATGAATAAGACTTCAAAAACACAGGCAACAAAAGCAATAATAAACAAATGGGATTACATTAAACCAAAAAGCTTGTGAACATCAAAAGAAGCAATCAAGAGACTGAAAAGACAATGCAGAATGGCAGAAAATATTTGCAAACTATTCATATTACAGGGAATTACTATCCAGAAAATACAATGATCTCAAACATCTCTAGCACAAAAATATACAATCTAATTTTTTAAATGGGCTAATGATCTGAATAGACATTTATCAAAGAAGACATATAAATGGCCAAAAAATATTTGAAAAAATGCTCAACATCACTAATCATCAGGGAAATGCAAATCAGAACCACAGTAAGATATCATCCGGCTGGGCATGGTGGCTCATGCCTGTAATCCCAGCACTTTGGGAGGCCTAGGTGGGTGGATCACCTGAGGTCAGGAGTTCAAGACCAGCCTGACCAACATGGTAAAACCCCTTCTCTACTAAAAATAAAAAAATTAGCTGGGTGTAGTGGCGGGAGCCTATAATCCCAGCTACTCGGGAGGGCTGAGGCAGAAGAATCGCCTAAACCCTGGAGGTGGAGGTTGCAGTGAGCCAAGATCATGCCATTGTACTCCAGCTTGGGCAACAAGAACGAAAATCCATCTCAAAAAAAAAAAAAAAAAAAAGAGACATCATCTGACCCCAATTAGAACAGCTATTATGAAAAAGCCAAAATATGACAAATGCTGGTGAAGATTGCAAGAAAGGGGAACTCAAACATTGTTGGTGGGAATGTAAATTAATATAGCCACTACAGAGAAAAGTATGGAGGTTCCTCAAAAAACTACAAATGAAAGTACCATAGGATTCAACAATCCCTCTACTGATATTTATCCAAAGGGAAGGAAATCAGTACAGTACAGAGATACTTACACTCGCATATTTATTGTAGTACTATTCACAATAGTCAGAATATGAAATCAACCTTAGTATCCATTAAGGGATGACTTGAAAGATAAAATGTAGTATATATACACAATGAAATACTATTTGGCCATAAAAAAGTATGAAATTCTGTCATTTGCAACAACATGGATAAGCCTGGAGGGCATTATGTTAAGCGAAATAAGCAAGGAGCAGGAAGTTGAACATTTCATGATCTCATGCATTTATGGAAGCTAAAAAGGTTGATCTCATAAATGTAAAGGGTAGAACAGAGGTTACCAGAGCCTGGTGGGGGGGTAGTTGAGAAGGAGAGAATAGGGCAAGATTTTTGAGAGAATACAAAATTACAGATAGGAGGGATAAATTGTAGTGTTCTATAGCACTGTAGGATGACTATAGTTTACAATATATTATATATTTTCTAGTAGCTAGTAGACGGGATATTGAATGTTTCCAACACAATGAAATAATAAATGTTTGAGATAGTAGATATGCTAATTACTATGATTTGATCACTACATATTGTATGTATCAAAACATTGCTTTGGAACCCATAAATAAGTAAAATTATTATAAGTCACTTAAAAAGTTTTTAACAAGATTCTCATGAAATGCTTTCCACTGAGATCTTTCTATTCATGACCTTGTAAACCTGCTTCCAGTGTTCTACCACAGAACACTGTTCATAGAAAATACTAAAAATAGCAGTTTCTAAAGCATTATTTGGAAGCTTAATCTTTGATAAAACAATTATTTCTAGGCCTAAGGAAGAATTGGTGTTTAATCTCTCCCAGACAGAACAAAATGTTTTAAGGCACTTTTGTTGTTAGTTGCTGTATTTGTCAGGCACCATGCTAATCAACTTGCATACATATGTTTTTTAATATTCACAGTCTCATGCAAGATGGCAATATCCTTATCATTTTGTCCTTTCACAGACTAAAGTGAAGATTAGAGATCTTAAGCCACTTTCCCTATAGTAAGCAACCATCAAGTCACGAAGCTACATTTTGAACTCAGGCTGTCCAAAGTCCATTTTACACTAATTTCCAATACCTTTGGGTATGGTTGCTCACAACCAAGTGCATGCCTTGCTGAAAGCATGACTGAGGCTGAAATCCAGGCTGTATTACTCTTGCTACGACTCTTACCCTGGTATAGGAACTACATCTACTTCAAGAAAGGAGCTTTTCTCTCCTCCTAATTTACAGAGTTATTGTATAGGCTAGTGGACTTTCTGATAGGATGGAGGACTTATTGCAAAAGGGTCTCCACTTTGCCTCTGTGAGTATGGAAACTTAAACTACAAGTTTATCCCTAGGACTCAATCATATTTGCTATATCACTATTTGAAAGTATTGTCGACTCAGGAATTTACAAAGATAAGGATTGACTAAATCTCTAGAATAAGAACTACAAGTACTTTGTTAAATATTTAACTCAAGAATAATAAATATACTATAAGCTGCATATAAATGTATTTAGTCTTGACTAAAGCTATATCTTTCCTTAAAACCTAATAGTTCCGGCCAGGCGCGGTGGCTCACGCCTGTAATCCCAGCACGTTGGGAGTCTGAGGAGGGTGGATCACCTGAGGTCAGGGATTCAAGACCAGCCTGGCCAACATGGTGAAACCTGGTCTCTACAAAAACATAAAAACTGGCCAGGCATGATGGCGGGCGCCTGTAATCCCAGCTACTCAGGAGGTTGAAGTGGAAGAATTGCTCGAACCCGGGGGGTGGAGGCTGCAGTGAGCTAAGATCATGCCATTGCACTACAGCCTGGGTGACAGAGCGAGACTGTCTCAAAAAAAAAAAAAAGTTGAACTTAATAGTTCCAAAATATCTAAAAGCCTTGTATTCATTTAAAGGACCATTGGTTGAGTGTGTGCGTGGAGGGGAACAGATGGATGAACTGATCCAGCGACTCCCAGGCTGAAAGAACTGAATGTTCAATGGTGTACTTATAGACCACATTAACTTCTTGGCAAGTGCTGCTGCTGCACATGTGGGTGGTCCATCGCTGAATATGAATGTGCTGAATATCATTTGGGCAAGGAGCAAGAGGTGTTCAAGTGAGTTGGAGAGAAGCCCAGAAGGTATGCTGTTTATCTTCTAGGAACATTTATTTTCTGCAAAACATATAACTTGAGTTAATAAAGTAGATTTAGATGTGAATAAAGGAAACCGGTTATTGAACCTGCATCACTGTGCCTCTCCAGGAATAACTAAAAGTTTTGAATTTGAATCCTAGAACAAGAAAAAGAATAGAGCACAAATAACTGCTCTTATCACCTTGCAAGGAATCACTGGACTGGATCTGACTGCAAAGCAGGTATCTATCTGCCTGCAGTTGGATCCCGAGGCTCCTAGTAACTGTCTTTGTCATACATTCTTTTAAAATAGACAAAGTCATTAGAATGATAAGAGAAGGAGATTTCTTAAGTAATGCTCACTTAAGTAATGTGAAATTATAAGACTGTGGTTATAACCTCTGGTCTGAATCCTTGACAGAATTTGTAACAAGAAAACGTCTATTGACTTTCTCAACTTAGAGCCCTGTCACAAAATCTCTCTTGATAAAAGATGCCAGATCAGGCTGTGGGCTATCATCTGTGGATTCTCTCTCCTGACCACTCTTAGTTTCAGGCATGCCCTTGGAACACACTCTGCACTGTTCTCATCCATTAATCATTCCTTCAGGGTGAAGGACAGAGGCCAGGTGCTTAAACAGACACCGGGAGGTTTGAGAGATGGCTTTGATTCCACTGAACTAAAAAGTTCTGTGATTCCTTCACAGATTGGTTTTATTACCATTCAATTTCTACCGGAAAATCTAAATGTGCTAAGAGGTAAATAGGCCCTTAAGAATAGCAGTACTAAACATAGGATATTAATATACATAGATGTGCTTTTCTGTATTCAGTTTTCTTTGTTCTATTCTTCTCTGGTGTCAGTACATATTAGAAAGTTTCTTTTCTCTCAGAGGAAACTGTTTGAATTTTTAGACTGTTTCTTATTATTTACAAATTAGATCTAATGCAGACTCAAAAGTAATGTGAGCAAGCTGTAAGACACAGTTTTGCAACCCTACACCCTAGCTTGTTCGAGACTGATATCTCTGTCTTTCCATTATTTTACACAGCAGTGACTGTCTCTGCTTACAAAATGGTAATACTCCAAACCTGACTGATATCTTTCTGATTTAACTTTTATATATGACTTTTGCTACCAACAAATTGGGTCTTTCTATATTTTTGATGTAACATTCGCTGTCTCTTAATGCAAGAAATATAAGAGAGAAACATTGATATGGAGAGGGGAAATACTGTGCAGAATAACCATTTTAGCTTCCCCAACTAAAATAATTTTGAAGGCTAGTGGAGGAGAAAAAGGAACAAATCATTCTTGAGGAAAAATTAATTTTGCTAAATTACTTTGCATATGTTACTACAATATGCATTAGAAAAATTACATACATTATAACATTACATGGAACAAATGTCATTCACATTATGAAACACTTCCTATTCTGAAGCCTACCTTAGCTAGCAGATGTTTTATTCATTTACAACACAATAGTACCTTATTCAGATATAATTTACATATAATAAACTTCATAAATTTTAAATGTGATTATTGATGGGTTTGGAAAAATATATATTGCTATGTAATCACCACCATAATCAAGATATAGATTCCCATCTCTGCAGAAAGTTACCTCCTGCCCCTTCGTAATTAGTCACCTCCACCCTTGACCCAGGCAAACAAAAATCCACTTTTCATTACTAAAGATTAGTTTTTCCTATTCAGGAAATTCATATAAATGAAATCATAAAATATGCACTTTCTGTATTTGGTTCTTTTCACTCGACATTGTTTTTGAAATCCATCCACTTGCATGTATCAGTAGTTCTTTCCATTTTTAACACTGAGTAAAATTCCATTTCGTGAATAGATCACAAGTTGTTCATCTGTTGATGGATATTTGGATTGTTTCTAGTTTGAGGCTATTACAAATGAAGCTGATATTAAAGTTTGTGCATAAGTCTTTGTGTATACATGTGCTTTCATTTCTGTTGGGTAAATTAATTTACTTAATAGTATGCTTAAAATCTTCTAAAATATTAGTGTTTTTTATCTCCATATTCTATCAATCACGAATAAATGGGTATTAAAATCTTGAACTATAATTATGGAATAGTGTGTTACTCCTTGTAGTATTTTTTATTTAGGAATTTTAAGGCTCTATTAATAGATGTTCACATAATTTGAACCGTTATGTCTTCCCTATAAATTCCTGTTGTAGTATTATTGTGTTCCTCTTTAACTCTCGTAATTACTCTATCTTGAAGTCTACTTTTTCTGGTAATAGTACAGCCATGCCAGCATTTTTATGTCTGCTGTTTGAATGCTATGTATTCCCCCATTTCCTTTCAGTCTTTTTGTGTCTTTGTATTTGAAGTGCGTTTTTGGTAGAAAACAGTGTGTATCTTGTAGATAGTGCATTTTTTTTTCTCAGTCCAGTTCTACCATTTCTGACAGCTAATTGGAATCTTAAACTCATTTACATTTACTGTAATTATTAACATGACTGAGTTAAAGTCTACCATCTTGCTCTTTGTTTTGTCTCTTCAATATTTCCTTCATCTGTTACTTGGTGTATTTTGACTAAATTCAAAAAACTTTTGAAGGATTTTTATATGGCTTAAAGTATGCAACATTCACTTACTGATTCTACTTAGAGTCAATATTGTACCAGTTAACATATCACATTCCATACTTCATGATTCTCTGAGGTCCCTATTTACTTCTCACTTCCCACATCACAAATGTAATAAATTTACAACAGTATAATTCAAATTAATTCCATCGCTTGTGCTATTGGCATGTTTTAGCTCTAAATATGCTGTGAACCCTAAATTACAATGTTGTTATTTTTTCTTCAAACTGGAGATTGATTGGCAGACTTATTTGTAAAGGGTGAGACAGTAAATATTCTTGGCTTGAGCCATATGGTCATTGTTGCAACTACTCACCTCTGTGGCTGTAGCATGAAAGCAGCTTTAGACAATACATAAACAAATCAGGAAAGGTGTGTTCCAATTAAACTTCATTTACAAAAAACAGTTTGCTGACCTCAGGCTGCTATTTGTTGACCCCATTTATATAGATGTTTATTAGGGAAATTGAAAGATAAAAGAAACTTAGTCTTTTATCTTTACCCACTTATTTACTATACCTAATCCTCTTCATTTATTTTTATAGATCCTGGTCTTCACTGATAGCCTTTCCCTTAAGTATAAAGATCACCGTTTAGCATATTTTTGTACTGCAGTTTCACAGACTACCAATTCTCTGGCTTTTTTCAGAATATATATATTTATTTGACTCTAATTTTTAAAGTATATTTTCACTAGACATAAAATATAAATTGACAGTATTTTCAAAAGATATTTAAAGATTTAAAGATGTCCCACTTTCTTCTAAGCTGTATTGTTTCTAATGAGAAAGTAATTGTCATACATATCATCAGAATATCATTTTTTTTTCTGGCTGCTTTGAAAATTTTCTCTTTATCATTAGTTTTCCACAATTGGACTATGGTATTCTTACGTGTGGTTTTCTTGTATTTTTCTTGCCTTGTGCACCATGATATGCTTGGATCTGTGGGTTTGCTTCGTAAATTTGTGGAAAATTTCAGCCATTTTTTCTGCCCCATTCTCACTCTATTTCAGAACTTCAAGTGCACCTGTTTTCAACTATTTTATATTGTGCCCCATGTTCTTAGGTCCCTTCTCTTTATTCTTCAATCCCTCTATTTTTTGATCTATCAGGTTGTATCAGCTCTTTCAATTTGTTTTCAATTTTACCAGTCCTCTTGCCTTTTCCAATATACTATTAAGCCCACCCATAGAATTTTTCTTTCAATTATTGTGCAGTTTTAGTTGTTCAATTTGCATCTAGTTGTTTTTTAGGGTTTTTTGTATGCTAAAATTTCTTACTCATTTGCTCACAAAATCTGCATTTTTCTTTAATTATTTGAACATATTTTCCCATAATACTTTGAAAATATTCATAATAGCTACCTGAAGCTTTTTGCTAAATCCAACATCTGGCCTACCTTAAGGTTAGTTTTTAATAAACTACTATTATTCTGGACCAAAAGTAACATTTTCCTATTTTCTTTTCATGTCAGGTAATTTTTTATTGTTTAATGAACATTATGAAGAATATATGATAAATAACTGGACTGTGCTCTCTTTCACCCTGTAAAGAGTGCCAAGTTTTAGTTTAGTAGACAGTTCAATTACCTGCTGTCCCTTTTGAACCTTTGTTTGCCATTTACGTTTAATGTAAAAAGTGATGAAATCTGTGGAAATCCAAGGATGTTCCTAAACTCTTCTAACTTGGTGGGACTCACCGTTAAAATTCCGCCTCCCTCTAAATTTTAGCAGAGCTTGGTGTTAGTCTTTGTTAAGGAGTACCTAGAATAAGTCTTTACTCTGACATGGTTTTTGTTCCTCTGATTTAATCCTTTTGGAGTCTCATCAGGATGTTTAGAATTTAAGGAGGTATAATCTACCTGATGAGCTGAAATTCTGGCTTCCTTTAAGCATTGCTAGAACTCTATTATCAATTTTCTACTCACAAAAATCCCATAGAGAAGAAAATGGTAAATCACCTCATCCTTGTAGAGTCTGATCCTTAGGTAAGGATCCACACTAACTCCTATGACCCTTCTTCTACAGAGTTTTTTACTATACAGTATTTTGTCCTGCAGATAGATGCTTTTGCTGCTTTGAGTTTTAATATATGTTTCTTAAACTTAGCCAGAAATCCATGCTCGGCTTGGAATCTACCTTGCTATGCTCATATACAGCAAATTCCCCCAAATGGAGAGCTAGAATAATCATGGGGCTCACTTCATGGGTTTCCCTCTCACAGGAAATGCAGCCTTGCACTGTCTGTTTTTATTCCTTAAAATTGTAACCTCATGTAGTTTGTCCAATTTTATGGTCGTTTGTAGTAGAAAGGCTGGCTCCATTAGTATTTTCCAGATAACTTCCAAGATTTTAGCAAAGCTACAACACAATATTCAAAAGATTTTAAGGAAGACATGAGTTGTATAATGCATGTATTTTAAATACATGGTTAACAAATATGGTTAAGTAGATAGTGTTGCTTAAATTAAAAATCAAAGAAAATTAGCACAAAGAAAAAAACAAATAATATGCTATAACACAGATAAACTGAGTCAAAAAGTGGACAAAAATCTTTAAAACTCTAAATGATGTTTTAATTTAATCTGAATAAAAATTAAGGTATGAGATCTAAACTTCTAAATTTCCTTTCTCTTCCTATAGCTTCACTCATTGAATAAGTATTCATTAGTAGTGCTCTATATATGAGGAATTCCTACAGATATTGGAGGGGAGATTGTAGGCAGTGAGCTCAATATGATATAACTTTATTGCTTGATTTTACAGCTGTAATGCCAATTTATATGATAATTATTGAAACTTGGTGTATTCTCCCTTGTTTACTCACAAAACAATCTATTAATGTGCCTGCAAAAAAAAAATGACCTTTTCAAAGGTTTCTGTACTTTGAAATGAATGAATGCATTTGCTTGTGAACTGATATTGCACTTGAGTTGTGTTGCCAATACAGCAGTAAATGAAAGGCTAACAAGCAGGAATAAGTGCTTGTTAAGAGAAATATTAATGGCCTGAAATATTCATTCAATAAATGGACTGATGTTTGCTCCTATGGAACATACATTATGATGTGGATGTAGTCAACAAACAGTTACATAATTTCTGGGTTTGACAATATTCTGAAGACAGTCTCTGAGAGATGACATATATTAAGACTTGTAGAAAAAGAAAGAGCTAGTCATACCAAGACCAGAGAAGAGGATTCCAAAACTAGAATTTTCTCTTTTACCCCTAAGTTCCTCCAGCCACCTTACTTACACCACAGGCCCAGGGAAAACTGACAGTACAGTGAAACACTGATTTTTCAGTGTCAACAACTCCCTACCATGACTGACAGGTCGTAGGAAGGATGCCAGGTCCTTCCCCTTATATCCTCATAAGACCTGCCCCTTATGTCATATTGGCATTGACTCAAGTCTTAATACTGAATGATTATGAATAAAATATTTTAAACATTACTTGTTTACAAAAAACAGACTTGATTAGGTTTTTACTCATTCTTTCTTCTTTCTCATATTCCATTCTTTTCCCTCAGATCCATCTCTTTCTTGCTTAATTCCAACAAACAAGAATTCTTTTTAAAATTATCTTTGTAAGATAAACTTTTAGAATAGGAATATTTTCATTGTGTCCTCGCAATTAATTGTACATTTATTTGCATGCAAAATTCTTTTTCAATTACTTTTTCTTTAATATTTTGAAGACATAACTCCATTATCTCTCTGCATGTCAAGTTGCACAAAGTTTAATGTCTATATAATTCTAAATCCTGTATAAATTATCTGCTTTATCTCTATAAATAACTTTTCAAACATTTTTGTACTTGATATTTTAAAATTCATTTAAATTTATCAGAGCATGTAAATTTTCCCCCCAACATATTGTTGCTGTCACTCCATGAGCCACATCACTCAGAAGTCTAGCCAATATGGTTTGGCTGTGTCCCCACCCAAATCTCATCTTGAATTCCCATGTGTTGTGGGAGGGATCTGGTGGGAGGTAACTGAATCATGGGGGCAAGTCTTTCCCATGCTCTTTCCGTGAGTCTCATGAGATCGGATGGTTTTAAAAAAGAGGAGTTCCCCTGCACAAGCTCCCTCTCTCTCTTTGCCTGCTGCCATCCATGTAAGACATGACTTGCTCCTCCTTGCCTTCCACCATGACTGTGAGGCTTCCCCAGCTACGGAACTGTAAGTCCAATGAAACCCTTTTCTTTTGTAAATTTCTTAGTCTCGAGTGTGTCTTTATTAGGAGTGTGAAAACAGACTAATACAGTCGTCCTTTTTACTTTCTAATTTAAAAAAAAAATCTCAGTTATTATTTTTTTCATTTAATTTTATTTCTGCATTTGGTCTTTTACTTCTTTATGGGTTTCCTGCTAAGCAGATACTTATTATTTTGTCCTTCACACCTCTTAAGACTTTACTTACCTTTGTGTCCTCTACTGGGAGAGTTCCTCTATGACATCTTTCAAACTACTTATGCCTGCCTTGTGCCTATTCTGCAATTTAGTCTAGTAATATAGTTATTTATATCAACTGTTACATTTTTATACCCATTGTCATAAATTTCTTTTCTGCAATGCTCTTTTTTCTTCATCATGTTTCTTATATCCTCCCTGCTTTCTTTGAGGATGAAATTTTATGTATTTAAAAATCTTATTTTCTGATTATTAATACTCCTACCTAATGTGGAATAGATTATTCCATTTGTCTTCTTGCTTTCATAATTGTTTTGCTCATGATTTTGCATATTTTATTCCTGTGAGATCCCTAAATATCTTGACCAGTACTGTCTATGAGAGTAAGGATGACCTAGGCTCTTGCTTGTGTTCCTTAGGTAAAGGGAAGGAGTGCTTCAGGACGGAGAGATCTGGTTGCAGTATCATTTTTACCATTCTCTATCTTCTCTTCCCTCTACTCTTCAGTTTTCTCCCTCCAGTTCTCTCAGTTTGAAATACTCTAGGTCCAGGCACTGCTCTTACCCTAAGTTGGCCTGCCTCTTGGGTGTGGTCTAGCTTGAGGGAGTGTGGATGGAGATGTGAGGAGAGGAAGAACAGTAGAAACTCTGAGAGCCAACCACCCTGTTGCCCTCATTTCTATACACTGTCCCTTCCAGCTCTGATTCTCTCTCAACGTTTCTCCTAATATTTCAAGTTAGAATTGCTGCTTTTCTGCTCCTTGGTAATGTCAGGCAATAAGCCACCCAGAATAATATACAGAGGGGAAAAAGCTCACCTAAAATGCAAAGCTATCTCTCAGACAAGCCACAAAATATTGTCACTGGCCTCATTGGTTCCAGCCTAATATTCTTACCACACTTCTTTTCCAACCAAAGCTCAATTGTGCATTGATTACTTACTTTATCTCTGACATCAGTCATCCTCTCCATCTCTGCCTTTTTGGAGGGGCATTTTCAATGTTGTGTTACTCAGGCAGAAAGTAGCTTACCTATGGGTATATCTGGAAATCTTCTCATCTTATTTTTCTATGATCATACTGCTTTGTTTTTAAAACACTTTCAAACTGATTAGCTTATTTGATAATCCTAAAATTATGTGAGCCATGGGAAGCAGATTTATCATCTCCCATTTTACAGATAGAGGAAGCAAGGCCACAAAGAATTAAATGGCTTGCACAGAGCTAATCTGTTAGAAGATGTTAAAATCTTCCATTCATGGGAGAACTTTCTTTACATACTGACCAAGAATAAAACACAGTCATACCCACAGTACATCATCCAGAAGAGTTCCATGTGGACTAGAGGAGTTCACGTAATTTGCTCCATGCTGTAATTTGATACTGTGATTTCTTTTTTATTATTTTTTAAGATTTTTGGGGCATATGTGTAGTTTTTTACATGGCTATATTGCATAATGCTGAGGTTTGGGCTTCTAGTGTACCCATCATCCAAATAGCGAGCATTGAAATGCTTACCAATGTGTAATTGTTTAACCCTCACCTCCCTTTCTCTTCTCCAATTTTGGAATCCCCAGAGTCTATTATTTCCATCTTTATGTCCATGTGTATCCATTGTTTAGGTCCCATTTATAGATGAGAACACTGAGTTTTGATTTTCTGTTTCTGAGTGATTTCACTTAGAATAATGGCTTCCAGCTCCATCCATGTTGCTACAAAGGACATGATTTCATTAATTTTTATGGCTATATAGTATTCCTCATATATATACCACATTTTTTAATTAAGTCACCTATTAATTGATACTTAGTTGGATTCCATGACTTTGCTATTGTAAATAGTGCTGCAATAAACATAGGAGTTGAGGTGTCTTTTTTATATAATTATTTCTTTTCCTTTGGGTAGATACTCAGTAGTGGGATGGCAGGGTTGAATGCTAGTGGCACTTTAAATAGTAGATTTTTGATAGCAACATTGCTCTGAATCTTTTATTGGAGAAATTAAATGATTTTATAATGAAGAAAATGAGTAATGCAAATAATTTAAGGAGCCATCAAACTGCTGTAAAAATAATGAAAATTTTAATTGAAGTTTTTATTTAAGTATGATATGAAATATAAATTCCTCATTATATGTTTACTGGAGAAAAATAACTGTTTAAAAAATTATATGAATTTAAATTGAATATTAAGGTATATATTTTAGTAATAAGTGATAGCATTAACTTCATTAAGTGATACTTACATTTTTATTCCTAATTTTTCAGATTTCGCATGGATTCCCCTATATTTTATCTAGATTGATTATTCAAATATTCCTTTATCATCACTACTAAAAGAGTCACTGATATGTGTCAAAAAGAGTTTGAACTATGTTATTATTGGCTTACTGGACCTCTGTTAGTTTATCTGTCAAAGGAGGGTGATACCATCTCTTCTGCACATGTAGTAGGGTTGTTGGAGATGATAAGGATATGTATGGAATCACTTCGTATATTACAGAAGGCTGTACATAGAAGTGATATCATTTTCTGCTTAAAGTTATTTTTCAGTACAGCTGCAACTCATAAGCTGGCTAAAATACTGGGATCCACTAGTCCATCTGTTATCATCATAAATAAAATTCTAATAAATTTAGCAAAATTCTGGCCTTGAGAAACTTTGATTTGACATTGAAATTTCTTGCCTTTTAGAGTTATCACAATTTTACTGGCAATTATTTTTCATTTTCAAAGTATGTTTAGACTGCTCTTACTTCTGATAGTTATTAATGATTTTTAACAATATTATGTTGCTTGTTTTTAGACATTATTAAGAAAGAAGTATCTAGCTGAATAGCAATAAATAAATAAATAAGTAAATAAAAACATTGCCAGAGACTAAAATATATTTTCTATCTGGTCACTGTTAATTCAGTCCAAATTTAAAAAAAAAAGATAAAATACTTTATTTTGATGTGGAGTCAAATCTGCTTTAGTAGTTGTTTCTTCCCATTTATTCTTCAGGAATAAGAAATGCTATATTCCTTTAACATCTTGTTTTAGGTGATATTAAAGTCCTCAGTCATTTTTAATTTCTTTATATACTGAACATGGAGAAACTGGTAGTTCCAATATGTCAATATGAATATTGTAATATGCCAAAAGGAAAATACAGGATGTGAAATCCTAGCTCAAATATTTCCAAACTAGAGGTGAGAGTAGCAGTTACAGGCAAAATTTTGCTTTGTAAAACCCTATTTGGCAGGATTAAGGAAAGGGATTAAACTATGAAGGATTTATTTAGTTAATATTTCAATAGATACAGCAGTTTCATTCTTATGTAGGCTATGTTCAAAAAGGACTCCTAGTGGCAGGAAATGCTGTGGCAGAAAGACCCTAAGATGACTCCCAATGATTCCTGTCTCTTGTTTTTCATATATTTGTGTAATTCCTTCAGTGTCAGGGAAAAACCGTGACTTCTTTCTGATTAACAGAACCTAAAAAATGTTACAGAATGTCACTTCTGTGATCGTATTATGTACATAAGATTCCATTTTAGCAGACTGGAGCTAGAGATTCTTCTTGTGGGTTTGAAATAAGTAGTCACTTTTGAGAAGCCCATGGGACAAACTATTGCAGGTAGCTTCTAGGACCTGCAGGCATATTCTAGGGTCTCAGGGTAGCTCCAGCAAATAACCAGCAAATACCAGGGCCTCTATCATACAACACAAAGAAATTAATTCTTCACATAACTTGAATAAGCTTGGAAGGGACTTTTCCCCAGTTGAGCGTCTAGATAAGAACACAGCCCAACCAACAGTCTGACTGCAGCCTTGTGAGACCCAGAACAGAGGATCTAGCTAAGCCATGCTTGGAATCCTGACACATAGAAACTGTGAGACAATAAATATGTTATTTAAAGCTTTTGACTTTGTATAATGTAATTCTTTATGCAGAAATAATAACCAACACAGCACCATCAATTTTATTATGTTTAGCATTAAAATATCTTGAGTCAATAATTAAACCTCATATCATCTATCTTTTGAAATTATTCTGAGACTAAATGTCCGTGGCTCTGAAAAAGGGATACAATAGTAATGGTGCATAGTTTACAGAGATAAAACCATAGTTCAAGGATTTTCCTTGGCAATCTCATTTTAATTTCATTGCAGTATTTTCAATAAAGGAAACTTAAATATATAATAAATGCAATTTAATCTTCTTAAAATAAAATCTATACCCACAACATTAATTGACGGTGAAGCAATACAATAAAGTTATTTTCAATGAAATCCAAGCAGAAAAAAAAAGTGTCTAAAATTATTGGGAAGTCTCCTCAAAAAGAAGAAGCATGCTTTACTTTTGGAGGAAATGTGGAATTAATAGCTGGAGTTTAAGTAGTCAGGGTTATAAGATGTACCATTTATTGATGGTGGTTGAGGATTAAGATGGAAGAAGCCTGAATTCCCAAGGACTTTGTGGAACAGAACCATCGTGTTACTTTCTGAAATGATACATCACTTAACCTGAGTGAAATAATTTTCTAGACTGTTTAAATAATGGTTAAGCCATATTTAAATCCTGGTTATTTGGAGTTTATTTACATGTTCAGAGAAAAGCATTTACAGCAGTAATCATTAATTTGTGAATCATAAAATATTATCACAGCCTGCACCTTTCTATTTGGCTGAAGAATAATGATTAACATAACCCTGGTAAAGTCATATACAAAAGTCACCATAACTGTAGCATAGAGATATACAAAAAGCTAGTATTTCAGAATAAAGTAACATGTGAAGAAAGGCAGAGTCCCACAAATGTGTGATGATTTGGGGGAAGGCAGCATAGTCAAATTTGAATTGAATTTGGAATAACTGGTAGAACTGAAATAGAGATTATGCTATATATTTTATTTTAAATATTAATGAATGCTTTGAAGAATTATGACAATGAAGAATTTGCATATCATCCTATAGGCAATGAACAGAATCAACCTTTCTCACTTAAGATAAGCTAGGTTTTCTAGGAAAATAAAGCCCAACAATATGAAAATTTCAGAGATCAGATAAAAGGAAACTGCAGTATCCCAGAAGAGAATATAAGGCTTAAGAAGTGCAATAGATATAAAACCAAAATTACTTCAAGATACTATGCAAATGTAAAACTGGCAAAGTTTTTCAGAGAAAGTTTTTATTGTTCTCTTTCTGATGTTTAATCTTGTACCTCACACTTAGTAAGTAGAGAGTAAATACTTGTTAAATACATTCCTGACTGTAAAAAAAATCAGTTGAGAGTACATATTGGTGGTTTTATACTCAATTATAATTTATGGTTATGCAATAAAAAATCTATTATATATATACACTGTTAACTTTTGAAAAAAAAACACCACCCCTTTAGTATCTTTCATTTAAAAGAATCTTAAAATGTCTCCATTGATAAAATTCCTAAATATTTTACAACTCTAAGTATATATAACTGTGTACATGCACTTTCTGGAAGTTAGAAGGGCATTCTACTTTTATCTCCTGGATTATATAGGGAACATTGATTACCATTTTATTTTCCTCTTATTTTCTTTGATCTAAAACCATGTAATAAATGCATATGCTTAGACTATTGCATTTAAGCAACTAGACAAAACAAAAAAGCTAAATATAAAAACTATGCTTTTTTTCACATTATTGTCTTGCCTGACTTGTCAAGAAATATTAGTCTCCCGATGCCCATAAACATTTCAGTAAAAACATAATGTCAGAAACAAGTCTGTTAAAGTAAAGAAATATGAAGAAAGTGTAGTTAGTGGGAACATAATTAGAATAGCTTAGAACTAACATCTTGATTGCTAAATATTTAGGAATATCAATTAGAACAATTTGAAAGACATAGATAATTTAAAACTTTATAAATAAATGCTGCATTTTGCTGCAGATTGCCTGTATCTTCACGTTCAAAAAAAGAATAAAAGTGCATCTTCATTAATCTCTGGTGCTGTCAACCGAATCTACCAGTAGATTCTGTCATCTGGTTTCCTATATAATCAAGCTGCTGGAAACATCTTTTCTCTGCTATATTGTGTAATGGGCATAACATTTCAATGTTGAAGCATCCCTTGGGGTTGGTTTAAGCCAATGTGTAGCTTAAACCTACACAGTCTACTGATGTAGGTGACCTGAAACCTCGCAGGTTGATTTTCCTCATTGACTGCTTCTTGCAGTTGTAAGCTTATTCCAGTTAGCCCTTTAGGTGGCAAAAGCAACCCCTTCTCACAACTTTGCTGAGTTGTAAGACACGTGCACCCATGTCTCCAGGGTCTAGCTTGCTTAGTGTGATAAAACTGAGGACAGTTGACAAAACTGTTCTATTCATCTCGTATAATTTTTAACAGCAGGGTTCTTTGAAATAGTGAGTTGTAAAGTGTATTTGTTATCTAAGACTGCCACGACAAACAGCCACAAACTGGGTGGCTTAAACAAACAAACAAACAAAAACTATCTTCTCACAAGTCTGAAGGCCAGGAGTCTGAAACCAAGGTCTTGGCAGGACCCTACTTCCTACTTCTGTAGAGACTCCAGGGGAGAATATATTCCTTGGCTCTTCCAGCTTCTTGTGGCTCCAGGGGTTCTTCAGATTGTGGTTGCATTACTGCACACTCACATTGCCTCCTCTTCTCTCTCAAAACTCCCCCTGCCTCTCTCTTATAAGAATACATGCTATTGCATTTGAGGCCCACCCAGATAATTCAAGATAAGTTCCTTCTCTCAAAATCCTTAACTTAATTACATATGTTGCCATATAAGTTAATATCCACAGGTTCCAGGGATTAGAACATAGACTTATCTTTTTCAGAGGGCACTAGCTAGCTTCCTAAAATATATATGATTTATTTTCAACTTAAGCCATCCTTTTACCCTCTCTGTATTCACTTTTTTCTCATTTAAAAATTATTTTCAGAAATTTTCTTTCACTGAATCATTAACTCTTTTGTTCATCCTCCATCTATTTAATCACTCTAGATTTACTGGTTTTCTTTTCTAGATCAAGAAATGTGATGGGACATAATGGGGTATAACATAGAATGATATTCAGTCATGCCATGAAAAAATAAGCCCAGATATTTTGAAGTATTGAAGTATATGTTTTTCCAGAGTTAAATATTGAGACATTTTGAATCTTTGATAAACTGAAATGCATGCTCCAGTTAAATCCTGTGCTATAATATTACAGAACTATTAAAATAGAACTATTTATGTCTACATATTAATATATAAGTAATATAGATAATACTTGGAATTTCAAATTTACAAATGGGCTTATTCTAATAAATCAATATGCTACCTTAACCTTTAGAACTTGTAAAAAATAGCCCATCATAGAAGATGAAAAATGGCATCTGGGTTTCTACTAAAGCTCATGAAGCTCACTTAAACCTCATAAAACTGCTATGACTTCACCATTAAAATACGAGTAAATAAAATATATGCAAATGCAAAGTATTTTTTAGTATTATAGTTAATTATCTTTAACATGGATAATATACTACAAGCTAGGCTCATCACAGTTTCCAAAATACCTTTGCTTACTTTGTTCTTTTTCCTAGCAGGAAACTATTTTCACACCCCTTCTGACATTTAAGTGAACACAACGGTATTCTCTTAGCCCCTTACTCTAACATACATCATAAACATAGAATTTTAAAAGAAGAAAGAAAAGAGGAATAATCTTTTAAGATTTCCTGTGAGCTAATACAGGTATAGACGTCATTGCATTTTAGTTCAATTCCGTACATTTCGGTGTATAGGTAGATCAAGTGTACTTTGGGATGACTATACAAAATTCATGGTAAGTGGAAGAGTAAAATAATTGAAAAAATAAAATTTAAAATGTTTTTGGTTGAGTCTCAGAAGTAAACAGCATTATCTTGAAAGATTTGCTTTGTGCATTAAAAATATATGGATCTTTGTATACTTCTATTCCCTGACTCTCTTACGTTAGATTCAAAGTTTCGAGTCATGAGAAATTCATAAGGAATACTAATCCTGATATGTTTTAGTAAATGAACTAATTGGTGTTTCAAAGTTTCATCCAGACATCTGATATGCTTTCCTAGATTAGACTAGCTAATATTACATTTCAGAAAGCAAAAATGGCGAAAGGCAGTTCATAATTAGAGAGTTCCCTCATGAGTTAGAAATTACCACTTAGAATTTATGCTATTAATAAGTTTTAAGTCTGGAACATTTTAATCATTTTTATGACTTCTTTTTAGATAACACATAATGTCCAGTTTCTTTTTTTTACTACCATGAACATTTCAACTATTACAACTAACTTTACCTATGACAAAGAAAATGAGGAGTATTTTCTTTTAATGCATTCCTAATTTGTCACTCATAAATAATGTACAGTATATAGATTATAAAAATAACGTAAATAATTACATAAGACATAATACAGAGGGAATGTTTAAAACACAATGACATAAAGAGTCAATACTTCTCCCTAATTTACTATCTGTCAGATACAACTCTACTGCTTTTTCTTGGAATATTTGTAAACATATGGCCAGTCAAAGACAAAATTGAAAGTCACCATATATTGCCAGGTAGTAAATAAATACATATATAAATAAGCAAATAAACAAAAGAAAAAAAATTCTGGTAATAAGAAAACCAGAGCAATTATCTATTCACATGAGATTTGAATAGAAAAAAAAAAATGTTTGCAACTTGATCTAATTAAAGCCAGCCAACACTACAGTATGTCTTATTATTATTGAAACACTCAAAATAACTGATATGGTTTGGCTCTGTGTCCTCACCTAAATCTCATGTGGAATTGTAATCCCCACTTCTCAGGGGAGGGCTCTAGTGGGAGGTAATTGGATCATGGGGGTGGATTTCCCCCTTGCTGTTCTCGTGATGGTGAGTCAGTTCCCATGAGATCTGATAGTTTAAAAGTGTGTGACACTTCCCCCTTCACTCTCTCTCTCTTTGCTGCCACCATGTGAAGTAGGTCCTTGCTTCCCCTTTGCCTTTTGCCATGACTGTAAGTTTCCTGAGGCTTCCCAGTCATGCTTCCTGTTTAGCTTGTAGAACTGAGTCAGTTAAACCTCTTTTCTTCATAAATTACCCAGTCTCAGGTAGTTCTTTATAGCACTGTGAGAATTGACTAATATAATAACCAATTTCCTCCTCACTAACTCTACTAGAATTCAGATAACCTTCTATGTAATTTTGTAGGCCTGTGCATTCTTTTAACTATTAAAATAAATTTGACTTAAAAATAAATTTGTAGAAACTCTAACTTGAGGAGTCAAGCTGTTCTATGCTCCATTGATTTACAAATGTTTTCATTCTTATATTGACATAGGTCTAAGATCTCTTGGTCTAATAAAACAAAATGTATAAAAAGAAAATATCTGGAATCCTACCTGTAACAAGAAAGCTGCATCTCCCAGCTCCAGCTTCATTTATGATGCTACAGTTATAAACCCCATAGTTTTCATTGGAAAGACTCTTCACAGCGTACTCTGTGTATTCCTGAGAGTCAAATTGACCCGTCCGTAATAATTTATTGCCCAAGCGCCACTCATAGGTCAGCACCCGTATTGGATAGGCTCTCAGTACTCTGCAACTCATAGTGACACTTCGATCCTGTCCTTGCCGGATTTCCAAGAATGCTGGTTCCACTGCAGGGGGATCTGTAGAAAAGATATGTAAAAACAGATGAAAGATGTGACTTGCAATAAGCCAAAAGCTACTCTTATTAGAAGAAGCCATTTGCAGTAACACATGCAGCAATAGAGGAGGAGTGTAGGAGGTGAATGAAGAACATATTTAAGCCCAGAAATTTTAGCTTGGGTTGGGAAATGTGATTTCCTGAGGGTAGGAAGTAAATGAGCCTCCTTGCTTTACAAATGCATTTGCAGGTGAAACTACTAGAGCTGACTGATCCTTCGTACCTCTTTCAGCAAATATTTTTAAACTTTCCTATTAATTCTAATATTATCAATATATTCCTTTTTTGTTTGTTTGGGGTCCTTTGTCTAAAAGTGGTAAGAATTCTTTTTTTATTATGCAATGAAAAGATTCCTTTCTTCATTTACTTCATGGTCTGATACTGAAGGCAGCTATTTAAAAAGCTAATTTACAAAACTGTATGAAAAATAATTCTACAGTGCTAAGTAAATAAGAAGTGAATGACACTATGAGAGTTGACCAGGCAAGTATGCTACAAAAATAATGCTCAGCTGTGTCTTCCAGAATGTATAGGAGATGGTCAGGTGAGTAAGCAGTAAGAGAAGGCATTCCAGGTAGAGGAATGGGTACATACAAAGGTACAAAATCTGAAGAGGAAGGGATGTTCAGAGAAATGCAGATGGATTAGCATAGCTGATGCACAAAAGAAGACCATAAGCGCTTGGGGGGAAATAAAGATGAAAAGAAAGAGACTCTATTCAAGGAATGCATTTTCTTGGTATTGAGGAGGTCTTCTAAAATTTTTAAATAAAGGATTTATATGATCAAATAATTTTTTTCTTTGGAAAAACACTGTGGTAGACAGGAAAAGCATAAACCACAGAGGGAAGAGACAAGTTGCAAAAAAATTAAATCACTGGTGAAAGCCTGAACTAAGGTGAGGTCAGTGGGACCAAAAATGATGCCTTAGGCAATGAAGTGGATAACAGTGTCAGTCATGAAGACAGTGAGGAAAAGGAGAGGTAGATTGGTGTGTGTTGAATGTGTCCATTTCATGCACCTGTCAATTACATCCAGAAGCAGTGTTTCTTCATTTCCAAACATATGGGTAATGTTTTATTTTCTCTTTGCTTTTGATTTTTTGCTTAACTGAATTGTAGTCAGATAAAATAGTCCACATGTTTTCAATCCTCTGAATTTGTTAACACTTGCTGTATGACACAATATATAATAGATTTCTGTTCTGGGTGTGCCCACTAAGAAGGAATAGTCTGCACTTTTGAAGTGTGATTGATATGTATCTATTGGGCCAACTCTAATATCGAGGAGTTGTCCAAATCATCTATATGGTTGTTTATTCATTTATTTTTTGCCTACTTATTCCAGTTGAATTAATTCATAAGAGTATGTTAAACTCCTCTAAAAAAAGTTAAAAGTTTTAGATATCTAATTTAAAAAATTCTCCTTGTAGTTCTGCCTCCTTTTTGCTTTACCTGTTTTGAGGTTATGCTATTAAGTATATATGAATTTAGAATTGTTTTATGTTGTCCATGAGTTGAATATTGAATATTTATCACTATAATCTCTTTTATCTCCAGCAATGCTATATATGTGTGTGTGTGTGTGTGTGTGTGTGTGTGTGTGTGTGTGTGTGTGTGTGTGGATACATACATATATATATATAGTCTAACATTATCATGGCTACATTGGCATTTATTATGTTAGTATTTGCATGTGATATTTTTCCATCCTTTTAATCTTATACTTTTAATATCTTTATAAGTATTTTTATTCTTATACTTTCAGTATCTTTAAATTTTACAAGCACCTCTTTTAAACATCATGAGCTTATGCTTTATTTTTTAGGATTTTTTTTAAGTCTGTCAATCTTTTTTTAACCCAGAGCACTTAGCACTTTATTCATTGACATTTACTGTAACTACTTATTTTGTACTTTTATTTTATTACATTTTTGTATTAAATTTACTGTAACATTATTTTGTACTATTTGTTTTCTGCTACTCTTTATTGCCTTCTTTTAGATGGATGGATTACATTATCATTCTGATCTTTTTGCCACTACTACTTGAAGATTTATTTACTCTGTTTCTACTACTCCGATTGTCTCAAAGCTTGCAACATGCATACTTAAGTTATCCAAAAACATCAATCAATACCCTTATTATACTACTGAAGAACACAATAATCTAAGGATAATTTGTTCCTTTTATTCTCATTCTAACGTGTTACTGTGTCATGAATTTCAATCCTCTTTTTTTAATAAAAAGTCTGTTGTACATAGTTGGGCGTGGTGGCTCACACCTGTAATCTCAGCACTTTGGGAGGCTGAGGAGGGCGGATCACGAGGTCAGGACTTCGAGACCAGCCTGGGCAACATAGTGAAACCCCGTCTCTACCAAAAATACAAAAATTAGCCGGGCATGTGGCGTGTGGCTGTAGCCCCAGCTACTTGGGAGGCTGAGGCAGGGGAATCGCTTGAACCCAGGAGGCAGAGGTTGTGGTGAGCCGAGATTGCACCGCTGCACTCCAGCCTGGGAAACAGAGCTGGACTCTGCCTCAAAAAAAAAATTATATTGTACATTATAGTATAATATGGTATACCTATAGTATTTTTTAAAATGTCCAGATATTTGCTAGCTTATTTGCCCTTCATTCCTTCTTTCATTGTAGACTTTCCATCTGTGATGACTTTCCTTGTGTCTGAAGTTATCATTTAGATCTATCATATCTTTAGTGAACTTTTTGATCATGATTTTCTAAAAAATATATTTTAGTTTGTGGGCTGGGAAACCAAGAGCTCTTAATGCTATACCCAAAGACTGAAGTTCTTTATAGGACACCATACACACGAAATAGTGCTATGTTTTCCTAAGGAGATCCAAGACTTAGCCACTCGTAAGCAGGCAATAATCCATGATTAGTGATGTGGGGAAGTAAATAAAGGTCTCAAAGTATATGTATGTCTGTATGTATGTGTGTGTATACATTTTTATGTTATATATATACACACACATATACATACATATGTGTATATATACACATATATGTACATGAAATATAATTTTCATTTTATATGTATATGTGTATATGCACACATATGTAGAATTTGTGTACATATTATACATATATAGAATTATACATATGTATACACATATACATATGTGTACATATAAGTTAAAATACATATATATTTTAATATTTTATATATACACATGTTTTATATATACATATATGTATATATATTTAATGTTTTATATATACATATATGTGTATGCGTATATATATATACACACACACACACACACACATAAAACATTAAAAGGTATTTTCCTTGTAGGTTGGCAGGCTTTGTTCTTTCAGCGCATCATTATATAATTCCACTGTCTTCAGATGGCCATTGTTGGTGTAAAGAGGTCAACTCAAAGTCTCACACTTTGACGTGAATGTCTTTTTTTTCCTCCAGCCACTTTCGAAATACCTTTGTCATTGCTGTTCTGCAGTTTCAATATACGGTTCCTAGTGATGAGTTTCTTTTTACTTATGGGTTTGAAATTTGTTGGGCTTCTTAGATCTGTTAAGTTTGGTGTCTTTCATCTGAGGTAATTTTGGAAAATTCTCATCATTAGCTGTTTAAATAACACCTCTATTTCCTTCTTTATAGCCTCATTAGATGATCCTGTTCATTCTGCTTTTGATGTCTTTTAACCCCTTTTCAAATTTTGCACTTGTTGGTTTTTCTGTACTGCATTATGAATAAATTCGTCTGAGCTAATTCAGTTCTTAATTCTTTCTCCAATCCTACTTAATCTGCAAAATATATATTGTGTATTAATTCCAATAACGTATACTTCATTTATTCTTTTTCTGTATAGTTATTTTGTATACCTGCACACCACTTTTTTGTATGTTTCCACTACCTGAAAAAGTAGTTAAGCTTATCTTCCATTTCTTTAAACAAAGTAATTGTTTTATACTGCCTGATAATTTTTTTTTTTTTTGAGATGGAGTCTCACTCTGTCACCCAGGCTGGAGTGCAGTGGCGCAATCTCAGCTCACTGCAACCTCCACCTCTCAGGTTCACGCCATTCTCCTGCCTCAGCCTCCCGAGTAGCTGGGACTACAGGCACCTGCCACCACACCTGGCTAATTTTTTGTATTTTTAGTAGAGACGGGGTTTCACCATGTTAGCCAAGATGGTCTCGATCTCCTGACCTCGTGATCCACCTGCCTTGGCCTCCCAAAGCACTGGGATTACAGGCGTGAGCCACCGCACCGGGCCACTGCCTGATAATTTCAATTGAAGTTTTGAGGAAGTTTTTCTGTTGGTTTTCTTTCAAAGTACTGTCTTCCTGTGTGTTCTTGATTAATTTTGATCAATTTGATTCTATGCTATTTGTTGCCCTTTAAAAATATTTATAGGATATGCTGATGACTAAAATGATGGTTTCTTTCTCCAGAGAAAATTTGTGTCCACGGGCAACTATAGACATCACTGTCTAGGATCACATTTAAGTGCATGACTTGAGGCTGATTTGAATTATCAAGTGACTTGAATTTGAGTTAAAAATCCATATAAAGGTCAACTTGTAACTATAATTTCAAGAATGGATAACCACATCATCCCATCCTGTTCATTTCAAAGTCACACATTTCCTGCACTCCCTTGGGAGTGGGAATGTGTAGATTGGGTTTACTTCTGCTTTACTCCTACCCTACAGATATAATCCTTTGAGATCCAACTTCTTGGGAGACAGTTCTACCAACAGATCCCTCCCCTAGTGAATATTCTGGGTTTGAAGTTCTGCACCCCTTGCCCAAAGATGCCATCAGAATTGAAGCTCAAATTTGTCCATATTCAGCAAATACCCTCAAGGCAAATGTAACTTCATTGTACTTCTTTCATTAAATTTGACAAAGTATTTTTCAAATAAACATTTTAAATGTTTTTAATATTAATTTTACAATATTGTCCAGATTTTAGTTGTTTACATTGGAGAGATTTTACATAATATTTTGTCTATTACATGCCTAGAAACATGTATCTGATTGTCAAGGGAAAAAATGGATCTTAAACTCAGAAGAAAGGGCTGACTGAAGGTTACAGTTATTAAGATAGCTCAGAGTGAGTATAGACAAAAATAAGTAAAATGCCAAATATGAACTTTACTCTTGAATATAATCACTTATGGGGTTAGAGAAAAATAAAAGCTTTTAAAGGAGAATAATCATAAACAATCAGTGAGATGTGGGGATCTAGAGTGTTGTGTTACAAAAATTAAAGGAGCTGCATGTTTTAGAGAACAAGAGTGGTCAAAAGTACCAAATGCTATCAAAAAACAAGTTAAGACTGAAGATATGTAAAATATATATTTTTTCTTTGACAAGTTTAGTACCATTAAGGAATATAGTGAAGCATTTTTTCTGTGTATTATATATAATTTGGGTTTGGGGTATGTGAATTGATGGTTAAACTGTAGAAATAATGAGTGATAACTGTTCAAGAACACTGTCCATGATTTTAAAAGATAATTATTTATGATGATTCTACCTTAAAATATATTAGGAGCTTATACATTTGTCACTATATCCACTACCACTACTATTATTTCTCACATGGACTACAACAAATTCCCTGCAGTATACCTGTAATAGGTCAATGTACTTCTTTTGTTCTCTCATTCTTCTGAGATTTGTCAAATGCGTGTTTAACAGAAAAATCAGCTCATGTTACTTTCCTGTTCGAAAAACTTTATGGACTCACCCTTGTTTGCTATTCAGGACTTCAAGGTCCTGCAAGTTCTGGCTCTGGCCATATTCTCAACTATTCTTGTCTTGATGACTATGTCCCAAACACATAAGTTTTCTTCTTGTTTCTACATGACAAGTCTTTTGTAGACTTTAGACCTCTAATTTGTTCTTTCTGCCTGAGATGTTCTTTCCTTTGGTCTTTCAATAGCTGGCTCATTCTCATCATTCAGATTTTACCTCTTTAGGAAGCCCATCTTTGATGACAAGTTAGTAAAGTAACTTCTCCCTTGGTTAATTTTTATTTATCATTGCATATATTTTCTGCATATGTTCACTCTTTGTTCATATCTTGTTTATGTAAGCTCCATTACAAAGGGACCTAAAATTCTCCAATCATTGTTGCATCCTATGTGTCTATTACAGTATCTGTCATTATAATTGGTGATATATCATTATTCATTAAATAAATGAATACTTGAGTGGTGTTAAAAGAGTAAAGATGTACACATTCTCTTCAAAATTCCTCCCATCAAGACCTGGAGTTTATGTTCATTTCATTAAGTCTGGATGGGCTCTGTGATTATTTTCACTATTAGAACACAGAGCAGAAGTGATGCTGTGCCAATTTCTGGGACCAGGACACAAGTGTCTGGCAGTTCCACTTCCTATCTTTTGAAGCACCCACTCTGGAAGTGCTGAACCCCATGTAAAACTTCAACCTCTCCTCTGCAAAAACCATGTGAAGAGGCCCAGAGACAATATGGAGAAGGAGAGGGCAGAGTTTAGCTTAGACTTCCACTTGTCCCTTCCAAGGTTCCAGACACAAGAAACCATCTTGGACATTAGAGACCAGATCAGCTATCCACTGTTAGAATTACTATGATTAGATATAATAAAATGTGGTTCTTTTAAGCTCTGAAGTATTGGAGTAGTTTGTTACATAGCAAGAAATAACTGAAACAGATGCCTTCTATCCTTCAAAAGTCAAGAGTCTGACACTATGAGTGGAGTCAAAAGGACAAGGAGGCAAAACATTAAGGCATAGTTTAAGGGACAGTCTAAGCTGGTTCAGGAAGGAAAGAATTCAGAAGGAAACTCATAGGGGAAGACAGCCAACAGACTGATTTGCTAGAACAACTTGAAAACTTGAAAAGCAAATACATTGAGGACAAAGGTATCCGGGAGCCAGAACGTTTCAGTTAATGAACAGCATATTGTTGCAATTTAATAGCTCACAGGTAGAGAAGTTTGGAATGATTACAAAATCAAAGATATGACCGTTGGAATGTAATACTGAAGTGGAGATTAATGATACTACAGTCAAATACTAATAAGTTAAGTGAATACAGTCTTTGCTGTCAAGTTATATTTGTATTTGCCTAGCAAAGTTAACGTGTTTGTAGCTATTTTTTTTCTTCTTACAAAAGGAGAAATTTCCTTTTAAGTGGAAGAGGTTGTCAGTGTAATTCATTATACCTAATGGGAAAATATCCCCAAATATATATTTACTTTTTTTTTTTTTTTTTTTTTTGAGACAGAGTCTCGCTCTGTCGTCCAGGCTGGAGTGCAGTGGCACGATCTCGGCTCACTGCAAGCTCCGCCTCCCGGGTTCACGCCATTCTCCTGCCTCAGCCTCCCGAGCAGCTGGGACTACAGGCGCCCGCCACCACGCCCGGCTAATTTTTTGCATTTTTAGTAGAGACGGGGTTTCACCGTGTTAGCCAGGATGGTCTCGATCTCCTGACCTCGTGATCCGCCCGCCTCGGCCTCCCAAAGTGCTGGGATTACAGGCGCGAGCCACCGCGCCCGGCCTATATTTACTTTTTTATAGATGATTTTTGTGAGAATTCTTTGAAAGTATCCGACTTAATGAATTATTACCAGCAATGGGGGTTTTTCTAGACTCTCTCTATATATGAATGTCATTTGCCCACACCTGAAAGATTCAGCCCATTCAATTTTCAATGGCCTGTAAGGAAGAATGATAATGTTGGGTTAAAATTCTTCAAACATAGTCTATTTTCATAAAGTTTAATAGAGTCTGAGTTGCAAAGCATCCCTAAATTAAAGGCTATTTAAAAGGCCTTTTATTTAAAAGACTGCCCACACTACTTTGATTCCAGGGTGGTTTCTTCACCGCAAAAAAGCTAAATAATATTAAACCAAGCGCACTCATTATAGTGCACTCAAGTCTGTCAATGGAAAATTTCTCCTGATAGATGGTTCATTTTAAGCATACTAGCTATTAATAGTTGGACATTTCATTCTTTGGAATATCCGGTGAGAAGGATAGGCCTTTGCAGTTATGATGAAATGTATAGTGTGAAAATTTCGAATATGATGAAAGAAATCTTCAGGTGTTAAAAAAAAGTTAGAGCTCACTATTGTGATAGAATCAGTTTTTTATGGCATAAAATTTATTCAGAATGTTTTTATGAAGTATTCAACATGAAGGAAATGAAATATATAGGAATATTATGAGAAAAATCTACTTAGCATATTCTGAAATGCTTAAAAGTAGGATTTCTTAAGAAAAGTAGGTGCCTGTGTTTTGTTCAATTAAAATATATGACTCTTATATTATTATATTATACAAGTTTTTTCACTTATACTAAGATAGTTGGTTAAAAAGTCTATTTATGAAACTACCACACTACATGTATACTGAAGGATGATTATAAAAATAAAGATTATATTTCTTGACACTGAATATTTACTAAATGCTAGATACTGTGTTAAGATATTCACACAGATTATCTTTTTATAACAATAACCCATTTATAGAAGAAAAAGAAAAGACGAACAGAAAAATTAAGCAAGTCACCCAGCTAAAAAGTAGCAGACTAAGGAATCAAACAAGGCAATCTGATTTCAGAATGCATGCTCTTAAAAACAGCCTATGTCACATTATTTCCAATTGCAGATACTACCAGTGGTTCATGAATTAGCTCTCTCCCTAAAAGAGGACTTCGAAAATCTTGCCTTACTGGTTATTTAAAGTTATCAATTAAAATAGAGGTTGACCTACTCACACCATCATTTAAAATTCACAGCCTTGCAAAGGCAATGAAGAAAAGTCATGCTTTGTGGAAAGCATCAAAGTATTACAACAAAACTACTAATTTAAAGAAAAATGTTACAGAATTTTGAATCAAATTCAAACTGCAGTTTATATGGCAATGTACTTCATGTAAATTAATTTTGGTATTACCCATATATTATAATCTATACAAGTGTTTGTAGAATATTAAATGTCTGAAGGTAAAAGTGTAACCTTTCAAAGTAATTAAGGATTTTAGTTGTAATAAAGTCATTAAGTAACAAGTGCCCAAGATTAATGATTTTAGCATTTTCTTTTTGTATCTACTGGCTCAAGATGTCCAGCAAGGTTTCTAAATACTTAGTTCTAATATTTAAATCCATATAGAGATATCTACCTTATTTGGGAAGAATAATGCATGAAAATACCAGATTATAGGAAAATGTTTATTTGTGTGTATTTCTTAATAAGGGGATGAGAGAGTAAGTAGTTCATGCATTTTTTTGACAGCATGAATAAAATTTTGCATTTATTTCTTGAAAAAAAATGACAGTTTCAATGAGTACCAGAACTGTAAGCAAAGCAATTTTTTTAATTTTAAAAACAATAAAAGATGTTTAAATAAATAATAGAACCTTCAAATGAATATTAAAAAATATTAATATAACCTGTTTTTAAATATTTAAGGGAGTGTGAGACAATGGACGTTAAATATGCATGGGCTGTCTTCAATCACGTACAGTTGAAAGAGGAGTTGAAACAGTCCTGTCTATTTGGAGGACTTCGTATAAGTACAATCTTAATTATTTAACCATTGGAGGAGCACTGAGAAATATGTACTCATTAGAGTGATTTCCTCTCGAGCCACATCTTCCCAAGTCAAAAGCATGCCCAACCAAATACTTGTTGTCTGGTTCTTTGTTGGGATTAAAGTCATTTAAGGAAAATTGTGCTCATAATTATTTATAAATGCAATATTTATAAAAGAAAATCTAGGAGTTAGAGTATTAGGTCAGGGAATTAAATTCTTCCATTGCCCATTAAGAAGAGTTGAATTGCTACAATTAATATATGACAACCTCTCTCTCCATGAACACATAGAAGTGTTGGCAGGGTGGTGTGCCTGAAGACAGCATGGAAGATCTATACTTCACCTTCATCAATCCTTACCCACTGCATCTTTTCTATTTGGCTGTTCCTGAGTTGTATTCACTACAGTTGTCCCCCCTTATCCATGCAAGATACATTCCAAGATCCCCAGCAAATGACAGAACTTGCAGATAGTACTGAACACTATATTTACTGTTTTTTTCTTATACATGCATACATACCTATGATAAATTTTCATTTATTAATTAAGCACAGTAAGAGATGGACAGCAATAACTAATAATAAAAGAATGATTATAATAATATACAGTAATAAAAGTGATGTAAATATAGTCCCTCCTCTTCTCTCTTAAAATACTATAATAAGGAAAGAAGCTGCAGATGCCGGGAAAGAGTGAGTGACTGACCCCCAGGGCTTCACAACCCCACCAATGACTTCAATAATCCGAAGCATGAGAAAACCGCTTGACTCTCTGGGGGCCTCCAGACTAACACAGAAAGCTGCCTAGATATTATGTAGAGGAATTGCTCCAGAACTGTGACCTGCCCTGGGGCTAACACCATCTCTGGTGCAGCTGGCCAAGGTGGAGGGCAGGAGGCTGGGCACTTTCACACACCCTGAAGACAAATCTCCCTGATGCTGATGCTGCAGGCTATTATGGGACCAAGACAAGGGGAGATCACCTGTTCCACAGGTGCCTGCCTAAGCTGCTCCCACTGACAGTGGTTCCACCCTCTCCAGAGACAGGCTTACAGTGCAGCAGGCCAAAATCCCTGAAGGTAGATGCAAAAATCCCAAAAAAATATAACCACATAGAATTCAGCAGCACATCAACATAGTACTGGATGTCCGAGGCAGAGCAATTAGGCAAGAAAAAGAAATAAAAAGCATCTACATTAAAAAAATGAAGTCAAAGTGTCCCTCTTTGCTGATGACATGATCTTACATCTAGAAAAATATAAAGACTTCATTTAAAAAATTCCTAGATTTGGGCCGGGCACAGTGACTCACACCTGTAATCCCGGCACTTTGGGAAGCCAAGGTGGGTGGATCACAAAGTCAGGAGTTCAAGACCAGCTTGGCCAACATGGTGAAACCCCATCTCTACTAAAAATACAAAAAAAAAATTAGTTGGGTATGGTGGTGTGTGCCTGTAGTCCCAGCTACTTGGGAGGCTGAGACAAGAGAATTGCTTAAACCTGGGAGGCAGAGGTTGCAGTGAGCTGAGATCGTGCCACTGCACTCCAGCCTAGGAAACAGAGCAAGACTCTGTCTAAAAAAAAAAAAAAAACAAATCCTAGATTTGATAAATAAATTCAGTAACGTTGCAGGATACAAAATCAAAACAAAAAAATCAGTAGTGTTTCTATATACCAATAATGAACTAGCTGAGAAAAAATCAAGAAAACAATCCCACTTGCAATAGCTAGAAAAAATATAGGAATAAATTGTCCTTGGAATAGTTTGCTGAGAATGATGGTTTCCAGTTTCATCCATGTCCCTACAAAGGACATGAACTCATTATTTTTTATGGCTGCATGGTATTCCATGGTGTATATGTGCCACATTTTCTTAATCCAGTCTATCATTGTTGGACATTTGGGTTGGTTCCAAGTCTTTGCTATTGTGACTATTGCCGCAATAAACATGCATGTGCATGTGTCTTTATAGCAGCATGATTTATATTCCTTTGGCTATATACCCAGTAATGGGATGGCTGGGTCAAATGGTATTTCCAGTTCTAGATCCCAGAGGAATCGCCACACTGACTTCCACAAGGGTTGAACTAGTTTACAGTCCCACCAACAGTGTAAAAGTGTTCCTATTTCTCCACATCCTCTCCAGCACCTGTTGTTTCTTGACTTTTTAATGATCACCATGCTAACTGGTGTGAGATGATATCTCATTGTGGTTTTGATTTGCATTTCTCTGATGGCCAGTGATGATGAGCATTGTTTCATGTGTCTGTTGGCTGCATAAATGTCTTCTTTTGAGAAGTGTCTGTTCATATCCTTCACCCACTTGTTGATGGGGTTGTTTGTTTTTTTCTTGTAAATTTGTTTGAGTTCATTGTAGATTCTGGATATTAGCCCTTTGTCAGATAAGTAGATCGCAAAAATTTTCTCCCATTCTGTAGGTTGCCTGTTCACTCTGATGGTAGGGAATTGAACAAGGAGAACACTTGGACACAGGAAGGGGAACATCACACACCGGGGCCCGTTGTGGGGTAGGGGGAAGGGGGAGGGATAGCATTAGGAGATATACCTAATGTAAATGATGAGTTAATGGGTGCAGCACACCAACATGGCACATGTATACCTATGTTAAAAACCTGCACGTTGTGCACATGTACCTTAGAACTTAAAGTATTCCATATATATATATATATATATATATATATATATATATATATATATGGAATAAATTTAACAAAGGAAGTAAAAGATCTCTGCAAGGGCAACTACAGAACTGATGAAATAAATTAAAGAGGACACAAACAATTGGAAAGACATTCCATTTTCATGAATAAGAAGAATTGATGTCATTAAAATGATTCTACTGCCCAAAGCAATCTATAGATTCAAAGCAGTCCTTACAAAAATGTCAATATCATTTTTCACAGAATTAGAAAAAAACAATCCTGGAATTTGTATGAAACCAAAAAAGAGCCAGAATAGCCAAAGCAATCCTAAGCAAAAAGAAAGTTAAAGGCATCATATTACCTAACTTCAAAATATAATATAATACAAGGCCATGGTAACAATAACAGTATAGCAGTCGTATAAAAACAGACTTAGATCAATGGAATGGAGTAATGAGTCCAGACATAAATCCACATATTTTCAGCCAACTGACAATTTGTATAGTGCCAAGAACATACAATGGGGAAAAGATACTATCTTCAATAAATGGTGCTGGGAAAACTGAATACCCATATGCAGAAGAAGAAAACTGGATGCCTATCTCTACCCATGTACAAACCCAAGATGGAATAAAGACTTATATGTAAAATTTAAAACTATAAAGCCAACTAGAAAACAACATAGGGGAAACACTTTAAGACATCAGTCTAGGCAAAGAGTTAATGGCTAAGACATTGAAATCACCGGCTACTATAACAAAAATAGACAAATGGGACTATATTAAATTTAAAAGCATCTGCACAGCAAGGGAAACAACAGAATGAACTGACAACCTGCTGAATGGGATAAAATATTTTCAAACTATTAATCTGACAAAGGATAATATCTAGAATATACAAAGAACCCAAATAACTCAATAATTTTTTAAAAATCTCATTAAAAGTGGCCTAAAGACATAAATAGATATTTCTCAAAAGAAGACATAAAAAATGGCCAACAGGTATCTGAAAAACTGCTCAACATCACTAATCATTAGGAAAATGCAAATCAAAACCACAATTACCTTACCAATTACCTTACCCCAGTTAGAATGGCTATTACTAAAAAGACAAAAAACAAAACAAAACAAAAACACAAAAAAACAGATACTGGTGAGGATGCAGAGAAAAGACAATTCATACACTGCTAGTGGGCAAGTAAATTAGTATACCCACTACAGAAATCATTATGACAATTACTCAAAAAAAATAAAAATAGAACTATCACAATCTACCAATTCCACTGGATATTTATCCAAAGGAAAAGAAATGTATATATCAAAGGGATACGTACCTGAATTTGCACATTTATCACAGCATGATTCACAATAGCAAAGATATAGAATCAACCTATGTGTCCACCAATGGATGAATGGGTAAAGTAGCATATGTACACAATGGAGTAATATTCAGCAATTAAAATGAATGAAATCATGTCATGCAGTAGCATGGATGAAACTGGAGGACATTATCTTAAGTGAGATAAGACAGTCACAGAAAGACAAATACCACATATTCTCTTTCATATGTGAGAGATTAAAAAATTAGATCTTATGGAGATAGAGTATAGATAGATATCAGAGGCTTGGAAGGTGTATGGGTGGGAGGAGGGGATAAAGATATGTTGATTAGTGGGTACAAATATACAGTTAGATAGAAGACATAAACCCCAATACTTGATAGCAGATTAGAGAGAGTATAGTTAGCAACAATGTATTATATAATAAAAATAGCTAAAAGACAGGTATATAGTTAAAGAGGTAAACAGTTAAAAAATAGCTAAAAATAGCTAAAAGAGCTATGTATAGAAATGATAAATATTCAGGGTAATGGATAGCCCAGATACCCTGACTTGATCATTCCACCTTCTATGCATGTAACACATCCTCACATGTACCTCATAAATATGTAAAATATATTGTTATCAGTACAATTGTTTTAAATCCTGTAGTATTTTTGGAACACTGTTGACTTTGGGTTGTTGAAACAATGGAAAGTAAAACCTACTGTATAATAAACCTGTAAATGTAATTAAAATGTTTTCTTGTGTTCCATGAGTTCATCTAGTCAACTATCAAACCTGAGGTGGCAGGGGTTATCATGGGAACCTCAGAATCTATAGCTGGTAGGTTAGAAGTATGGATGGCAAACAGGGATTTGTAACTGGCATTTGAAATGGGGCCAATCTAGTGGGGCTGAGTCCTTTAACTTGTAGGATGTATGCTAACTCAGGATATTTACTGTGAGAATTAAACTGAATTGTTGAATACCCAGTTAGTGCTGGAGAATTGGAGAATTGATGTGGAAAACACACCAGGTATTTGGTGTCAGAAAGAACAAAAGAACTGCCAATCAAGTTTTTAAATAAATCCAATTTATTCAGTAGAGAACTATATGGAAATCATCTACTTGAGAAAAGATATTGAGCCATTTGTAGGATCTGTCTGAATGTATATAGAAGAAAAAAGGATTGAGATGGCCAACATTTTTTAGGTTAACTCAGTATATAATTGTGCTAGCACATTTCATATACTTATTACTTCATTTAATATTTATAACAAATGTGTAAAGTATTATCACTATCTCCTTTTTATAGATAAGGAAATTAAATCTGAGAAGTTACATTTTCAAGCAACCCACACATTCCAGATAACAGGTTTAGATCCAAATCCAAATCACATGACATCAAAGTCCAAAGCTACACAACTCCTACAAACTAACATAGAAAAAAAGCTAGATGACCTTGGGCTTGGTGATAGCTTTTTAGATACAACACCAATGGCATAATTATTGAAAGAAGTAACTTTTAAGCGGGACTCTATTGAAATTATTTTTTCATTGTTCTGCAAAGACACAGTCAAGAAAATGAAAAGAAAAACTACAGACTGGGAGAAAATATTTGCCAAGACATACTAATAAATGATTGTTACTGAAAACATACAAAAACTCTAAAAACTCAATAATAAGAAAATAAATGACCTGATTTTTAAAATGGGCCAAAGACCTTAACAGACACCTCACCAAAGAAGACAGATGGAAATTATGTTTATGAGGAGATGCTGTGCATGATGTCATCAAGGAAATGCAAATTAAAACAATAAAATACCATGATACGGCTACTAGAATGCCCAAAATCTGGAAGACTGACACCACTAAATGCTGGCAAGGATGTAGAGCAATGTGAATTTTCATTCGTTGCTGGTGGAAATGCAAAATGGCACAGCCACTTTGGAAAATATTTTGGCAGTTTCTTACAAAAGTATACATATTCTTACCATGTGATCCAGCAATCATAGACCTTAGTATTTACTCAAAGGAGTTGAAAACTTATGTTTACAAAAAACAACCAACATGACAGTGCAGTTAAGTTCAGCTGGTAATTTTTTTGAGGAAGACTTTTTCAATAAAGGAAGTAGTGCATCAACTTACATTTTAATACAAACAACATAATCCTATTGTGCAGCTTATACATAAAGCTTGCAGATCAGCCCCTTTGAGAAACACTGACCTGGACTCCATGCCTTAATCAAATAATTGGTCAATGTTTAACAGACAATGCAGGAAGGTCTGTATGGAAGGCAAAACTGTCATGACAGGACCCAGCCTGCTTTGAAATAAAAAAAATGAATGGAGATTTAGAATATATGCATTTAAAAATGTAGGTATCAGTGAAACGTAGGCAGCTTTTTCTAAAAGGCAAAAGAATGTTTCAGCTAAAGACGTTTCAGGTACAATGAAACAAACCCCAATCTAATGGCATCCAAATTGTAAAGAACAAACTAAAATTACCTCTGTTTGCAGATGATAGAAAACCATGCAGAAAACCCTGAAGATTCCATGTTAAATAGCTGTTATAACAAATAAATGAAATCAGAAAAGTAAAAAAGCAACAAAATCAACATACTAAATCAGTTGCATTTCTTCCTTTTTAAATTATTGTTATTTTTTTTTTTTTGGAGATACAGTTTTATTCATGATTACAGCTCACTGCAGCCTCTGACTCCTGGACTTAAGTGATCCTCCTGCCTCAGCCTCCCAAAACGCTGGAATGACAGGCATAAGCCACCACACCCAGCTAATCAGCTGCATTTCTATACACTAACAATAAACATTTTGAAAAAGAAATTACAAAAAAAATCCATTTATAATAGTATCAAAAGTAGTAAAATATGTAAGAATTCATTTAAATACTTAGGAGTTAATTTAACCAAGGAATTAAAGGACATGTGCAATGGAAACTACAGAACATTTCTGAAAGAAACAAGACATAAATAAATGAAAATACATCACATATTCATTAATTGGAAGACCTAATATTGTTAATACGTCAAAACTACCCAAAGACGTATGCAGATTCAACG
Source organism: Homo sapiens (assembly GCF_000001405.40). Taxonomy (NCBI): domain Eukaryota; kingdom Metazoa; phylum Chordata; class Mammalia; order Primates; family Hominidae; genus Homo; species Homo sapiens. The sequence goes on from NC_000014.9 coordinate 46,974,323, forward strand.
CAATCCCTATCAAAATCCCAATGGCATTTTTTTTGGCAGAAATAGAAAAACCCATTCTAAAATTCATATGAATCTCAAGAGACCCTGAATAGCCACAACAAATCTTGAAAAACAAAACAAAGCTGGAAGACTCGCACTTCTTGATTTCAAAAGTCACTACAGAGCTCCAGCAATCAAAACAGCGTGGTACTGGCATAAAAATAGACATATAGATCAATCAAACAGAATGGAGAACCCAGAAGTACCCCTTGCATATATGGTAAAATTATTTTGTACAAAAGAGGCAAGGTCATTCAATGGGGAATAGATAGTCTTTTCAACAAATGGTGTTGTGAAAACTGGATATTCACATGCAAAAGAATTAAGTTAGATCACTATGTACAGAAATTAATTTAAAATGGGTCAAAGGCCTAAATGTAAGATTCAAAAATATAAAACTCTTAGAAGAAAACATGGGACAAAAACTTCATGACATGGAATTTGGCAGTAATTTTTTGGGTATGACACTAAAGGCATGGATGACAACAGAAAACAAATGGAATTCGTATTTTTTTTCAAGTTGTGCATTAAAGTAGCAACAGAGTAAAAATGTAACCCACAGAATGAAAGAAAATATTTGCAACTCAGATTTATGATAAGCAATTAGTATGGAGAATGGATAAAAACTCCTAAAACTCAACAAAAAAGCAATAGCTCAATTCAAAAATGGGCAAAGAACTTGAACAGATATTTCTCCAGTGATACTCAAATGGCCAATAAGCACATAAAGATGCTCAACATCACTAGTCATTAGAAAAATGCTAATTAAAACTACAATGAGATGCCATTTAATATCCATTAGAAGAGCTACTACTTTTTAAAAAAAGAAAATAACAAATGTTGGTGAGAATGTAGAGAAATTAGAACCCTTAAGCACTGTTGGAGGGAATGCAAAATGGTACAGCCACTGTGGAAAACAGTATAGTTGTTTCTCACAATTTTAAAAAACGAATTACTACATGATCCAGGGATTCTACTTCTAAGTGTATATCTAATTGCAAGCAGAGTCTCAAAGATATATTTGTACAGCCAGGTTCATATCGGCATTATTCACAACACCTAAAAGATGGGATCAAAGCAAGTATTCATCAACAGATGAATGGATAAGCAAAATGAGGTCTATGCATACAATAGAATATCAATCAGCTTTTAAGGGGAATGAAATTCTGACATATGCTACAACATGGATGAACTTTGAGGACATTATGCTAGGTGACATAAACTAGTAACAAAAAGACAAATACTTTATGATTTCACTCACATAGAGTACTTAGAGAAGTTAAACTTTTAGAGACAAAAATAAAATAGTGGTTGCCAGAGGCTGGGGGAGGAGATATCTTAGTACGTTTGAGTTACTATTAAAAAATACCATAAATTGAGTGGCTTATAAATATTTATTTCTCAGAGTTCTAAAGGCAGGGAAGTTCAAGATCAGGAAACCAGCAGATTCAGTGTCTGAGGGGGGCCAGTTTCCTGGTTCAGACATAAGGCTTCTTGCTATGTCCTCGCATGTGGAAGGAGCAAGACAACAATCTTGAACCTCTTTTATACAGGCACTAATCCGATTCTTTACAGCTCTGACCTCATGACCTAACCACCTCCCAAAAGGATCAACCTTCTAATACCTAACCACGTTGGTGGTTTATTTTCAGAGAAAATGGTGATTTATTTTCAGAGAAAATGGTGGAATAATTTTCAGAGAAAATGGAGAGTTATTGTTTAATATATTGAGAGTTTCAGTTCTACAAGATGAAAAGTGTTATGAAGATGGATGACAGTGTTGGATACACAACATTAGGAATGTATTAATTCCACTAAACCATATGCTTAAAAATATTTGAGATGGCAAATTTTATATTATGTGTATTTTACCACAATAACAAAAATGAAGTCAGTGGCTTAAAACAAACAAAAAACAAAAACACAGTGGCTTAGAACAAAACAAAAAAGAACAAAACAGAACATCAATGAACCACTGTTACAGAAATTGAACCAACATTACTGTAAAGTTTAAAAAATAGAACTGAAAAAGGACAGAGACATCATTCTTTACCTCTAGAACAAATGATACTATTTGATGTGACTTCATACTTGTGAATCAGGAAATAAGAAAACAGCTTGGTTAGAGCTGTTTTTTCTAACAGTTAGTTAGACATTCAGGCAGAAATTTGCTTTTATTTTACATTATCTAGCATGCATAAAAACCAATCTATGAATAATTCTTTGAAAATATAAAAAGGTTGATCCCAAAATGAAGCTATCATATCCGTTATTGGTACATATAACGTTATTAATTTGATATTGAATTGAGTTTGCTGTCTTCATTGTTTTATTTAATGACTGTCAAGATCGTTCATTCGTTCAGACACTTCTTCAGTTATTTAACATACTTTTTTTCTCATATTTTTCTAAAAGTAATTCTTCTAGAATTGAGTCTTCAGGAATATAATCTCACAGATAGAAAGGAACTGTGCTTTTCTTACTCATCTGCTCTCAAATTATATGCACCATTATTGAAACTAATGAGTAGATAATTGCAGATTAATTGTAATTTTAACAAGTTCATGCCTTGGAATGTAAACATACCATTTTATATTATTCAAACTTCATCATTCTCATGGAATTTAAGACAGAAGTCAAAAAAGATTGTTTATCCAAATTATGTTACTAATGACATGGAGACCAAATTCTCAATTCTTTATTATTTACAGTTTTGCTTTATAAAATAGATATTTACAGTTATGCTTCATAAAAAAATATACCATATTAGAGTACACATGACTATATGACATATGTATCATCAAGCTCCAAGATTAAAAATTAACTCTAGAAATTTCATATCAGAAAAAAAGCCGATTTTCAAATTTCTTCTCTTTTTTTTTAAAACACTTTCACTAGTCATTCTAGGATTCAAGGCCCTCACTTTTTTCTTAAAGGATGATATGAATGGGAGGGGTTGAAATAAGAAGAGGTTAAATTTCTAATATTTTTTTCCTGTCACAAGGACTGACAAACATTAATGCAAGAAAAAAAATAAAAGATGAAAACAGAGACTTCATTTTCTAGAATAAGTAACCCTAACTATATTAGTAAGTAATCACAATTAGACAATCTATTTTATTATTGTCCACATTTTTACATCCAAATATGAAATGGTCATTTGATAATAGCCACAATTAGGCAAATATTGGCCTCCCAGAAATGTAGTTAAAATGTTGCCGTTTGCACCAGGAAGTCTATTATAACTAACCATTTTATATGCTGATAGTTCTAATTAAGTCAGAATTTTACTTAAGAAGACAAATAGTTTGACAAATGCAATATAAATTGATCATCTTTTATAAACCAGTTACAGATATAATATTGATCAATAACATGGTAGTAAACTTAGTAGGTATAAAACTTTTCAGAAATAAAGAATTTTTTCACAACAGCAGAAATTGGGGAGATAATGTAGGGGGACTCGGTAAAAAAAATATCCTTGAAAATCTTGCTGGAGAAATTGTGAAGGCTCATCTTAGGCCAAAAAAGTAGATAATGTGTTGCTTTAGTCTCAGTAGTAAGGGACTATAAAAATAAATTTCATCTCCAAAAATGAGAGTGAGTAGAGGTTGTTTTCTTTCCAGTTTTTGCTTATGGCTTAACAGTTTTTTTCAGAGTATCTTTATATTGAACAAGTATGTTTCTCATTTTATTTTTCTTGAGGATTAAAGACATTCATTATGTTCTAGGTATAATAGTTTCAACAAAACAACAAACAAAACAAAACAAAGCAAGAAAATAAAACTAAAATGATTATAATTCCAGTAGCTGTAAAATTGTGTCATATCAAGCATAGTGATCACATTGTCTTAATTTACTCTTTTGTCTATTATAACAAAGATAAACATTCAGATGAAAAATATGTTAGGAACCATTCATATTTAGAAAATGTTTTAATACATCACTGTAATTAGGTTTCAAAATTGGCTTCTTCATTTATTATAATTTAAGGAAGATATTTAACATATATGCTAATATTGAAGTGCTGAATTAAATGAAGAAATGAAATAAAGAATATGGGCATTAATTTAGACAGTAATGTGTTTTGCTGCTGATATTAATTACCAGGCATTATAGTGGATGCTCTCATGATATACTTCAAAATAGTCAACAACTATAAAAATATATATTTTCACTATATTTCACATACAGGTACTGAGAGAAGAAGCAATGCACTTTTTAATGTGCCATAAATTCCTTTATATCAAATAACTGTAAATATGAAGTTTCAGCTTTTGGAGATTATTGTTGTTAACAGGAAAAAGACTGTTATCATTGCCTCTGCCAAGTCATAGTTGCTGCATTTAGACACATTGAGAAAATACTATAGAATCCCTATTATAAAAAATGCTAAATCTTTCCTGAATGACTCAGAGAGGCAAGATAATATTTATATCTCCATTCACATTCAGTATTATGGTAACTACATTTTTCTTAGATACTGAGTTTGCAAAAAGGTCATTTCATAGACTTTCAATATATAGATGAATTGACTGCTCATGTAAACACAGGTTGCTATTCAACATTGTAACTATGTAAAAACATACCTTGTTTTATTGTGCTACACTTTATTGTGTTTCACAGACAATGAATTTTTTACAAATTGAAGATCTGTGCCAACCCTGCATTGAGCAAATTTATTAGTGCCATTTTTCCAACAGCATAGTACTCACTTTGTGTCTCTGTGTGACATTTTGGTCATTCTTAAAATATTTCCAACTTTTTCTTTATTATTATATCCAAAATAGTAACCTTTTTTTCAGTGATCTTACTATTGTTATTTCTATTATTGTTTTGGAATACCGGGAACTGCGCACATATGACAAACTTAATATGTGTTGTGTGTGTTCTGACTGCTCTACCAACCAGCTGCTTCCCCGTCTCTCATATTCTCCTTCTCCTTAAGCCTTCCTCTTCCCTGAGACACAACAGTGTTGAAATTAGGCCAATTAACAACCCTACAATGGCCTTTAAGTGTTCACATGAAAGGAAGAGTTACACATCTCTCACTTTAAATCAAAAGATTAAAATGATTAAACTTACTAAGGAAATCATATTGAAAGCTGAGATAAGCCAATAGCTAAGCCTTTTGCTCCAAATCGCCCACTTGTGAAAGCAAAGAAAAAGTTCATGAAGAAAATTAAAAGTGCTACTCCAGGGAACACAAAAATGATAAAAAGGCAAAGCAACTTTATTGCTGATATGGAGAAAATTTTAGCAGTCTGAATAGATCAAACCAGCCACAATATGCCCTTAACCCAAACCCTAATTTACAGCAGGGTCCTAACTTTCTTTAATGGTATCAAGGATGACAGATGTGAGGAAGCTGCAGAAGAAAAGTTTGAAGCTATCAAAGGTTGATTGATGGTGTTAAAGGTAAGAAGCCATCATGATAACTTAAAAGTGCAAGATGAAGCAGCAAGTGCTGATGTAGAAGCTGCAGCAAGTTATCCGGAAGATCTAGGTAAGGTTATTGATAAAGGTGGCTACACCAAACAACAGATTTTCAATGTAGATGAAACAGCCTTCTATTGGAAGAAGATGCCATTTAAACCTTTCATAGCTAAAGAGGAGAAGTCAATGCATGGCTTCAAACCTTCAAATTACAGATTGATTATACTGTTAGGGGCTACTGTAGCTGGTTTAAGTGCATTAGTGTAAGTGTAAGTCAATGCTCAATTGCCATTCCAAAATCCTAGGGCCCTTAAGAATTATGCTAAATCAACATTATGAATTATGCTACAATCTACATTTGTGATTAATAGGAGGAGGTCAAAATATCAACACTAACAGGAGTTTGGAAAAAGTTGATCCCAACACTCATGGAAAACTTAGAGAGGATCAAGACTTCAGTTGAGGAAATCACTGCAGATGTGCTGGAAATAGCAAGATAACTAAAATTAGAAGTGGAGCCTGAAGATGTGACTGAACTGCTGCAATCTCACAGAATAATTTCAGTGGATGAAGAGTTGTTTTTTATGGAGAAGCAAAGATAGTGGTTTCTTGAGATAGAATCTACTTCTAGTGAAGATGCCGTGAACATTGTTGAAATTACCACGAAGGATTTAGAACATTACATAATGTTCATTGATAAAGCAGTGGCAGGGTTTGAGAGGATTGACTCCAATTTTGAAAGAAGTTTTACTGTGGGCAAAATGCTATCAAACATCATGACATGCTACAGATAAATCTTTCATGAAATGAAATGATGAGTTAATCAATGTGGCAAACTTCACTGTTGTTTTATCTTAAGAAATTGCCACAGCCTTCAGTAACCACCACCGCATTGAGTCAGCAGCCATAAACATCAAGGCAAGACCCTCCACCAGCAAAAATACTATGACTCACTAAAGGTTCAGATGATTGCAAACATTTTTTAACAATAAAGTATTTTTAGTTCAGCTATGTACACTTTTTAGACATAATGCTATTGCACACTTAATAGACAACAATATAATGTAACTATAAATTTAATATTCACTAGGAAACCAAAAAATTGTGTGACTTGCCTCATTTCAGAATTTGCTTTATTGCAGTAGTCTGGAACTGAACTCCCAATATCTTTGAGGAATACCTGTGTTTCAAATTCTGACTTTTGACCATCTTTGACTTTAAAAAGCCTTTATTATTTGTCTCTGGATAACAGCATATATTTATGACAATAAATAAATATCTATTGAGATTGAAGACTCCTTTCAAGAGACTTTTTAAGAGTCTGGGCCTGGCGCGGTGGCTCATGCCTGTAATCCCAGCACTTTGGGAGGCCAAGGGGGGGGCGGATCATGAGGTCAGGAGTTCGAGGCTAGCCTGACCAACATGGTGAAACCCCGTCTCTACTAAAAATACAAAAACTAGCTGGCTGTGGTGGTATGCGCCTGTAATCCCAGCTACTCAGGAGGCTGAGGTAGGAGAATCACTTGAACCCAGAAGGCAGAGGTTGCAGTGAGCAGAGATAGCACCACTGCACTCCAGCCTGGGTGACAGAGGGAGACTCCATCTCCAAGAAAAAAAAAAGTCTGTACTAGGATATAAAATATAAATTTATGCTTTTATTACTACTGTATGCAAGTCAGCATTTCAGGCATTTTGAGAAATAATACAAAGTCCCTCTTTTCATAGGGCTTATGGCTAAGTTAAAGAAGATAAGGCGTAAATATATGAACCTTTAAATAATACAATAGATAAGTTTAATAGTTTAAGAATGTCAAGTGGTAGGTGTGAAAAGAGTGATATAGAGTTCCAGTACTGTAAGTTTTCACAAGAAGAGCGCATCACTGTAAGATGAAGTGATCCAGGTTATCATGACCTGTTTTGTAAACAAGCTTTTGATCACACAGAGAGAAAGAAGTCGAGAAAATTGTGAGAAGGTAGCATTCACAGTAGAGAGGGGCTGGGACTAAAAATCAGAGCACTGTACACTTTCTGAGTCTGCATTTTTAATATACATGGGTCTTGGTTAACTAAAAGATATGGACTGGCCACAGAGGTGAATGATTCTACAAACAAAATCACAGGGTGACAAACCAAAAGCATACTGACAGAAGTGATGGATAGGAGGATATCATCAGTTCAACTTAGAGCTTCAGAAGTTGAGCAATATGTGATATGCATATAATCGGATTTATGAGTCCAATCATACATTCATAAGTATTTGAGCATCACCTAAATATTAAATACTCTTTCAGACATAGTATTTGAGTGATGTCACATACAAGTGTTGTAACAAGAACTTTTCAATTTTCCTCAGTGTTTCAGCTATGTACACAAGTGACCACAATAAAAGACACCATATCATACGAGTACTAACATGAAAAGACTAGTATGGTAACCGTATAATTTATCTTCCAAACTGTGTAAAGGAGGTCCATAAATTATTAAAATAGTATTATACTATGATTAAAATGGTGTAAAAGTAGTATTATTAAAATGGTATATATTAAAATAAAAATATTTATTTACAGATGGACAAATTAGTTTTAATATATTGGTATAACCAAAAATTAGTTCCTTTAAAAAACAAATGCTGGCTGGGCATGGTGGCTCATGCCTGTAATCCCAGTACTTTGTGGGGCTGAGGCAGGCAGATCACGAGGTCAGGAGATAGAGACCATCCTGGCCAACATGGTGAAACCCCGTCTCCGCTAAAAATATAAAAATTAGCTGGGTGTGGTGGCACATGCTTGTAATTCCAGCTACTTGGGAGGCTGAGACAGGAGAATCACTTGAACCTGGGAGGTGGAGGTTGCAATGAGCCGAGATCACGCCACTGCACTCCAGCCTGGTGACAGAGGGAGACTCCATCAAAAAAAAAAAAAAAAAAAAAAAAAAAAAAATCATGTCATCTGCAACCAGGGACAATTTGACTTCCCCTTTTCCTAATTGAATACCCTTTATTTCCTTCTCCTGCCTGATTGCCCTGGCCAGAACTTCCAACACTATGTTGAATAGGAGTGGTCAGAGAGGGCATCCGTGTCTTGTGCCAGTTTTCAAAGGGAATGCTTCTAGTTTTTGCCCATTCAGTATGATATTGGCTGTGGGTTTGTTGTAGATAGCTCTTATTATTTTGAGATACGTCCCATCAATACCTAATTTATTGAGAGTTTTTAGCATGAAGGGTTGTTGAATTTTGTCAAAGGCCTTTTCTGCATCTATTGAGATAATCATGTGGTTTTTGTCTTTGGTTCTGTTAATATGCTGGATTACGTTTATTGATAAAAAAACTGATGCAAAAATATTTTCAAAGAGTAAAATATAGCCCATATCTATGCACACTCCTAAAGAAATATTCTAAATTACATTGTATTGGTTAAAGGAGCATTACAAATAAAATAAACAAAACTGTTTTTGGCAAATAATCATGTACCTTATTCAGTGGCTTAGCTGAATCTCTCTAATATTCTCATTAATATTTTTCTGATAAATATATTTTCTAATGTGGTCATATTATTTTTAATTTTTAAATAAAATTTTCTGAAATTTTCTTCACAGTTATATTTTATGACTTATAAATTTGAAATTAACAGAATCTTCAATTGGCTTTTCTCTGTCAACCGAAATATTCTATTAATAAAATAATGCCTTTAAGTGTGCTTCCAGCAAAGCATCATCAAAAAAATTCCTACCAAAAGTTGAGATATCCCAAGTGCCACTGGAGAATTAAAAATTAAATGACATACATTTGAGAACTTGTTTAATTTGTTTAGTCTCCTTGCTCTGTAGGGATGAATTTCAATATCTTCCTGGTTGCAGACCTGGTTTTCAGTAATATCAAGGTGCTGAAAGTGTCAAAATTTAAATTTTTTGGCACTTCACACATTAAAAGAGAATAGTTTCAGCTGTGTGGTAACTTTTCACTAACATATTTCTTGTCTTTGCCATTCAAAACAGATGGGAGACAGTGAGAATTTTGATTAATTCTCTTCTCCATCTGACAAACTGCTAACCTCCTAATACTTATTGGGACTCTCAATAAAATTAGTTTGAATATTTATTTAAGTGCATAGAATTAATATTATAATTAACATGAATAGAATATTACAAGTATATTTATATATTAATTATAACTAATCTGATTGATGTTACAAGTGCAAATATAGTGCTGTAAGTATATTAGTAATAAAACATAGTTATATTACTTGAATAAAGATACGTCAAATATTTTACATGATTCCACTGGATATCTCAGAACTCTAGATTCCAACCCCCAGGGCATATGTACCAGTCTCTACATCTGCATCATCAGTCTTGCTTCTTTACTTATGTTATCAAACACAGAAAATCATATACTCAGTATTTCATTTTCCTGGTATTCCAAATGAGTATCTGGTGTAAATTTCTACTTCCTCAAACTGCTTCACTTCCTCTTCCTTAATAATGTTCAGTAGAAGTATTCCTATTTGTCATACAAATACGGAAGCATTCATTTTATTTTTACTTGTGTGTGGGCAGAAAGTATTTTCTAATTGGAAATATTATGAGTGTTTCAATTATATTTTGTATATTTTATGTAATTCTATTTTTGATTATATTTTATATAATCAAAGCACCCATACTATTTCCAATTAGAAAATAGATGCTTTCTGCTCACACCATCTCTAACTAGAAAATCAGTGCAATTATATCAAAATCATGATAGTGGTTTCCAGTGGATTCTTGTATCCAGCTGTCCCCATTACATTTCTCAAGAATACTTACCTTGTCCATCAATTCCACAGTTATAATCTTACACAATGGATTTATAGTACTACAGTTTGTCCTTAACTATTTAACTAGATGTGTTCTGGTAATCATATCAAAGTACTGATAGATGAATAGTTAGTTGGAATTGCCAATTTGCAAAAGAATTAACAATTACTTCCACGTTCTAATTTTCTGTTAAGAAAAAATACAAAATTTATACTTAATTTTCCACTTTGCCCTTTCATATTTAACACCTAGTTTTGCTAACAGTGGCAAAACTTAAGCTTGGACCTAATAACAGTCATTCTAAATTATACTTAATCCTGAAATTTCTAAGTAGGCACTTGCTGAATTTCCCTTAAAATACTTTTAACTAGTAATTGTTCTTTAAATATCAGTACATTTTTTTCATATTCATTTTCTCCCTTAAATCTTCAGAAGAGAATTAGACAGCAGTAAAAGAAGAATAGAGTAGAGCTACAGACATGGAAAGAGAACTCTCCTCCCATTGCTCAAGCTGATAGCTTCAGTTACTAGGACCAAACTACTGACCTTCTGTGGGATTCAATTCCTAGTTTGCATTTTGTGAATCTTAGATTTAGATTTCTCCTGTCTTTATCAATGAGTTCTTATAAAGATTAAATGAAATAACGTGAAAGTGACTAGAAAGAAGTGATAAAAATATAAAATAATACCTTGGCAAGGGATAATCTAGTAGTATCAATTTTGTTTTCTACTACTAATTTGTTTCATCTGTGTAAGGAATCCAGCACAAGTACTTAAGTATATGTAGGAGTCTGTTGAAAAGAACTGAACCGAACCTAGTGGATTACACATTTATATGTAATCATACATGTAAGTTTTTATGTCCCATGGGATGCTGAATTGCTTTATCAATTTTTTGGAGAAGAGTAAATTTTGTGGGGGCATACTTATTTCTTACCTGAGTTACTGCTACCCCAAATACTGTGCTGTCAAAAAGATATTACGTACTTAAAAAGAATCCAAACAACAGTAGAAAAATCTGCTCTCAAAATTAAGCAATAGAATATGGCACTTATCCTGACAACTGAGCAAACCTTTGCTTGAATGGTTTACTGTGGAGCTGATAAAGTCGAGCATTAGTGAGTTGCACATTCAGGACGGTAACATCTACTGATCATGAAAATAACACAAAGCAAAGTCAAAGAACACTTTTACGGACCTTACATAATTTCAATGAACAGGTTAATCAAGTGAAAAGAATGTTAAGAATCACAGACCTCTTCAACTTTTCTTCCTGCATTAATAATGCCTTATTCACCTTATTGAGAGTCACCATTAGCGATTTACAACTGAGTCATTTTTTTTCTAGGAAAAAGACACAAAACCTCAAGACTTCTAAGGTTTCAAAGGTTGCTGTAAGAATGTGATTCAGCAAGAGGCAAACATAAGGAGTGTTATCTTTGCCTACCAAAAAAGTGCCATTGTAGTTTGTTAGCCTTGACAGCCTGAGGAATCTTGCTAAAATATCAAGTTCCAAGGGAAGGTAGTAACTAGTATACTACAGTGCTCACAGACCACTGTTTTTTTGCTTATAGTGTTGGCACTTGGCACAGACACAACATAACAGATGGCACAAATATATCAATTGTTCTCAATTCAAGAACAGTGTCACACGCAGAACTCAATTATGCACATATGGATACAGAAGCCCTTTGTACAAGAAGTTTTATCAGCTACCTCTACATCTGTGCCTTTATTATTTATACCAACAAAGCCTCTTCAGGAATTCTTTCTGAGGTAAAGCTACTCCCTTTAATTATAAAGCACCAGGGTGATTTGCTCAACACTAAAGACCACATGAAATGGGAAAACAATATTGAAGGCTGACAACCTGGGCATCTGCCAACACTGATCCCAGAATATCCCAATCATATTCCCCCAAAATACTGATGTAAGATCTTTCTGATTCTCATGTACAGGCTGATTAAATTCATAATTAACTCTGCTGGATTCCAGATAGTCTCAAACAGGCTATTGATGAAATTTCCAAAAGATAAATGTCTTAAGGAAATTAGTTTCAACAGAAATCAACTACCCAAAAGACACAACTAGCTGCTTAGCATGCTGTCTTATAAACACACTGGCAAATTGTTTGTCCCAAAGCATCAAGAGTAAGCTATATTTTATTGCCTAGGACTGATTTAATTATTGAAGTCAGTAGAACTGAGTAACTTATTCTACACTTTTTAGCATAACCTGCCAAGTGTGTCTGATTTTCTATCAGAAATTACTTAGAAAGCTTGGTTAACAATGCTTATTGATTTTCATGACCATTCTGAGAGATGGACTTTATAACTCATGAAGGCAACTTTTCACATTTATTCAAAGTGGCCCTAGCTCAATTTCATGTCATTACAGTGACACTCACAACTCTGTACCAGTTTTATGTAGGTAGGCATGTAGGTATGCATGTGTGTATGTATGTGTCTGCATATTGGTAGTAATAACAGTTCATGATAGTGACACTAAAACACGTAACATAGAATGTGCATTTACCTCCACTTATTTTAATAAATTTATTGACAGAAAACTTATTTTCAAATGACAGTTCTCTCAAGTAAATGATGAACACTAATATGCCCACGGTGACTCTTTGGGATCACACTGGTCAAGCAAACAGGGCTGGGATTTTCATCACTGGTTTGTTTGTCCATGTGATGAATGAGTCCTCTTGGTTAATGCTGAAGCACTGTCACAAAATATTTTGTGATTTGCCCTGCCAGAGCATAACTGAGAATTCGACACAAAAATGTCTAATGTACAGAATGTTGTTATTCACTATTTATTCATGATATCCACAAGAGCTACTCTTTATCAGAAACCACGGAGCAGCTTTATAGGTATTCCTCCTTTATGCAGAGGGCAGAAGGCCTGTGTTCTGAGTTTTTCTGAAGTCAGATGCAGCCACGCGTCACTCACCACATTGAAATATTGAGAAGGAATTTACCTTGGTGATACGAAAATAGAAAATCATTTTAAGGAGCAACACTCCTGTATCTCACCGTTTTTGTTTAATTAAGCTCCTAAATATGCATAAGACTAACAAAAAGTTAGAACAATGCCTCCCTGATCTTGAAGGGAAGGGAATGACAGTGAAACTTACAACTATGTGAAAGGCAACTACTATGTTGCTTCTATGTGCAAAGCAATTTAACCTGGATTAAGTTAATTCAAAATATAATAATATAAAACTGTTAAGGGCCTCAGAAGGGGACATCTTCCTTACTAATAAACTGCTATATTTAGTAGGGTAAGGGAACTATATATGCCAAAAAGTGTTGGGACTGAATATTCTGGGGTGGGGGGGGGTGCGCGCGTGTGTGTATGTTGTAATTTGCTGTAGAAGTATGTTACTATTATGTAAAGTACAGAGTATAGTATGTTATGGTGAAAGGAAAAATGAGTAATATAATATTGAAATTAATATTATTAAAGTAAAATAGTAGTAAAGAGTGGAGAACATGGCTTCTTAGGATGGTACTAGCTAGCAGTGCCATATATGAATGTATGAGAAGGGTTGTATTTTTTTTTCTTCTCTCTGGTTTATTATTGTGTCCTCAGATTCAAAATGGGAGAATCATGCTGATTATTCCATAAATTATGAAGAAGGAAATAGAAAACTAGAGTCAAATAAAAAGAAGCAGAGTTACTAAGAATTTATATTTACTTTACAGACTGGATAGAAACAAGAAGGGTTGATGGAAAAAATCAAATAAGAGTAGCATAATTTTGATTCGACAACTGAGACAGCTGTTGCCATAAAGTTTAATTTGAACATAAGCAACTTAATAAAAACTGAAACACCAGGGAAGCAAAGGTTAGATTCTGACATGTTTGCTGATAGGAAGCTGCTGACGTGGGGCATGGTGACAGCTGTGTTTCAGTTTTCAGAAGATTTAGTGTAGCGGTTGGACACCAGGGTAGGCATATTATGGTCAGGAAGAAGCTAATGAGTGGCAGAAGGACTCACGGAAAACCAAATCTTAATGAAGAGAATAAATAAGTGCAGCTTTCATATGCATCAGTGAGGATGCCCTGTGTGAGCTGGAAAGAGGGATGGATGGAGTAGAGCTTTAAGGAATCTTAGGGAGATGTCATTTATCTATCTCTTCTCAGGTAGAATTGAAATTTGTGTTCTATAATGATTCTACCAGCAGGAATGAGATGTATTTCAGAATAGATTCTTTGAGAAGAGTAATTTTCAACTGTTTCTCCACCATGACGCTTGGAAAATAGTAGCATGCGCAACAGAATCCCATGTGTTCTCAGACTAGAGAGAAGGATTTTAAAAGACTGTGCAAAGTACAGTTTCTGGACTGCTAGAGTAAACTCCATCCTTCATTTTAAAGAAAGCATATCCATGGCATAAGCTCAAATTTGCAATAATCTCTTTTCATTTATATCTACATAAACAAACCAAGTCACAGATTTTAGTACTTTACATGAACAAAAAATTACTCATTACATGCACTCATAATTCTCTGCTTGGTTATCACTTTTCTTTGTATCTGTCCACACAACTCTGAGTTCTAATACCATTTCAAACTTCCACTTTCTGTGTCTATGTAGTTTTCCCCAATTCTGCTAGCAGCTCTTAGTGGCTTGCTCCATTTATATGGGCTAGGAATACTTGCAAGATAGTGGAAGGAAAATGGAACTCCCCCCACACATATCAGAAAAGGATAGCTGCACTGGAAAAAAAAAAGGGGGGTATCCTTGTGAAGACAATAAAAAAGACTTGCCTTGGGTAACATGATTTCTCATCAGAGTGAACTCCAGGTACATTTAAACACAAAGTGGAAAGCTCATAATTTTTCATCTTGGCAGGTGACAATATGTGACTAATCCATCTTTTTCTTCATGGCTAGAATTATACAATGCTAGTACTATCATAGGAAAGACTAAATATTACATCAACTTTAATCTTCTGTTGGCAATAGCTACTCAATAAAGATCCAGTAAACTACTGAGTAATTTGCCAGTGGGAAAGGAAAATATGTAGACAATATGAGATAATGGATTGCTTCTACTTCTAAAATGACTTCCATATAGATTGTGTTTTTTTCAGATTGAACTATATACAGGCACTTATATATATTCTACACAATTAGCTATCTAGGCAGGACCAAACCAGATGGCAGAGGAGACAGCTGGCAGGGACCACCAAGTGAATCATGAATATTTCATAAAATCAAAAAGAATTCTCAGAATTTGAAAGAACAATAGAGGAGGCTAGCACTTCAACAGCCCATTTAGTTGAACTGAAATTTCTGGTACTAGTATCCCAGCATTCAATTTATCCATATTATGAAATTAAAATAACAGCCCCAATTTTTATGTATACAACAAAGTATTTGCTTTTGTCTTTTATAGGACAGGCTGTCACTAAAGAATACTCTTCTATATAATACAATGTTCCTAAGAGTTCATAGGTTCAAATCCAGACTTTATCACTTGTTAGACATGTGACCTTGAAATGTGTTAACTTCATTTCCCTTAGGTTTCAATTTCAATGAGGATAACAGTGCTTAACTCTTAGGTTTGTCTTGAAAATTAAATGAGATATCATATATGAAGCACTTATTATAGTCCCTTACTCCCTCTCAGCTATTACAAAGTTTCTATGGAATATTAGTCATAAGAGACTAGTTTACTGTGAGAGTAGGACTTGTAAAGCTTTGTTTACTATAGAAATTCAAGTACTCATTTAGTATTTCTTAAATAAATTACTAGATATAAATCATGAGCATTTAATGAAAACTAAAATCTTCATAGTAAAATTTGTTTAAAAATTCTGCTACAGTTTCTATTCTCCTCTTGAAAATCCATGATATTCTTTAACAAGAAAAAAATGTTCTGAGAAGTATTGCAAACATATACAGGAAACAGGTAAAGAAACATGTTAACATTTGTTACACATTTTCAAAAAATTGTTAACCACTCCTTTTATCTCCTTTTATTTTTGAGGTTCTGCTAATGTCTAGTTACACATTAGAAAATAGGAGTCTTTGAACATTGTGTGATTTATTAAAAAGCAAGATCAAAGATTAAAAATAATTTATAGTAAGGCTCCTAGATCCAGATAGATAATAAAATACAAATTTTTCTTGGATAATATGTCAAATGTTACTTTGCTGGTTATAGCAATGTGCTTACTAATCTGATTAAACACAAAAAGGTATAAACATCAAGCTTCTAGTTATTGAATAATCATATATGGATTAGAACACACACACACCCACACACACACACACACACACACACACACACACACCCCGCGTAAGACACAGCTAGAAAATACAGAAGCAAGAGATCATTGATTGTTTCTTTAAAGGATTATGGGATTACAGTGCAAGTATCAGAACACACACTCTGAATTAGGCTTTATCCTCAATGATTTTGTCTGGCTACCATCTGGTCCTTCAATATGAAATAAGTAGTGGTAATATATTTAACTTGTCTTATTGGGGTCATATGGCCAGACATTTTTTATTATTATGAATGTACTTCCTTTTCTGTCCTTTCATATTTCTATTTAAAGTTCTGTGGAAATGTCACATAGTTTGACAGGAGCATCAAGATACAGAATAATAAAAGTGAAGACATCCTCTGCCTTAGAAAGGTCATTTCCTGAGGATTATTTAAATCTTTTATAGAATGTAAAGAAGATCTTATAGTTTTCAGAAAGAAAAGAAATATTATGCTCATCTTGGGACTTAGAAAACAACTTTTATTTTTAAGTACTGACTTGTCCATTCTATTATCAAAGAGAACACTTATTAAAGAGCAATACCAGCTGTCACTGGATAATTTGCCTTAATAGTCTCTAGTATCATCTTTTTGTCATTTGTGTCTTAAGAGTCAAAGCAGCAAAGTTTAGTCATCTATGGCTTGGACATTTAAATTATTTGGAAATTTTATATCTACTAAATGGTACACATGAAAACAATACTTTTTATGGAAAAAGTTAATGATGTCTGTGAGAACATTTCCCAACTTACAACAATAGTTAATCAGTTTTTCTCCTCTCATACTGGAATGTTTCTAAGGGAAAAATATGAAATTCCTTCATTCACTGAAACTAAAACTTGGTCATTTTCCCTAATGTTTGCAAGAGAAACAAAATAGTTAATACAACTGTGTTTTATAATAAACTCCTAAAATTAAAAGTTAATGTTCAAATATTTTGTGCCTTCAATACACTAGCTAGATCACTTGGCTAGAACTTAGCTAGATCACTATCTGTAATAACACAGAATTCAGGATAAGACTCTCTTGGATCCCATCCAAAGGTTGAAATACAAAAAGAGACTTGATTATAGGTTAGCATTTTGTCATGGACTCAGAAAATTGCACAGTTGTATGGTCTCACTAGGAGGAGAATAATGGCTTCCAACTCATAATTTCATGATTTAGTAATAAAAGCTACGCCTAACAATACACTCTTTCTGTCAAAAGATCAAAACTAGCAGATACTTTCAATAGTTGAGGTACACAACACGACAATAAAACTGCTTCCACTGACACTGCTTAAGAAATTCTCAATTAAAATCTATCCACAATATGAACATAAGCAAAAGAAAGAAACGAGTGATAATAATCTGTAGTAAATCTAATTTGGAATTTTAAATTTGGAGGTGGCTAAATTGTTAAAATGTCCACAGTAAAATTAAATCTATATTTTTATTCAAAAGCAAAAATAAAATGTAGATTAAAATCTACCAATGTTACCAGAAGACGTTCAGGACTATTCACCATTCAAGTGATTAGTTAAGTTTTGAACAATTTTTTTTTAAATCTCAGTTTTCTTCTTCCCATAAGGGGACAATTATTGGCAGCTCCATGTTTGTTACAATGAAATGCTTCAGAACAATTAACTAGTAATTTATATACTGTAACAGTTGGTAGAAATCATTTATGCTTAAATTTATTATGCATTAGAATAGTATAATGTAGTGACTTTTATTTGTATAATGTTTTTCACTCAAGAATAGAATATTCTATCATTCAGATCATTTGTTGGTACTACTTCATAGTAATTTGATAGAGACCGGAGTTCTCCAGTAATCATATACTTATTTGCACTTTGCCAAAAGCTCCTATAAAATGAGCACAGCTGTGTAAATTGTTTCACTTTGATATGCAGAGAAATTAAATTTTGAGCTCAGTGCTACAAAATGAATTGTGAGCAAAAATAGCATCCATGTCTCCCCTGATGATTCCTGAGGCTTGCATGAAGTTGATTAATAGCATAGCAATATGCCTCGACTAAACCTAATCGCTTACATATCATTTAATATTGACAAGTGAAAATGAGTGATGTGAAAACATTTTCAACCAAAAGTACTGAAATTGTATACTTCATTCCCCAATAACTATAACTTATACAATCTTGAGCTTTACTTGGCTCTTTAGTTATTCATTGTAAATAGTTATCCTTAAAAAAAAAAATTCTTCTCATACACTAGGAAAGTAACCTCTGATGAAAAAATGTTAACAGATTATTAGAAATATAAATACATTTTATTATTCTAGCATTATGATGATGCGAGGTATGCTTTTAATAAAATAGCATTGTTTATTAAGCACATTTTATCCATTATTCATAATTGAACAGAGATTGCTTGAAAACACCTGGAAGCAATTTGCCTTCTCTATCAACATTTTACTTCCAGAAAGGTTATTTACTTCCTAATTTGGTTTCAAATTTAGTTTGGTTCTCAATTGTTCATAATTAATAACTATTTATAAATCCTGAACATTTACACCACTGATGATAAATAATACTTATTATACATTTTACAAAATTATCACTTTTTTTCTATTTTTTTGGGGGGGACTTTTTTTTTTCTGACACAGAGTGTTGCTCTGTGGCCCAGGCTGGAGTGCAGTGGTGTAATCTCAGTTCACTACAACCTATGCCTCCCGAGTTCAAGAGATTCTCTTGCATCAGCCTCCCGAGTATCTGGGATTACAGGTGCATGCCACCACGCCCAGCTAATTTTTGTATTTTCAGTAGAGACGGGTTTCACCATGTTGGCCAGGCTGGTCTTGAACTCCTGGTCTCAACCGATCCGCCAATCTCGGCCTCCCAGAGTGTTCGGATTACAGGCGTGAGCCACTGCACCTGGCCCCTATGTTGTTCTTATATACTAGGATCCATACTGGCTATCTTTTTATTTAATCTTTCTGCTTTATAAAACTATGTAGTATAAGATTTTGTCTTGCCCAAAGAAAGGTATTGCCTTTGTATTCAGCTTCTGGGAGGTGTCCATGTTATACGTGATACAAGTGTCTTTGCTTAGGTTGGGAACTGGTCACACCCAACAATCTTAGGTTGTAGCACAGACATGCCAGAAGAACCATCCATGTGATTTAGGGAGGAGGCTTTGGGTCAGACCATATCAGTTGACCTGAGTTCAACCACGGGGTAATCGATCAATCAATCATACCTATATAATGGACCTTTAAAGAAATATCTGAACACAGAGGCTTGAATAAGTTTTACTTGTTGGCAATACTCTGCGCATATTGTCACAAATCAGTGCTCGGAAGGTAATGCCCATCCTGCTTCCACCAGAAAAAGGATGGAAGCCTCACACTCGGAACCCTACCAAGCTCTGCCCTATATGACTCTTCCTTTGGCTGATTTTAGTCTGTATTCTTCCCTACAATAATCTGTAACTTTAAGTACAGTTGCTTTCAATGAATTCTGAGTCCTTCTAACAAGTTATCAAACCTAACAGTGACCTTCAGGACTGCAATTGGTGTCAGGAGTGAAGACAGTCTGCAAAGGATTGTGTCCTCAAGCTTTGCAGCTGGACTAACTCCTGGGCAGAAGTGCTTGGATGACAAATTAACTAAAAGGCAAACATGCACACATACAAACACACACACACACACACACACACACACTCAAAACACTCAAATACATAAACACAGAAACTCAGTCCACACATAAAAATGAACATCAACAGACCAAACCGTAGATTAATAAATATATTTTAATAACTTACTGTCAGTGCCACGTTACTTCCTCTCATGCCTCTTGCACTATAAATGGATTTTAATAGTCAATTCAAGTGTTGATGCAAAACAGCCTTAAATATAAGAGCAAAACACCCTTAAGTATAAAGCTTCTAAAATTGAAAATATTAAATCATTAATTGTTTGTCTTGATGAAAAGGTAATAACATAGGGTAGTGGAAATGCAATTAAATATAATTCCTTATACTGTGTTCCTTTTTTAAAACACAAAGGATAGCTCCTTTAATCAGTTTTCTGAAGACATCATTTTCAGACCTTGCTCATTACTTTATCCACAAGTATCATTCTTGTGGATACACCCATATTGGTCAATACCAATATTAAAATAAAAAATTTGGAATTCTGAATTCTAAGTTTATCTTGTTTAGTACAGAGTAAAATCATACATCTAAAATTTAATGAGTAAAATAGCATTTCTCTGATCAGAGATGGCGATAAATATTTTATGAAAAGGATTTGAGGCATCAAAAAACAATTTAAGTAAAACAAAACAAAAATTATTTCTATTTACCTTAATTCCATTTTGTTATACTAAATTACTATTACTGGCTATCACATCAATGTCCATTAGAACCAATTAGGGAGTTTTTTGATTTTCAGATCCTAATTCATGCTATCCCAAATTGATAGACTGGGCAGAATCCTGAGTTTCTGCATTTTAACAAGCTCCTAGATAGTACTGTTGCAGACCAAAGTTTAAGAACTACTGATAATATAAATTAAAGGTTGAAAGACTGGACCTAGCACACTGCTTTGTGTTAAATAAATATGGCAGAATTTAAATTAATTACATTTTAGGAAGTTAATGAATTACAATTTCTAAATTAATTTGTCATTTTTGACAGGTAATCAATGTGTTTAAACTATTTCATAACCATTGCTTTTTTTTTGACTATACATTTTGCTGAATCCATTATAAGAAAATAAGTCTTGCCAGTTGTTCTGAATGTTTTAATGTTTCATTTGATAATATTTATATCAAAGTATTTTCAGCAGAAACTTCTTCAATATACTTTTATAAATATGAAAAATCAGTTCACACACTTAAAATAAGGAAAAGATTAGTATAAGAAAATTATCAAATGTTTGTAATACAATAATAAACATTTATATTCATTTCTTTAATATAAAATTATTTCTTATTCGTCTAACAGGATAAAAATATTTAGAATTAAAGCAAGTTAAACAACAAATTTCTTAAATTCTGTATATTATATAATATATTTTGTGTAAAGGTGACATGTTTAATTCAGTTGGTTGAAAAAAATGAAGACCGCATTTCATTTTTTACATTTAAAAAAAAGCACTGGTCTATATCCAGTGGTCTATATCCATCCAGTGTCTACTCACTTCTAAGCCTGTGGTCATAAAAGGAGGAAAATGGTAAGTTTATGTTAAGAGTTTTGTAAAGTCCTTAAGCAGCATCCTGGGAGATATGAGATAAGTGCCACTATTTTTATAGGTTTTAGGAAAAGCTTTTTATTGTCTAAGTTTTGCCATTGCTTTCAAAGAGCACTAAATTTCTGCTGATAGGAAATTAAATTCTTACATACTTGAATTATCTTTCTAAATCTCTACTCAACATTGTTCGTATCCAAAATGCCAAGGAAAACCAGTGAAAGGTAGACTGCTGCAGGAGCAACAGGGTTCTGAGGTGTCTTGGAAACCCACCAGACCTAAGCCTTCTGGGCCTCTTTCCTGAGGGAACCACAACCAAGATGTGGAATAGTGCATTGGAAATCCATGGCTACTCCAGCTATGGAAGAGCCAGTGGTTGTGCAGAGTCCTCTGGGGCTTTGGAACACTGACGTCGTCTCAGAAAAAAAATCAAGAGCCCAAGCCCAGAACATTGTACTCTGTACCAGATCTCAGCGTCTTTTTGCCATTCTTGTTGGTGAAATATTCAAAATTTGGAATGCTGAGATTTCTCAAATCAATACTGTGGAGATAATTAGATATTGCAGAGAGGACTCCAGCCAATATTGTTGATGAAATGGATGACACAACAGTTGCATCAATAGGGGCTCACCAGTGATTTAATGCAGACAGTGTCAGTGGTAACCACACTGTGGTTCCTTCAAAAACATATGGGAAAGTGATGGCCATCTGAGATCTTTTCAGAACAAAAAGAGCCTAGTAGCTTTTAACATCATGCCCCTCAAGGATATGAATGAGCTTTCCACACATATTCTGGAAGTAGCCAATGCATATGATACTGAGCAAATCTAACAGCAAGGGAGAGCACCTAGCAGCAACCCAGGAATGGGTGAAGTAGGGAACTTTGGTGGGAATAGCTTCATGCCAGGAAATAGCTTTACAGTGGCCAAAAACTAGGTGTTGGATTTGATTAAGGTTTGCCCAAGGTTTGAAAGATTGAGCTTTCAGGATCTTAAGAAACAGCTCCAACACATCTGTAGCCTCAATAAAGGAAGCTGTGAATTTTTCTTAGAATACAGGGATACATTTATCCCACTGTGAATGATGATCATTTAAAATCTATAGACACAAATAACTAGATTTAATTGGGTATTGGAGATATTTTCCAGCAGGATCTGTTTTCAGAATCCATTGGCTACAGCTGTGTATATATTTGGCCAGTTGACTTCTAAGAAGTAGGTCTC
This sequence comes from Homo sapiens, assembly GCF_000001405.40. Classification (NCBI taxonomy): domain Eukaryota; kingdom Metazoa; phylum Chordata; class Mammalia; order Primates; family Hominidae; genus Homo; species Homo sapiens. Next base: position 46,997,296 of record NC_000014.9, read on the forward strand.
ATGAAAGTTTCAGTTGGCATCCTTATGAAATTGCCTAGTCTTCTGTTTTTGCTTCTTGACTTTTTTAAGCTCAAAGGAGATTGATAGAGATGTATATACTAGGGCAGAATTTCCCGAAGAAATTACAAATAAGCTTGTTATAACATCAGGTTAGATGGAAGAAAAGTGCCACCAACAGAGGTAAGCAGTATTACTTAAATAACATTTGGGGGTTTGTTATTCTTAAAATGTTTCCTTAAAATGAGCAGTACTAAGGCCCGTGGTTAAAGAGCTAGCTAAGAAACCCACTAACCCCTGCCTATTTGTGTTTCCCACTTTGGTTATTTAGCATTACTGTCAGAATTGCATTTTCTTTCACTTTTTTGTTGTTACTGCTGCCAAAAATGCATTTATAGGAACATAAGGTTCTGGAGAGGTGGCCTCAAGGGGCAGAGGAGAGGAAGAAATGTGACTACATTTTGTACCAAATAAGTGCATTCACATGCTTAATAAAACTGTTGTATTGTAAAAAAATGCAAAAGAGAAGATAAAATGTTTGTTAAATTTATGAGTATTACTAATGAAATTCTATTATAATGGGAAGGAAGTAGAGTGAACAAGTTTTGTGTGTGACTGATTTCAAAATCATCAACAATCAAAACTTCTGTAGACACTTTAAGTTTAAAGGCCAATGGTGATTTTGTTATTTGAAGACTTTTGAATAATCCTTATTGAATATCATCAGAAAAAAAATAAGAAACAAGAGTCAGACATTTAGACAAAGAAATAGATGGAAGAGAAGGAAAAAAGAGTTATTTTTGAAGAGCCCTGAAGAAGAAAAGGGAAATGAAGTGAAATATCATAGGGCTTAGAAAATAATTTATCTAGACCAGGCATGGTGGCTCACACCTAAAATTCCAGAACTTTGGGAGGCCAAGGCAGGAGGATTGCTTGATCCCACGAGTTTGAGACTAGCCTGGGCAACATGGTGAGATCCAGTCTCTATAAAAACAGATGAAAAGAAAAAATAATAATTTATCTGTCTATGAAGAGTGAGGAAACCAAGTCAACTGTAAGAAGGGTGGAGCTAATGAAGCTATCTTGAGAAACCTAGGGTTATATAAACATACGTATTAGAGGAAAGTTTAGAAATATATTATCTGGACATGTTTAATAAAGCTAAGTAGGCTAAATAAAGGTTACATAAACTTCTGTATTTAATTTTAAAACTCCAATATCAAGCTCTTTTGCATTTCTGAATCCAGTATGAGATCCAGAAGTTGAAAGCCAATAAGACTGAGTAACAAAATGAGAAAAGCTCGTGGAAAGTCTGATACTCGTACAAAATTCTTTTTAGTATAGCTATTCTTTGCAAAATAAAAATAATTAAAATCATTTTTCAAACCTCTCAGAGAATTTTAAAGTTTATGTTGCCAATTGTGAATACTAAATGAACACTAATTATCCACTACCCATCATTATTAACTAAATATGTGTATGATTTTATTTATATAATCTTAATTAGTGGGTCAACTTTTATCTTATTCAAGGTACTTACAAATTGGACAAGGAATTTGATGCCTTCATTTCTAACCTTAATTTCCCTTGCTCTGTTTTTCCTATATAATGTTAAGTTGTTCAACTACAAATTGTTCTATCATAAGAAATCTCAGGAACCTACCCTTCCCAGTAGGAAACAATCCACTGTTCACTAAATTACTTGTCAATAAAATGATAAAGTGAAATAGAAATGCAGAATGGAATACAGTAGATGAAAAATATTATCTCTGGCATACACTGGCTATTATTATTTTTATTCACCAATCAATAGTGTTGACTTTTTTAGTCAAATTTAAAATACAGCACCTTAAAATACGATTTAAGTATAAATTGTGGAATCAGAAGGCAAAAATTCTACTGTTGTCACAGCAGGTAAAAAAAAAAGCTGTAAAGCAATGCAGTCCACCTATTTTACAATATAATGCTAAAAAATGTAATTAAGGTAATAAATTTAAAAAAAAATCTTTTTTTCCAATTCTTGAGATCATAAGCACTAGCAAAAAAGCAGTATTTGCAGACACTATTGATTGGTTTTTAAATTAAGGTCAAGTGTTTGGAAAGGTATTGCAAAACTAGATTCATCATTACTAGCCCAAATAGGCACAAAATTACTAGATTCTAAATGAAGTGCAATATCTCAAAAAGAAAATATATTTTTTGCACTGTAATTGAAGAGTAGAAAAAATTTTCCCCTGATATTCCTCTTTGCAATTTATTGATAGATGTATTTGCAGTGAGGTAAACTTACTGTCATAAGTATAACTGAATAAACATGAATCCATCATTATTTAAATATTTAAAGTATTGACTAAGAAAGAAGGGGGCTGTAAGGAAACAAGGGCAGCCATATCTTCCCTCGTCTGACAGCTTGGAAACCAAAAAGAAGGCACTCCTCCACCCCCTTTTCTCTGGATTATCTTTGTGGGTATCAAACTTCATTCTGAAATTTTGAATCATCCTGACTAATATTTCAATTGATGAAGAAATAGCCTGGAAGGGCACACATACCTAACAAATTAGGACATGTAAGATCATCTGCTCTGTCTACCTTCACACATGTCTAAGGGGTTGGCTTTCACAAGAATGATACATGCTCATTAGATGTAACACATAGTATTTAATTATGGTGAAGTTTGAAGTGAATCACCTGGATTGAAATACCAGCATTGTCCTTTGATAGCTGCACACATTTTACAAGTCATTTACCCTTTACAACTTTTAGTTATCTTGCCTAAAAAAAACTGCAATTATATGTATAAAAATAAAAATATTATAGCTAAAAAGTTACATGAATATTAGTGGTTGCCATTTATCTGATACTTACTATATGCCAGATATATTTAATTCTCACAACACTGTGAGTTAGACATAATTATATCTATTTAATACACAAGGAATTTAAAGGGTAGAAAGCCTGACTTCAAAGCATGTAACTGCTCTAAGGATAATAATAGCTTTCTTGCTTAGGTTCCAGACAGCTGTGAGTATATATATATATTTATATATATATATATACACACACATATATATGTATATATATATTTATATATATATATTTATATATAAATATATATTTATATATATACACATATAAATATATATACATATAAATATATATATAAATATATATATGTATAACAGGTTGCAAGATCTTTGTAAGTTAAATTGCTAACTGTGCATTGTTGGCTATTATATCATGATATTTAAATATAAGAGGAAGTTTAACTCCCAAATTTATAAGCAAATGGCATAGAATGATTATAAAGTTTTAGGATCCAATATAAAACAAAAGTTTTTGAGATCTTTTAGGCCTTTGTAATCCATAAGTTCAAATATTAGGTATAGGGCAGTTAAGTAAATTGCCTAAGGTTGCAGCAGACCTGGGAAGAGAACTGAATAGCTTAGATTCATAATCGTGGTGTTTTAGCATGCAAAGGAAGCTACACTTTGAATATTTGACTTTTCAGAGATAATGTTCCTTCAAGTATCAACATAGAGAAGAAAATAATACCATTTAAAACCTAAGTAATTCTTTGATTATTAAAGTAAGCATAGTTTGATTCTAAAACTAAGAAAACTACATATTATTTCAATATGACACACAAAGAAAATAGGTTAGCTTATCAAAGTATTTTAGGTGAGAAAAAAATACTACATCATCAGCCCAAGATGTGGACAGAACATAAAATACTCAGACTTCGAACACTAAACTAGGGGAGGAAACAGTGGAACTACAGTCAGGAAGTCAATTGCATTATATCACAGCAAGTAAATTGTCTCTTTTAACCTGTCAAATCAGGAACAAGATGGAAAAAATTTCAAGCCATTTATGCAGCCAGGTTAGGAATACAAAATATAAGCAAATTTTAAAAAGAAAAGGAATATGACGTACAAATATAGACAAGAAATCCAGCTGAATAAAAAAAAATCACAATTGAAGGAATGGAAGAAAATTTTACATAAGTGCTCTGTGAAATAGGATATCTTAATAAGAAATTGAGTTCTGTAAAATAGGTGTTCATAAACGAGGAGTTAAAGCAACAAAACAGGATGAAAAGAAACACTAAGCACTATGAAAACAATTCGAGGACCAAAACAACCAAGAAGATAAATTAGAAACAAAAGGGAACAAAACTTATGTGGCTGAAAGTTGTTACTAACATGGTAGAAAGATTTGATGTAACCAGGATACATGCATATAGGAAAAGAAAGAGACTTTTCAAATAAGAAAGGAACTAATAAATGGAGAAATCAAACACTATTCAATACAAAAATAAAGTATTCCTGAGGTAGTGACCTGAACAAATGAAACTGCAAACTACACAAAATGTAATTTTTTTTCTTAAAATAAAGAATCCACATTACCCCAAGAGAAAAACAAAATGATGTATAATACTCAACACTGGTACATATCCTGGTTAGGTTACTGAAATGCAAGGTTATAAGACATAGTTCTTCAGCAATTCACACGGACAGAATAAATTGCCTGGGAGAAGTATTGGTAGCAGCAGTGGTGGTATATACATTCTAGACATTTTCACAGCAATAATCAATGGAGTGGGGAGGGAGAGGGAGAGCACAGGCAAGAGAGATCTCCAGCCAAAATGTTGCTAAGCTATGAAAGCAAGAATTAAGATTCTCAACTACATATTTTTAAAGGCAAAATATATTGTATCTGTTATCTCCAGGTTGTGGAGTGGGGGCAACTGAATTGAAGATGCTGGGAATGGAGAGGTGCTGAGTAAACAGGACTGGTGGGCACTAAATTAATGTAATGCAAATATTAGACTAACACTAAATTTAAAAAATAATAATTATAAAACAATGTAAATTTCATAAACCTTCCCAATGTAAAACTAGTAACAAAACTTACAAAAACAAGGATAGAAAATCAGATTGAATAAAGAATAAGAAGGCTTAAATTCATGAATATGGTCTGAAGTCCTATATACTGTTAAAAATATATAATGGTTTATGTGTCTTAATTTTTCTCATAATTTCTTTTTTTAAGTTTAGAGAAATGGTTTAGGACAAAATATCTGTTGTGGGAAATAAATATTCCTGATGGATTAAGAAATTCAATAACTTATCTCTTACATTAAAAATTTTTAGGCCAGGCACAGTGGCTCACGCCTGTAATCCCAGCACTTTGGGAGGCCAAGGTGGGTGGATCACCTGAGGTCAGGAGTTCAAGACCAGCCTGACCAATATGGCAAAACCCTGTCTCTAATAAACAGAAAAAAAATTAGCCAGGCATTGTGGTGCATGTCTGTAATCCCAGCTACTTGGGAGGCTGAGGTAGGAGAATTGCTTGAACCCAGGAGGTGGAGGTTGCAGTGAGTCGAGATTACACCGTTGCACTCCAGCCTAGGCAACAGAGCAAGACTCTATCTAAAAAAAAAAATTTAATTTATTTATACTTGAATTTAACATATTTGATAAATTAATGATATTTTTAGATAAATATATGCATTTTGTGTAAGTCTGTCTTAGCTTTGTTGAGGTATAATTGACAAAAAATAAACTACACATATGTAAGTGTGTAATTTGATAATTACTGACATATACTTTGACAAACCTGTGAAGCTATCACCACAATTAAGTTAGAGAACATGTCCATCAACCCCAAGTTTCTTCATGCTCCTTGGTAATCCATTCCTTTCAATCCTTCCTCCTCACCTTGTCCCCAGACAAGAAATGATCTACTCTCTCTCACCGTACATTAGTTTGCATTTTCTAGAATTAATGCAACTTGAATCAGACCATATGTACTTTTCTAAAAAAAGCTGGCTTCTTCCATGAAGAATAACTATTTTGAGATTCATATGTGTTGTTGCGTGTGTCCATGATTGAAGTTTGTTTCCTTCATCTATTTGTGGACATTTGAGTTGTTGCCAGCTTTTGACTATCACAACCAAAGATGCTATGTACCTTTGTGTGTAAGTTGTTAAGTAGACTTATGGCTTCATTTTTCACTGGTAAATACCTAGATGTGGATTATAATAAGTGAATGTTTAATTCCAAAACAAAATGAAAAAAAAAACCTACCACACTGTTTGCCACAATGGTTTGTACCCTTTTACATTCTTCAACAGCAGAGCATGTTAAGTTCCATCGCCTATTCATACCCTCCAGGACTTAGTATGGCTAGTCTTTTTAATATCAGCCATCCTAATAAGCGGGTAGTGGTATCTCACTGTGGTTTGAATTGCATTTCTCTGATGAGTAATAATGTTGAGTACTCATTCTGGTGATTATTTGCCATCCATATATCTTCTCTGATGAAGTGTCTATATTGCTCATTTTTTTTATAATTTTCTCATCACTGAGTTTTGAAAATTCTTTACATATTCTAAATTTGCAAATATTTTATTCCAAACCATGGCTTGTCTTTTCATTCTTTTATCAGTATCTTTCAAACAGCAGAAGTTTATGGCATTTATTCTGTAGTGTCTAATTTATTATTTATTTCTTTTGTGGATTGCATTTTGGGTGCTACATTTAAGAAATTATGAAATCATAAAGCTTATAGAAGAAAATATTTGTGACCTCAGATTAAGCAAAGATTTCTTAGATACAATGCCCAAAACAGAATTTATAAAAGAAATGATAAATTAGACTGTATCAAAATTAAAAATAAAACAACTTCTGTTGAAAGACACTTAGAAGAATGAAAATACAAGCTACAGACTGTGAGAAAACATTTGCAAAGTATACATTTAATGAAAGATATATATTCAGAATATGTAAAGGTGTTTCAGAACTGCATAATGAAACAATGGCTTAAAAATAGATAAAATTTGAATTGACACTTAACCAATAAAGATATATGGATAACTAATAATTACACGGAAGATACTCAACATTATTAGTCATCAGAGAAATACAAATTAATGATAAATTTTGTGTCAACTTTTGTATATAGATCAATAGGTGGACCAAAGTTCACTTTTTGGTGTATGGAAATCCAACTGTTATTGTATAATTTGTTTAAAACACTATCCTTTCTCAGCTAAATTGCCTTAGCATTTTTTGTAATAACCATATATATCCACATATATATGGGTTTATTTATGGATCTCTATTCTGTTCCATTAATCTAAGTCCATCTATTCCAAGACCACATTCTATTTTTGCAATAAGCCATCAGATAGTGTTAGTCACCCAACTTTGTTGTTCCTTTCCAAATTACTCTGGCCATAGTTGTTCCCTTATATTTCCATCTAAATTTTAGAATTAACTTGTCAACTTTTGCCACACCAAAATCCAAAAACACAAAGAAAACTTCTAGAATTTCAAATGAGCTTGTTTTGAAAATATAGATTCAATTGAGGAGTATTAAAAACAATATTGAATATCACAATTTGCGAATAACTCATATCTCTCCATTTATTTAGGTCTTTGTTAATGTTTTTCTCTCAGCAGTATTTTATAGCTTTTAGTGTGCAGGTCTTTCACATCTTTTCACAGATTTTTCCCTGACAATCATACAGCATCACATTTTAAATGTTTTTAAAATGGTATTCTTTCCTAATTCTAAATTCTGTTTATTCTTTGGTCATATATAGAAGATAAACAGAAGATATGGGGTGAATTACAATTAATTTTTGTATATTGATATCTTATTCTGCAACCTTGTTGAACTCATTTATTAGCTCTAGTATCTTTTGTAGATTCCATTGTATTATTTACATAGATGATAAGATCATCTGTGAATAAAGACAGTTTATTTCTTTGCAATATTGATGCGATTTATGTTTTTTCCTTGTCTTATTGTAATAGCTAGAACCTCTAGTAGGTTAATGAATAGAAATAATAAGGGAAGACATCCTTGCCTTTTCCTAACTTAGATGAAAGCATTCAGTCTTTTATCATAGAATATGATGTTAACTAGGATTTTGGTATTTAGTTTTATCAGGCTTAGCAAGTTCCCTTCTATGTCTAGTTATCTAAGAGGTTTTTGTTGTTGTTTTTGTTCTCCAGGAACTGTTGTTGGATTTCAACAAATTTTGGGGGCACTTATTGAAAGAAGCATACGGATTTTTTTCTTCAGTTTATTAACATGATGAATTATATTGCTTAACTGTTGAGTGTTAAACCAACTTCATATTCTCAGCATAAACTCTGCATCATCATAATGTATTATCATTTTTATATATTGCTTGATTCAGTTACTAAAGTTTTGTTTAGAATTTTCATGTCCATGTTCATGAAGGATTTTGGTTGGTAGGGATTTTTTTACATTCTTGTATGGTTATTTACTTTTTTATATATCTGAATAATGTTGGCATAATTGAATGATTTGGGAAGTACTCTCTACACTTTGGTTTTCTGAAAAAATGTGTATAATATGACCTAATTTTGATATTAAAATTTTATACAGTTATTTTTCTATTTTTCATCTCCCTATATGTATATTGATACCAATCTAATGCTATTGATACTAACTGCTGGGTGGTAAGAATTATGATGCTTTGTCTATATTTTTATTTGTATACTTAAACATTGATTGTATGTTTTATAAGCCACGTGTAGTATTTTTAAAACTATGCAAATCTATTGTTAAAATTTTTTTAAAAATTAACAACTGTATTATAATATTCTGCAATTATAAATGGATGCTGTCGGCACTTTAAGCTGATTGTCAGAGGATTACACTTTTCAGAATGTTTTCTGAGAACCACTAGTTTATCTGGAGTCCTATGTTGTGGTCATCAGTAAACATGGTTGTTCCTGGAACATAACAGTAAGTTCAACTATTTCACCTCTGTTTACCAATTTGAAATGTATGATTAGGAATTGTTTTCAAAAAAATTTTGTTAATAATAATTATTTTATTTCAAGTGTTGAGCATACATTGCAAGGACTATTATGGTCAGTTAATCTCAGGTATCTTTCAGCTGTCAAGATGCAATTCATTTTGTCTCATGTTGTTTTCAGAATCTTGTGGTATTAATGTTTACAGTAGCTAAATTTGAAATAACGTTGTCTCCATTTCACAAAAACAGATGTAAAAGTGGTTCACTACAACATATATTAAAAATATTATAATTATAATTATATAATTAAAATTATATTTATAATTATATTATATGTATATGTTTTAATTATAATTATAATTTTAAAATATATAAAATATCATTAATAACATAAAGAGTGAACAGAATTCCAGTTTGAATATAAAATGTGAATTTGTGAGCACCCAGTCAACTATTATATCATATCAGATAACTTAAATAATATAAATCAAGTGTACAATAAGAAAAGGAAAATGCCTTTAATCCTCCATATTAGGGAAGCTGATGATGTCTATTATTTAGTTCTTTCTCAGCATTGACTTGTTTGGAGTACCAGCTGATGAGGAAATGGACATTGAACTTTTATTTTCTATTATTTTTTAAGCTATAAGAATTCCATTTAAAATTTGCTTTTTTCCTTTAAAAGGCAAGATGCAAACTGATCTTTAAACAGAGTTCCTGTGTCATAAAATAACCCCCTAGGTCTCTCATTTTAGCTAGGTAGATGTAAAACAGAAAAGTATGCATTATTCTCGGAGAATAGTATTAACAGACTATTATTGTCCTGGAGCAGGCTGGAGACTTAGATAAACTTTTTGAAAGCTAATTTAAGCAATGTTCTTTCTCATTGCAACTCATTACCTCCACAAATTTATGTACATACCAAGAAACTTTAAGAATATTTCGTTTTAAAAGTTCCAAGTTCCAGGTAACTGATAAACTGTGGTAACATCCATGGAGGATACATTGAGGACTTCATATGGAATTTGTATCATATAAGAGTGATAATCTGGTCTTGTGGTTTAATCTCCACTTCTGGGTCAAGATTTTTAGAGAAATGATGGACTAATGAACAGAGATACCTGATGGTGAATAATGTTATGTATTGAACAAGCAGAGTAATAAATATCAAATACAAATGCTTAAGGAAAAAAATCCAAACATTCAGTCATAAATTGCTGCCCTACAATTTTTCACATTGATTCTACTTAATGAATTGAAGTTTGAGATTTCATGTTGGGTGTCCACCATGGCTTGATATGTTTGCTGTAGGGTTTCATGCATCTGGTAAGTGAAGGTAACAAGAACGAGTCTGATTGTTGGAAAGTGCTCACCATACACCTACTCATAAAGGCTATTTTAGTATACATTAAAATTTTACCGTATCTCCTTAGGTGTGAGATGAACACAGATAACTAAATGAAGACACCGTGAACATGACCTTGCTACTTTGAGAAGTAAGGAATAAAACTTTACGTAGCCTGTTTAGAATGTAACAATGATTAGAGAAGGTCAATTTGTTTTTCCTCCAAGATTAGAAAATTAAAGAAGATAGGTAGGAAAATTAAATACAGTGCAAAAGTACTGATACTTTTCAATGATCACCCAATCATTTCTCTTGTCCCTCAATTATCTGTTTACTGATATAAATGTGTATCAGATTGTTTTGCCTCTCATGTAAGCGATACTCATTTTAATGCCATGAGTTGTTTCCTTTGCTAGAATTATATTAAATTTGAGTGGAACAAATTCTAAAATACTCAAGTATATTCATTTCCAATTATGATCTAAGAAAATAAAATGAGCACAGAGTGTATCGTAATGATAAAAATTATTTTGGAAAGCATGCAATTTCCAAATGCATTTGTTTCATTTGTGACCTTTATTTGTTTCTACAATTCTACTTTTGAGTTTACTAAGCATCAAATGGTAACCAGTAGTGAACTACTGGATAACCATGAGTTTGAATATTCCATAATGGATAAATATATACTGAGTCTCATTCTATATATAAATTATGTGGACCAGGGGACCTATGTTTTAGAAATGTGTATGTTAGAGAAACAAAAAACGTTTCAGAGGTCCTCCGAGTAAATATGAAGAAGGGCAAAGATACTATGAGAAAAACAAAAGCATAAAGGGTAAATACAATTTCAAAGCTAAAGGTGGATAAAACGATTCCTAACAGGTAGTGTTGGCAGAACAAGCCAATGCCTAATGTTATTGTTCTCCTAATTGGCTCATACAAGCAGCTAAACAATATATCTGGCATAAGGCAGTAAGTCTTTGAAACCAAATATTCCCTGGACCACCTTGCTAAATAAGCTGCAATTTCTAAGACTGATATCCCTTGGTTTCTACAGTTAAGAAGCATGATATATTTTACATTTCTGCCCAGCAAAGCTATTTTAGACAGACTTAAATATTTAAATCCTTTATGGGATTTGACAGAATGGGATGAAATGGCACTGCTCTAGAAATTTTGGCCCCAGTTCTGTCACTAATCAGGTGTGTGATTTAGTTAAGTCACTTAAACTTTTAAGCTATAACGTCATTGTCTATAAAATATCTGCCCTGGAAGTACAGTTAAAATAATGTGCTTGGAGGGGTTTTTAAAAATTAAAATGCTTTATACATATAATTAACAATCATTCTATCAGATCTCACACTCCAGTATTTTTATTTATTTTTGCAATAATATTTATGCTATTTAAAAATAGGTAAGGTCCTTATTTAAAAAATTCATTCAAATGTTTATTTCTCCCTGAGCACATCTTAGCTGTTCAATCATTAAATCTTACTCAGCAAATTAAGTGATTATCCTTTCTTTCTATTTTTAAAATAAGAGCATGGAAGTACAAGAAAATATTCCCATTGCCCAACTCATAAATAAAATAATGTGTATTTGTTCCTAGTGAGTATCACCAGGTTTACGATATTTAATTAAGCAGTGCAATGTAATGTAGCACTCATTCGATAGATAAATAAAATGGTACAGTATAGCACTCCAAATAGTCCTATAGTTTAGTTCACATTTTCCACATAAATCAAGTTGGTACTACAATAAGTTTTTTGCTTATATATAAATTTATTCTACTCTCTGGAATAAACATTAAAGCAATAATACATGATAGAAATACTCAAATACAGTGATTAGATGTTCTAAAAAAGTTAGCCAATTTAATATGCTATAGTTTCTCCTAAGATAACTATTATGAGAATAAAACATAAATGCAGCTGATTTCAATTTGACAACTCTTTGCAAATCAGATTACCTGAAACTTTTTTACCTCATTACCTAATTATGGAATCCTGACATGCTATCTGGCCTAGCCCTCTGGTTCCCAATTATTAAAATTTAATCAGTATCCACTTTTCTCTAACCAAGCACATTTAAGTTCTATCAGCAATACAAACTCAAAGGGGAAAAAGGCAGATCTATAGCAACTAGGATGTGAGAATTACTTTTTTATGGTCAATGTGACACAATGAATGAACACTATGTATACAACACTAAATTGTCATTCTGTCTTCTCCCAGTGAGGCAGTGCATTTAATTTCCTCAATTGGACATACTTACTGAATCAGATTAGATGTAGGTAAGAATTTTGAACTTTTAGTTTCTCAGGGAAAGAGGGCAGCAGCAGGAAGAGACAGACAACACTTTAGCATTCCGTAACTTGATCCCTACACACCCCTTGCGTCCGAGCTGTGCCTTTTCTATCTTTAATTTTCATTCTACAAATGATCAGCCTATCTCTGTCATCCATATACATCATGCTATTTCTAGCCCTCTGAATCTTCATGCATGCTGGTTTCTCTGTCCCTTACCCCCCTTTCCCAACCTATTAAGTCTGATCATCTTTCAAAACTCAATTTAGACAACACCTTACGGAAGAGTTCTGATTACTCCTTCTACTATGTAGGATTGAATCTTCCTCCATTAATGATCTTGTAACATCAAGTCCCTGTGGCATCTTTGCCTTTACTGACTGGCATGGAAATGATCCATGTATATTTCTGACTTCCTGGACAGTTGGAAATTGTGTAAGGATAGAAATTAGATCATAATAATCTTTGGATCCTCAGCACTTAGTCCAATTGCTGGCATGCAAATAGTCAATAGATGCTTTTTGAACTGATCCAAAGAAATCTTAGAGATAATCTAAGTGCTAGCTTAAAGGTAATCAGATAAGGATTTAAGATCTTAGGAAAAAAATAGATATAAAAAAATAACATAAAATTCTAATTTATTAAAGCTGAATGTATACACTCTGACGTAAAATATTAGTGGACTTACCTGGTTAACATATGGGTACCTTATTCACCTTTCTGACATATTCCAATAAAGTAATCATTTTTTTCTTTAATTATGCCTATTATAAAACTGATTATTTAAATTCATAACTATATCTTTATTTCCCAGTTTTGTCTCCTACCCCACTTTAAATATTTGGTGGGAACATTTAGGGGAGTCATTAACACAATGCAAAACACATAAATTTTGCATTGTATTGTTGACTCGCCTAAGTGTCCCCACAAAATGTCATTAATTTTTTGCATTGCATTAATGACATGGGTAAGTGTCCCCACCTATGTAATTAACACAATGTGAAATTTAAGTTTTTCTAGTCATTGAATATAAACAATTGCATAGAAATGTCTTCATCTAACTCATTCAGTGCTTTGAATGTCTAGCTTCCTTTTGTTAACCAACTAAATACTGTATTAATTAAACTTGGTACCTCATTATAATTAAATAAATATAAGTCATGGACAGATGGACATGAATTAATTAGATCAGATTTATTTTCCATTAATATCCATTTGCAGTAAGAGAATGGCGTTTTATTTTGTTAACTCATACTTCACATTATGTTTATGTACAGAGAGTATTTAAGGTTAATGATTAGAAGTTTACTTTGGAGAATAAAGAAAGTAGATAACTTTTTAGCATCATAGGGAAAAGTGAATTTGGAGCTGGGCAAAGATAATCAGAAGAAAAGTAGAACAATTGCAAACAAACATACAAACAAACACACAAAAACTCACTCTACTGTGGAATTAGAGCTCGGAGAAAAAAAATGACTTCCCACATAGCATGAAATTAGAACTATGACCTTGGAATAACATTGTTCTTACTACAATTCATGAACATTACATAAATCTGTGGTTGGCCGTAAGAATGTACATACCATTCATCACATTATTTTCTATGTGAATGCATGTTCTTAAATTTAAAATTTAAATAAATGCCTTATAAGTGAACTTTTATAAGATAATCTAATGAATCTCTTTTCTGCTCATATGTTGAGAAGCAAAAGTAACAAGTTCAGTTGGGTGGTTCTGTTGAACCTATAAATTCTACCCATAGAATGTTTCATCAAAACATGTTTCAAAGCAGTACACTGGGAGTTCTAGAAATAAATTTTTCATAAATTCCACTAACTGTATATGTAGAGTCTATTAGTTTCACACTCTAGCATATATTTTTTAATTTATTTAATGACATGTTGACAAAAAATGACACTGTTAAATGCATATTTGTAATAGGCTGCTTCTTATATATACAGGTTATTTTTTACAGTTTATTTCTGATACTATATAACAATTAGGACAATCTACATTAAGAGATCCAAAGGAAAGTAGAGAATATCAGCATGTAGATAGCTCTGATATCCCCCATGGAAAACAATAATATACTTCATAGGTCATGTAAAAGTAGAAATAATGAAATCGTATACATTTTTTCTCAGGTTCTCTCTTTGCTGTTTTTCTTAATTTCAGTCTTCACCAGCAAAGAAGAAACATAATGTCAAAGTGTTCAGTTGAGTATGTGCTATTGTCATCAGCACCTTCCTGAATTGTGTCATCGTTAGCTTTTAGGCATTTACATTTTTTTACATTAAGATTTTGATGATTTCCTCAATCTCCATGTATGTCAGGACTATATTAATTAAAATAGTGTATGATGACAAGATCAGAGAAAAAAATGCAAAAGTGAATTAATTTAAAAATCAAAGATTGGTATAAAGGATAGAGATTCACTCATATGTCTCCTGAAAAATCTCTTCTCTATAAACTGAATATACTTGTTTGCATAAAATGATTTGACTTGTCTGTAAAATAGTCAGTTGAATCAACCTCCATGATGCAAATGGTAAATCAGTTCAAACATACACTTCAGGTGCTGCATTCTCAGAGTGAACATTTTCCACTGATTTATTATATCATTTAGTAATTTTTTATTAATAGTTCATTTTCAAATACCAATTTAGTGTCAACTACTGAACTGTCTATAACAGAAAATACAAAGATAAATCAATCACCACTTTAGCTTTAACAAACTTAATAAGCTTAGTTCCTAGGTTAGGAAAGTAACATAGAAGGCTTAAATAAACACAAAACCAAATAAAAATACATGTACATTTGGAGAGTGACTTAAAGTTTAAACCAAATAGTGCATATAAAGCACTTACTATAGTGTTTAGCATAAAGTGAGTGTTCCACAAATACTGTTTTCATTGTTACTGATGTTATGTTTGTTAACCTGGGTGTAGAAGCAGGAGGTCATATTTCAGTGGGAAGTTTCAGTACAGATATCTTGACAGAGTTGGCATGTACAAGCATACCTCTGAGATACTGCAGTTCATTTCCAGAGCACTGCAATAAGCAAATATTGCAGAAGAGCAAGCCACGAATTTTTTTGGTTTCCCTGTGCATATAAAAATTACATTTACACTATACTGCAGTCTATACAGCATTGAGTCTAAAAAAACAATGTACGTGCCTTAATTTAAAAATACCCTAAGGCAAAAAAATGCTAATGATCATCTAAGCCTTCATCGAGTTGTACTCTTTTTGCTGAAGTGTCTTGCCTTGATGTTGATGGTTGCTGACTGATCAGGATGGTGGTTGTTAACCACCACCGGCCTGTGGCGATTTCTTAAAATAAGAAAACAATGAAGTTTGCTGCATCAATGAACTCATCTTTTCATTCAGGATTCTCTGAAGCATGTCTGGTGTTTGATAGCATTTTACCCATGGTAGAACTTCCTTCAAATTGGAGTCAATCCTTTGAAACCCTACCACTGCTTAATCAACGAAGTTTGTAATATTGTAAATCTTTTGTTGTCATTTCAACAATGTTTATAGCATCTTCATTAGCAGTAGATTCCATTTCAAGAAACCACTTTCTTTGCTTATCCACAAGAAGCAACTCTTCATCCACTGAAGTTCTTTCGTGAGATTGCAGCAATTCAGTCACATCCTCGGGCTCTATCTTCTAATTCTAGTTCTCTTGCTATTTCCAGTATTTCTGTAGTTATTTTCTCCACTGGAATCTTGAATCCCTCCTCCATAAGGGTTGAAATCAACTTCTTCCAAACACCTATTAATGTTTATATTTTGACCTCCTCTTATGAATTATGAATGTTCTTAATGACATCTAGAATGGTGAATTCTTTCCAGGTTTTTAATTTATTTTGCCCAGATTCATCAGAAGATCCACTACCTATGATAGTTATAACCTTATAAAATGTATTACTTAAATAATAAGACTTAAAGTCAAAATCACTCCTGGATTCATGGGCTGCGGAATGGATGTTGTGTTATTAGGTATGAAAACATTAATTTCCTTGTATATATATATATATATATATCTCCTTTTTTTTTTTGACAGAGTGTTGCTCTTTTTGCCCAGGCTGGAGTATGGAGTACAATGGTATGATCTCAGCTCACTGCACCTCCGCCTCCTGGGTTCAAGTCATTGTCCTGCCTCAGCCACCCAAGTACCTGGGATTACAGGCCTGCACCACCACGCCTAGCTAATTTTGTGTTTTTAGTATAGATGGGGTTTCACCATGTTGGCCAGGCTGGTCTTGAACTCCTGACCTCAGGTGATCTGCCCACCTTGTCCTCCCAAAGTGTTGAGATTACAGGCTTGAGCCACTGCCCCCGGCCCTCCTTGTATATCTTTATCAGAGTTATTGAGTGACCAGGTGCATTGTCAGTGAGCAGTAATATTTTGAACAGTAAGTCTCATCAGTGGGCTTAAAATATTCCATAAACTATGCTGTAAATAGATGTGCTGCCATCCAAGCTTTGTTGTTGCATTTATGAAGCACAGGCAGAGTAGATTTAGCATGATTCTTAAAGGCCCTTGGATTTTTGAAATGGCAAATGAGCATTGGCTTCAACTTAAATGCACCAGCTACATTAGCCCCTAACAAGCGATTCAGCCTATCCTTTGAAGTTTTGAAGCCAGTCATTGATTTCTGTCCTGCTATGAAAATCCTACTGACATTTTCTTTCAATAGAAGGCTGTTTTGTCTACATTGAAAATCTGTTGTTTAGGGCTAGCCACCTTCACTAATGATTTTAGCTAAGTCTTCCAGATAACTTGCTGCAGTTTCTACATCAGGACTCGCTGCTTCACCTTGCACTTTTTATGTTATGGAGATGGCTTCTTACCTTAAACCTCATGAACCAACATGTGTTAGCTTCAAACTGTTCTTCTGCAGTTTCTTCACCTCTCTCAGCCTTCATAGAATTGAAGAGAATTTAGGTTCTTGTTCTCAAGTAAGCTTTGGTTTAATGCAATGTTGTGGCAGGTTTGATCTTCTATCCAGACCACTAAAACCTTCTCCATATCAGAAATAAAGCATTTTGCTTTCTTATCATCTGGTGTTCACTGGAGTAGCACTTTTAGTTTCCTTCAAGAATTTTCCTTTGCATCCACAACTTGGATAACTGGTGCAAAAGGCCTAGCTTTCACCCTCTCAGCTTTTGACATGCATTCCACACTAAGCTTAATCATTTTTAGCTTTTGATTTAACAAGAGAGATGTAAGACTCTTCCTTTCACTTGAACACTTAGAAGACATTATAGGGTTATTAACTGGCCTAATTGTAATATTGTTGTGTCTCAGTGAATAGGGAGACCCAAGGAGGAGAGGAAGAAAGACATGAGAACAGCCAGTCAGTAAAGCAGTCAGAACACAATATTTAACAGTTAAGTTTGCTATCTTTTATGGGTGTGGTTCATGGCACCTCAAAACAATTAAAATAATAATGTCTAAGATCACTGCTCACAGATCACCATTACAGATATAATAATAATAAAAAAGTTTGAAATATTGCAAGAATTACCAAAATGTGACATGGAGACATAAAGTGAGCACATGCTGTTAAAAAAAAAAAAAATGGCACCATAGACTTGCTGGAAACGAACCTTCAATTTATAAAAAACACAGTATGTGAAAGGTCAAAGAAGTAAAGGACAATAAAACAAAATATTCCTAACTATCTTCAGGTAAAAAAAAAAAGGAAGGAGAAATGTAAATCAAATAGACATGAACAAAAAGGTGGCAATATGAAAACATGGGGAAGTGAAAACTGAGCTATCTATGGCTGCAATGGAGAGTAGGTGTGGAAAAGTCATGACTGGGAAGGCTTGAGGCCAATTAAGTTGTGCCAATAATCCAAGGCTAAAGGATTTGCAATTCATTCATAAGAGGATGAGAATCACAGAATCCCAAGAAAAGAGAATATCCAAAAATGAAGTCAGGACTCAAGAAAGGGTAAGCAAGACCCAAGGAGTGTCTGAACTAGGACTTTGGAAGTGAAAACAAGAATGTAACATATGCTTCCAAATAAGAAGTCTGAGAAAGATACTGATAAAATTAGAGAGGAGAAAAAATAAACCCCCAAAATGCAGAATTACAGAAATCTAAGGAGCCCAGATGTAAAAAACAAAAACAAAGAATGAAATAAGAATTTGGAGAGTTATAATGATCAAGCAAAAGGTAAACCATTTGGAAGTAGTTACCCAGACTAACCATTAAGGTGGCACCAGTAAAGCATTACTTTACTGGTAATGCTTGTCTGTTTATTTGGTAGAGACATAACTATGTTATTAGAATACAGGCAAAAATATATTTAAAAATTTTAAAACTTATTTCTTTAATTGTATTTTTTTACAAGTATCTAGGTTGAAAGAGTCTGCAAGCTGTCCTGTGGATTCCATCTCTTTTAGTTGATTCAATTGCCAACTCAGTTACAATATTTGCATGGTTTTTAATGGCTTAGCCATTTAAAAAATGGTGAGTAGGTATGCATTCTTCATAGGATTGCTCTGAAGAGTAACAGTAAGTCCTTCATAACATGAGGTCCAAATTACATTAAATCATTAATAGCACTTCAAATATTTTCCCAAATAATGTAGTATCAGTTATTATATTACATCCTTAAGTCTGCTAGGTTTTTAAGATTAACAAAGAAAACTAGCTGAGATCATTTCTTTATCATTCACAATTTGTTCTTTATGTTTCACTTTGTATAGTCAACATAAAGTTATAACTTTATATGAAAAGTATTTCCAAATATACACTTAAAAAATAAATGCACTGAAAAAGCTATGATCATATGAATTTCCGTGACTCACTCTGAATATGCATATATGAGGAAACAGCTCAAAACCATCATTATTACTCTACTAATTTGAAACCTATGATGATGCAACTTGGACACAGCTTTTGGAACTGTGAAAATGTTTTACCAAACAAATTCATAATGAATATAACTAACATGAGTATGTTTTAAAGCAAAGTTTATTATTTATTGTAAATATATATTCATAATCAAAAAATTAAATGAAATTAATAGTCTAAACTCTGTTTTCTTTGTTAATCCACCTCGTATAGATCCAAGTTAACAGGAAATTATGGAGCGTTTATGCAACTCACCTGCAAAAGCCTCTAAAACATTTGCTCAAAATATTTTTATATCTCTTATTCGTAGTCATTTTTATTATTTTTTTCCATATTCTATCTTATTTTCTGTTTTGTTGTGTTTCCAGCTTGCAAAATACTTGCATTTTATGTGTAACCTCCTTTCCTATTTAGGAAAAGTATATGATATTGCATATCTATTTATGTCTCTATTTCTCTTGGTTTCCATTTGTGTTTATCTAGTCTGATTGACTTTTATCAAGGTGCTTTATCCTTGAAATTGACTTTTCAAGCTTATCAAAGGAAAACATTTTCCTGACTTCATGCTCCTTTGCTGTCCATAGAGACAGGTTTTATTTTAGATCTAGAAAGGGAAGCATTGCTCCATAAGGGCCTCTGACCCAGAGGGTCAAAAAGAATTCATCAAGGCCCACATTGAAAAAAAAAAAAAAGAAGAAGAAAATTTAAATCTAGTTTTATTTTTGTACTGTCTTTAGTGAGAGATATAAAATATTCCACTGAATGATATTTAAACTGAGTAGGAAATACATACAATAAGAAATAAAATACATTCCAATTCTATATTATGTCCAGCTACAAAGAGATAGAGCCATAAAAAGGGAAATGAGAAGAGTCGAGGAACAAAGTATGACACAGTCTGAGGATTTAACCAACCCTGAAATCAGAGCAGGAACATTTATATAAATATACGCAATCTTCAACATTCAGGGGGAAAAAATACAAGAAAATATTCACATGATTTCTTAAGAAAATTGTTTTAAAATTCCACATAAAGCTGAAAAATACAGATTAAAAAAAATTGCCCTCATTTATTAGACAGATAGGCCCTATCTTCCTGCTCTAGTGAGTGAAAAATATATGTTCTCAAATTTCAGAGATCCCATATAAATCTATGCTACCATCTTGTGTTCTAAATATTGCTTCTAATGATCTAAAACACATTGCAAGAAATGAAACTAACATGATGTCAAACCCTTAAGAGGAGTCCATGCAAAATGTCTGTTTGCTTAGATATTTTTATTTTATCACTATGCTGAATTTTAGACTTAATATTTCTGGTATTTATTGCTCTCTGTTCTTTTTCCCAGTGCATTCTGCCTGTTTTATCTTCGATAGTCCTTCCTACAGACACAAGAGCACTAGTACATGCAGAAACATATATACTCACACACTATAAAGAGAAGTAAAAAGTGTACTGTTTTAAAGTCCAAATTGACCCTATGTTGTGGAAATATCATAATTTTTTTTTCTGGGGTAATTGACTTTTTTTTTCCCCCCGTTCTTTTTTTTAAAGAAACGCCTTTATTAGTCCATTAGATTGTGACAGGAGTCTAAACAGGAGAACATTACCAGGAAAAAACTAAATTGCTATACATGATAAGTAGGATGTTTATGAGTTGTGCCTTCTGCTAGTGGCTTAGCACTAAGGATAAAGAGAAGTAAAGATCTCACTCAGATGGGAATTAACAAAAGGCTTACCAAAGAAAAGTTGCTTCTGCAGAAAAAGGCTAATGATGGCTATCTGGGAACACTGATAATTCATTCAGAGTATCTCTTTCTTTTACTTCCCCTCCTCTTAGCTTCTAGAAATCTTCAATAATCTGTTCTGCCTCTTGGCCTTAGATTAAAACTGCTTTGAAAAAATTATAAAAAGATTATGTCTAATAAATGAAGTAATGTGAGGGGAAAATTATAATTGCTAAAGGATGATAGCAAAGTAGATACTGAGAACACAGGAAGAATTCAAAGCAAGAGATTCACAGGAGACTTGGAGTTTCCAGAAATTCTCAGAAATATTAGGAAGGCAGGCCAAGCAACTTCCCAAACTGTAAGGCTCAAGCCATTTTACTGAAAAAAAAAAAAAAAAAAAAAAAAAAAAAGTCTCCATTGAGAGAATCAAAACAAAGTGGGAAAATAGGGGGAAATCCTTCTACACATTCACATCTATACCTATTGATGCTGTTGAACTCAAATGTAAAAACACACACCAGACACATATGGCTGTCAGGACAAAACATAATTAGCGTACACCGTCCGTCCTCTGTGTTCACATGGCACCTCTGAAACCTACCTTAAAAGTCTTTGTCTGCTTCTACATTAGATTATAATCTTTCTAGTATACAGATTACCTTTAATTCTTACTTGAATTTCCCTTCATCTAGCAGAGAAATTTATTGACTGAATTAACATTTATTGAATGAATTAATTGAAGTAAATATTTATTGACTGAATTCCTCACAGCTTTCAAATTTGAATACTGATTAAAGTCAAAAAATATGAAAAATAGTTTCATTACCTTGAAAAGAATGAAGCATTAAAAAGTAACCATCACTAAGCCAAGAATGAAAACAATGCCGATGTCTTGAGTATAATGTAGGAAGAATCATCATAATTTTGACAAAATTAAAGGAATACGTAAGTACACAAAACAATAATAATGAGATACAGAGGATACACTATAAGCAGATGTTCTTTTGTAATCTGGCTTTTTAAAAAGTCAGTTCATTGTTATTTTTGTTGTTGCTGTTGTTTTATTAGGTTGGTGCAAAAGTAATTGTGGTTTTTGACATTAAAAGTAATGGCCAAAACCGCAATTACTTTCTCACCAACCTAATAACAACGTGTAAAGGGATTTGGAACAATCAACATTTCAAGTCAAAATATTATCTACCTGGTGTAGGCCGGGCGCGGTAGCTCACGCCTGTAATCCCAGCACTTTGGAAGGCCGAGGCGGGCGGATCACGAGGTCAGGAGATCGAGATCATCCTGATTAACACGGTGAAACCGCGTCTCCACTAAAAATACAAAAAAATTAGCCGGGCGTGGTGGCGGGCGCCTGTAGTCCCAGCTACTCAGGACGCTGAGGCAGGAGAATGACGTGAACCCGGGAGGCGGAGCTTGCAGTGAGCCGAGATTGCACCACTCCAGCCGGGGCGACAGAGCGAGAGTCCGTCTCAAAAAAAAAAAAAAAAAATTATCTACCTGGTAAAGGAGATAAAACACTTTAAAACCTCAGCATCATATTTAAAAGGATTTGTGTAGCATTACTATTGCTAAAAGGAAAATAGTATGCATTTATATTTGTATTAGGTTCAGCGTAATTGGATGAATGCAGAAACTTCACTTTCAGTAGGGTCATACATACATTTTATAGACATATTGTGCACAACTTTACAGGTCCCCACTCAAAACTAAAGCTGCGAATTCAAGGCACAGACATTTTGGGATCAAGTGTCAACAAAGAGAATGTAAATGCGGATCTTCAATCTTTTTCCAACTATGGGAACCGCTTTATCTAACAATGAAAACGCATCAGTGTTAAGGAATTCTATGGATGAGCTAATTAAAATAAAAAATATGAAATTACTGGAATCTACATTTGAGAATTGTAAGATCAAGATCAGATGTGATTCTTAGTAAATACTAGAATACATTTATTTAGTCATCAATGTCAAAACTCTATAATTATGGTCAAGCTACAATTTGGGACCAAACATATTTCATAGGATGGTACCCATCTTAAGTACAAAAATGAAAAAAGATCGGGAATGTCTTATGTAGAATTCTAGAGAAAACCAATCTGATTGTTTAAAACAAGTGACAGATATGTTCCATCTTCACTCAAGGAGCAATAGGCTCAAATTACAATCCCCTAAAAGTATGTATGAATGTATGTGTGTGTATGGAAAGAGAGAGGAAGAGAGGAAAGAGAGAGAAAAACTGTCTGAAGCTAAGAATATTCAAAAGCAGCCTAAGAAAATAATCATATTTTCCCAAGACTATTGAAGGAAACCTAACACACCTACTGTGGCACTGTCACGTGACTTATTAAAAGTTACTTTGTGTGTTGCCAAAGATCAAAATGGTCATTTCAATTCAAATGTTTTTCAACTCCAGACAAATGTATTTGTGTGGGCTGAACAAATTAGTTTTTCTCACTCGAATGAACTAATACATGTAAAACACTGGAAGCAAACCTTTATGACAGTGTACTTTCAGGAAGAAAAAAAAAAATTAGAAGCTTTTTAAAAAAGACAATAAAAGAAAAAGAAAATAATTTTTAAATTAGGCATTTGACAAAAAATGGCTTTTGAGAGAGAAATATGAATTTCCAGGCTACTATATTTTTCCATTGCTTTGTAAAATTTATCTTCTTTACAGATAAGCTGCAAAGAATATCTACAAAGAAACAGACATGCAGACAAAAATAAAATAATTTAAGTCAATTTATCAAGCATTGTGATTTTTTTCTTTGTATTTGTGTAAAAGTTTGGCTACATCAAGAAGAAATAATATAGTAGTATCCTTCATAAGTTAGCAGATCCACAGTCTTTAAAACTAAGGAATTGTAAAATAACATATGTTTAGATGCATGATATATGGATCCAGTAGTGTACCTAGCAACCATCCTCATTCTAAACAGAAGCTAACCACAAAACAACCAAAGGGAAAGATTAAGGTAAAATTCACAAGACATCATCCTTTATAAACTTTCAAAATTTTAATTCATCGGGCACTGAAATTTTGTCATTATATATAGCAAGAATTGCTTTTAATAAGATTGCAAATGCACTGCATTTTCTCTAGATGCAACAAAGCCAAGTATATATAATTATGTATGCCTCTAGCCTTCAATCTCTTATTTTTTATTCTTGTCTTTCATTATAACACATATCTGAATTATTTTAACACAGATAACTTGTTGCAATGCAATTTTGTCATCCATGCATCCTTTAATTCAAGCATGCAGTTTCTAGGAGATTTCTGAAACAATTAATAGAGTATGGTTTCTGTTACATATGCATTATTATATAAATCAGAAAATTTTGTTGGTAATAACTTCCATACTCGAAGATTACTTAGAGACCATCATACTAAGCCCTTTATTTGCATAGAAAATTTGATGGTAGAAACAGACACAAGTCACACAATTAAAATTGGCACTGCTAGAATTTGAATCCAGAGCCAGACTTAGAATCGATACTCCATATTTATAGTTCCTTATCATGCCCCTATTCCAGACTGTAACCGTATTTATAGTTATGGTTAAACCTGTTTTGCATTTTATTATTTATTATTATTTTACTGTCACCTAGGTTGAATTGCAGTATCAAAAAACTGTACGTGTAGAGTTATAACTTCACTGACAACACTGTAACTGAAAAATATAATCTAAATCATTTGAAAATAAAACAATTGAATCTAAAATATATTTTTTTCGAGACAGGGTTTCACTCTATCTCCCAGACTGGAGTGCAGTGACACAATAACGGCTCACTGCAGCCCTGACCTCCACAGGCTCAGGTAAGTCTTCCACCTCAGCCTCCCAAGTAGCTGGAACTGTAGGTGTGCATCACCATGCCTGGCTAATTTTTGTAGTTTTTTGCAGAGATGGGGTGTTTCCCGGGCTTGTCTCGAACTTCTGGACTCAAGCAATCTGCCCACCTTGGCCTCCCAAAGTGCTGGGATTACAGGTATGAGCCACCACACCCAGCCCAAATAAATAAACATTGAAAATGAAATAAATGAAAAACATAACCATATTTCAAATAATTCACCAATGTATGCACTTACTGATCTAGGCATTTTTACAGTATGCAATTATGTCATGAAGGAAAGAGTTTATAATCTCTTATGAGAGAGACAGAGAAAAAAAGAAACAGGAAAAATGTCTCCGTATATTAGGAGTTGAAGACTGAAATTGCTAAGTTCAGAAAATTTTTAAAAAGGTACAGACTTAGAATTTTAAAAAATTACACATGGCTGGAGACTTCAGGGAATAGCAGGGGGGAAATGATATTGGAGTAATGTCTTGAAGATTGTAAAGAGTGGGCTCATAAAGATTATTTTAAGGATATTCATGACATAGGGAATGAAATGACAAAAAGCATTGAGTTCAAATGTGCATAAGAGAATAAACTGTTCACCTTGACTGGAACATGAAATATGATCTCACAAAGGGTAGGGAATGCTATTTGCCAGTTTAGGATACCAAACTTTGAATCACAGGTGATGAGTAGCCATAGAGAATTTCCAAATAGAACAATGCTTGCATTTATGCCTCTGCTGTGGAGTGTGGTTACCCAAGCCAAACCAATCGCGTCTCTGTAGTTAATCTCTGGGTGAGAGACAAAGGGGCAAGCTTTTTCAGGTGGACTGGAAATGAGAACCACTAAGTGAAGCAAATACAGAAAGAACTGAGTTGATAGTTGAGAAGATGGTAATGTTTACATTCCTGGAACCCACTACACTTTCCTGCCTATAACAGTTAGACAAGAATTTTCCATCAATTGCAACCGAAAGTATTCCCACTCGTAAAAAAAAAAAAAAAAAAAGAAAAAGAAAGAAAGAAAAAAGTTCATCTGACAGCAATGCAGCAATGTTGCCAAGGGAAAGAGATCAAAGGTTGTAAAAATAGTAGGAATCTCTTGCAGGAGGTAAAAGGGTCTGACCTTTGAAAAAGCGCTGGAATGGAAAAGCAGGGAAGAATTCAGAGGATTTTGGAAAAAAGAGGCAACCTTAAGGAGTACTACTAACATTGTCAAACACTGGTCTAAATGCTTTTTAGGCATCATCTAATTTAATCCTCAGAAAAATCCATCATAACAAGATTTCTTTTCATCATGGCAAATAAGAAAGTGAATATTTAGAGAAATTATGAATACATAGCAAAGCTGGAATTCAAACCAGGTCTTTAATTCAGAATACAATATCCTAATTTGAAATGTATGCTAGAAAAAGGAAAGACAGAATGACTTTGCTCTTGATAATAGAGAGGAGAGGAATCTTTTTGGTGAAACAGGGAATTCAAGAGGAGAAAAAAATAATTAAAAGGAATTACTATACTTTTAATTTTAGTCACATTAGATTTTAGAATTCATACAGAAACTAAGTTATTCATACAGAAACTAAGTTGACATTTTGCAGTAGCTGAATATTTCAGATACAAATTTGGGGAAGATCTGCTTAGCAATGACAGTTTGAGTCATTATATTGCCAAGCAAGAGAGTATAGAGTAAGGAAACAATAGGATCAAAATCTGATATACAGAGAAGAAGAATAAATAGCAGCCAAAACAAGATTGAAAAGTAAAAACGGAACTAGCATTTACAATATCATAAAAGACAAAGAAGAAAAATGCATTAGCAGGAATGAGTGTTCACTCAGTAAATATGTCCTCTGCATGAAGATAAGACAGACATAGACAGATAGACAGGTGGATGGATAGATGAGTAGATAGGGATACATCACTGCATTCATACATAGCTCTCTAAATATCTGCATCATCTGCCTCTATATCTATGTATATCTGTGATTGAATGATTGATTGTAACTTAGAGCTTCAAGTGAGCACTTAAAGTGAAAACTTTGTGTACTGAAATTACTTACATCTTTTAACTGAGCTATAAAGCACTATATTCATCATTTTATGTTGTACACAAGGCAATTATGTTGTGTTTATGAACATATGGCTTCAAACACTGGATAAACTGTTGAAACTGATGGGCACAAAGAAACAGAATACTCAAGAAACATCTGATCGCTTCTGTCATTTCATCCATATATTTCAAGGCAAATAACTTATAAGAATGAATACTTCCTGTTTCTTAAATACATTTCAGTTTCCTGCTTAGCTTTGAATAGTTTCCTCCCTTGATTAATTTAGTGTAATTATCTTCTTAAAAAGAAATGCTACTCAAGTTAAATAATAATCTTTTTCTAGAAAAACATTTTAAAACTCGTATTTCATTGAATGAGAAACAATATCAAAGAAAACAATACACATATTAAATTTCAAGAAAAGTATTTGACTTCTTTCTTTAAGAAAATAGTTTGAATTAAGAAGAAAGAGTAATTTCCACCTTTAAAATGTCTTAATGGTATATAATCAAGGAGATTTTATTTTAATGTTATAATGCATGGTCAGTTTAAGTCCTGAGGTGTCCTTTTGAAGAACCTTTATTTTTGCTTATTATAATATTTAAGGCTTCAAGGAAATATTCATTTGCCAGGAGAAAGGAACTCACAAGGTAGATTGAAATGATTTCATGGAACAGCATGAAATACAGCTACTCCCTGCCAAACCCAGACACAAAGCCAAAAGGCCTATGAAGGAAGAATACAGGCACAGCAGTTCACAAAAGATGAATCAAAAGGCAAGTTAAAAAACAAAAATATATTGGAAACATGCTTTCTTAATATATGAAACTATAATTATTATTATCAAATGCAGAAAAATATAAGAGTAAAAGAATTGCTAAGAGTTTAGTTTGGCAGATGAAAAGAGTAGGTGCAATTAAAGGAATAAACATTTTCCCTACTGTACAAGAATTTGACCTTCTTTTAAAATTCTAGCTCTGATCCCCTGATAACCTGACAAGGGAAGAATGTCAACTATAATCTTAGGTGACATTTCTACATTAAATTGCTTCTGGATTTGAGAGGAATGTTAATACTTAATAGGAAGCCATGGCTTTGAGCTTAGTGCAGTGGCTCTTGTAACTGGCATGTCTCTTCAAGGACCCTGGAAATTCTGCCTATAGATTTGTTACAACAGAGATTTTGGCTCCTGTGGGGCTGAGGATTCTGCCAGAGTTCCCATCCCCAAATTATGTAGACTTTGTCTCCTTGTCTATGAGTCATCATCTAGGCAGCAGTTCTTAACCTGGGGTGATTTTGCCAGTCAGGGACATTTGGCAATGTCTGGAGACAGTTTTTATTGTCATGACATAGGGGAGAAGGACATATTACTGGAATCTAAAGATTACAAGCCTAAGTAGCCTCTAAACACCATACAATAAACAAGCTAGAGCCTCCTTCTCCACCACAAAAAAAAAAAAAATTATATTTTGGGCAAGAAAACTGTGTTGGAAGACTGCCATATGTGTTTGGGACAATTAGCAGTAGCCATGGTCTCTACTCTCTAGATGCCAGGAGCATTCATTTTCCTCCACTGATTCAATTAAAACATGTTTTTAGACATTTTCAAAGATCTGCAGGGAATAGGAGTGGAAGGGCATGTTGGCAAGCTATTGTTTCTGTCTTATACCCTTGTGTATGAATTTGATACCAAATACGCCTCTAGTAGTCCCGCAAGTTTAAAAGCAGTGGAATCTAAGACCCTTGGTAGATTATTCAATACAGGAATTTACTACAAAGTAAAGTTATTAGTGTCACATAATATAACCCAACGTAATATGATATATGCAAAACCAAAAAATGTGTGGCTAGTACTAAATATTAAAATATGATATTACATCAAACAATTGATAATAAAGATACAATTGCTAACAACATATAAGCTAAAATTCTATATGAATACTGCCTGTAGGTGGATTAAACACTCTAGTAAATGTGTATCTCTTGCTGGAGGGAGAGGAAGTTATGTCTTTCTCTCAAATACTGCCTTTGATTTCTCACTTTCAGATTGGCTTTATCATGCATTAATTAAAGTACTCTTTTGACAATCAATTTCTTACATTGTTGCTTAACTTCTGAAGTTCTTTGAATTTATTTTTTTCTAATCAAAGACCAAAAGGCATGGGTCTTTGATTAGAAAAAATTAACTTAAACTCTGTAAGTTAATTTGATAGCACTTTATATTTCCCTTAGCACTAAGCATATTATTGTTGGTATATTTAAAATAAATTGATAATATCACAGGAATGTTCATATGATATATTATTGTTCACCTTTATGTGTGATTTATTATAATCATTTATTATTATTACCTTTGTGTTACAGGGGAGATGATCATAGTATGTGTGAAATGCCCAAATTCTGTATTTGGGAAGAAAGAATTTAGGTTTTGGAAGAAAGACAAATTCCTTTTTAACTAAGAAAGATTATGAAGGCACAGAACTTTTATAGTCATACTTATATATTTATATATGTGTTTATGTTCATTTTTCTTAGAAGAAACTATATTTGCATAAAGCAAAAAAGGGAGGAAAGAAAAAAGCCCCCAGGAACAGAGGCATGTAAACTTTTTATTGAAAATTTAACTCAGTGGGGCGTAGTGGTTCACACCTTCAATCCCAGCACTTGGGAAAGCTGAGATGGGAGGGACGCTTGAGGCCAGGAGTTTGAATCCAGGCTGGGCAACATAGCAAGACTCTGTCTCTTAAAAAAAATGTAAAAATTAGCCCAGCATGGTGGCTCACACCTGTAATCCCAGCTACTTGGGAGGTTGAGGATCGCCTGGGCCAAGGAGTTGAGGCTATATAAGCTATGATTGTGCTACTGCAGTCCAGCCTGGGCAACACAGAGACCCTGTCTCAAAAAATGGAAAAAAAAAACCTATAAAATAAATTTAACTTAATCACATATGTGAAGGGTTTCAAGGGGAGAAAATATCCTTACGGCCTTATGGTATTATGGAAATGATATAATGATATTATCCAGTTGAATTCATTTTTGCACAGTTGGGGTGGACAGAAGTACCTAGCTGACAATATCAATAAAAATGAGTCTTGCCTGGCTTAATTTGTACCTTTAATCATTCTGTTAAAACTAGCTGGTCACTCTCCCACTTCTTTGCATAGATGCTGAAAAATAAAAATTTTAATACATACACTTTATCTAAACATTAAATTATGGTTGTACTTACTTTAAGGTAGCAGCAGAGAAGAAACCAGAAAAATAAACTATGTGCTTATTTTCCTTACATGAGCCACATACTTGATAAACTGATCTTCTTTTCAGATAATGTATAGTCAATTGCTCTATCTGAAGATATTATATATTATATATATATATATATGCAATGCACTCAGTCCTTAAGAGACTGAAAATTTCTTTCTATTTTCTTGAACAATTTCCTTAGATGGTTATTTGCCCCTTAGTTATATATCATGCTGTGTTCTCTGGAAGAATGAAAATATAGAGAGCAAGGAAAACGCCCAGAATGTCAGGAGCAGTTCAACTAAAGTATATTCATCCTAGAAACATTCTGGAAAATAATGTTTATTTGTGGGAAGCTCAGTTTTCAAATATTCAAGAGTAATGTAAATCCATGGAAAGATAAAGTAAGATATATGTTGACTGGAAATAATAATCCTAGATCTTATTTTGTACAGAGTTTAAATTGGACATTATCTTATAATACATTGTTTCTATATACATTGTTTCTTCTTTTTTAAGATAAGATCTTAACTACAGAGAAGAGGTAGATGATGGAATATGTAAAATAGAAATATTTATGTAAATAAGTGGTAAAACTAAGATTCTATGAGTCAAAGAAAATCCTCCAAGTCAAAGCTCTCTTCGAAGTCATTATCCTTATAGTGGCAATGGATATATAGTCTTAATGCAGTCATCACCAAAAACATCTGGAAAATAACTTTGAACTTACCATTAATGTTTCTAATAGAGTCTTTGGAATAATCTCAAAGGTAAGTCCTCAAATTTTGAGTATAAATTTATATTATGTGAGGAAACCAAAGGCTGTTAGAATCAAGTCATTTTGGCATAAGAAATAAATCCAATTAGAAAATAACAGTTCAGTGTAAATATATACAACCATTAGAATTATTTCCCAAACTATCTATATAGCCAATATTACAGGATAGTTCTGAGAAAGGCAATACTGAAACAAAACCTAGTGATTTTGAAAGAAATATATCATCTAATGTGTGTCTTCAAAATGAAGTTTTACTTTGAAGCTCTAAATTGTCTTCTACATACTAATGCTAGTGTCCATGGAGCTATCAATAAAGATCTTTCGTCATCACCAAGAGGCAGTATAGAGGGTTGCGACTTAGCTAGGACTTAAATGGCAAAAAGATTGGAAGAATTGTTATAAACAGAAGAGGAGCATAAAAGCCTAGCCAGAGAGGCAACATTGAATTATCATGCTTATGGGACTGAGAAGAGATGGACTGAATTATTACAGAAAATAAGAAACAGAGCTGGACAAGTAAAGCTTGTTCAGGCTACTGAGCTGAAAGTCATTATTACCCTCCTAATAAATTAAAAATTCATTCATTCATTTATAAAATTTTTGGATAGCCTTTTTGCCTGGCCTAGATCCTCTTGTATTTCCTCTTTTATCAATAATTACCTTGTCTTTGATATCAGTTTTAGATAAATCCCTGGTCACACTGATATTTCCAGAACAATTTTGCTTTTAGAAAATCACAAAATTGTTATATTACCTCAGTACACTAATTCTATCTCAACGCTACAGAATATTACCCAGTAACTCATCTAACAATAGTGAACATATGTATTACAGCACTTTCCAATCTATCATTAATTTTATTTTGCTTTGTCAGGTTCATGATATTATGCTTTTGTTGAATATTCATTTAGATTAAAAGTAACTAGCATACTCTCTTCATTAGATTTCTTGAGAAAAAGCCTCAAAAATAAAACCCTGATCTCTGGCTCTCTCTCCTTCACCTAATTTGGTCTTGCTTGGGAAACTGAAACAGGTGAGGAACATGGGTTTATCAATAGCCCTGATTATTTTCTTTCATAATTTTTCTTTGTTTGGAAAATACAAATTATAAGGGGTATATTAATTAGATTTGGAATTAGGTAAAAGGCAGTTACTTAACACAATCTAACACTAACATCTGTCTTTGGTTTTTAGTATATATTTTATACCGCTTAACAGAAATATCATGTCATTAGTTGAAGGTACAACAAATGTGCATCTACATGGTGGAGATTTAACAGCAAAAGTGACATTCAATGCAATATATTCTCCAGTTAATTTTCAAGGAAGTATACTTTGAAATATACTCACATTACTAAAAGACTTTAATAGCGCTTTGAGATGAAACTAAAGGACAGCTTATATTACAAATAAAATGTTATAGTTTATCAAATTAAAATTGTAGCATATAATTTTATAAGTGTAAGTATACTTATATAATACAGATATAAAAACAATACTTTCTTTTAGGAAGACAATAAGCATATCCTGTATCCTGTTTTGTTTTTGTTTTTCTTTTTTTTTGAGATGAGTATTGCTCTGTCACTCATGCTTGAGTGCAGTGGCAAAATCTCGGGTCACTGCAACCTCTACCTCCTGGGTTCAAGCAATTCTCCTGACTCAGCCTTCCGAGTAGCTGGGACTACAGGTGCACACCACCACAGCCAGCTAATTTTTGTATTTTTAATAGAGTTGGGGTTTCACCATGTTGGCCAGAATGGTCTCAATCTCTTGACCTCGTGATCCACCCACCTCAGCCTCCCAGAGCGCTGGGATTACAGGTGTGAGCCACCCCCCGCCCACATATCCTGGTTTCTTATTTAACATATATATTTGGAAATCCAATGGAACTTTTATATAATTAATATTCAAACAATCAGGTACTTTGTTTAGAAAGTTGTTTTAGTTGTTCAGGCGCAGTGACTCACACCTGTCAAATCCCAGCACTTTGGGAGGCTGAGGTTGGTGGATCACCTGAGGTCAGGAGTTCGAGACTAGCCTGACCAAAATGGAGAAACCCCATCTCTACTAAAAATACAAAATTAGCTGGGCATGGTGGCACATGCCTGTAATCCCAGCTACTTGGGAGGCTGAAGTAAGAGAATTGCTTGAACCAGGGAGGCGGAAGTTGTGGTGAGCTGGGATCACGCCACTGCACCCCAGCCTGGGCAACAAGAATGAAACTCCATCTCAGAAAAAAAAAGAGAAAAAAGAAAGTTGTTTCAGTTTTGTTCAGTAAGCTCTATACATACTATGATTTTTAAATACTATGAATAAATTAATATATGTAATATCTTTATTTTCAATTATGCTATTCTAATGCTGCTTCAAATAAAAATGAGCCAAATATTCAAAAAAATTGTATTATCATTCCAAAAAATGGGAATAAATTAAACAATGGACAAAATTTTTTAATGTTATTAAAACATTACATTGTACTTTGCAGTTTTACCCAGAAAAACCTTTTAAGTTTAATTTTAAAATACTTTTGTTTCAAAACACTTATATTTTCAACTTCATACTCTGGTCCATAATCTGTGTGGTAACTGGCAATTGTAGAAGTTAAAAGTCATAAAGAAAAAGCCTTTTGTTTTCTAAAAATTAGCAATGTGAACAAGAATTAATCAAACTATTTCATTGTAGTGACTATGTTACTCTTAACAGGATATAGAATGGTCTAAAATATCTCTAGGCTTCTGTCCCTCATTATGTACAAATTTTAACAAGAGGCATTAATTAGTGAGAGTAAGTAATTCAAAAAGTTTGTATAAACATTATAATTTTGTAAGTTATATTGCTTCCTTTTAAACATAACATTAGCTAAGAATAAACCTCATTTGGATATTTAGAACTATAAGTGGATGGTTCCATTATTTACATTATTTAGAAATATATATATATATATATACACACACACACACACTATTTCCTTTTAGGGATGGACGCCCTACACTCATTGATGTCCTACATACAATTCATTCTGTGCTCCTTTAGTTTTTTTGAGTGGTTATTGTTTAATTGGACGCAAGTAAAACTAAGCAAGTAAAAATATCTTGAAAATACTGGATTTTTTCTATCTTATTTATTATTGCCACCTCTTTTACATTCTTTTATGTCTTAAAAGATGAAATTATACATAAATATGTGTGTGCTTGCGTGTAAAATAGGCAGTTCCAGAATTTGTCAATGTAATAAACATCTTATGGAAGAAATCT
Source organism: Homo sapiens (assembly GCF_000001405.40). NCBI lineage: Eukaryota > Metazoa > Chordata > Mammalia > Primates > Hominidae > Homo > Homo sapiens. The sequence goes on from NC_000014.9 coordinate 47,031,538, forward strand.
GTATGCAGCAAATCCTCAGCTATCCCTGATACTTAAGTAATAAAAAAACAGCTGATATGGTTTGGATCTGTGTCCCTGCCCAAATGTCATATTGAAATGTAATCCTCAGTGTTGGAAGTGATGCCTGGTGGTAGGTGATTGGATCTTGGTGTGGGATTTCTCATGAATGGGTTAAGCACCATTCCCCCTTGGCACTGCCATTGCGATAGGATAGTGTGAGTTCTCATGAGACGTATTCATTTAAAAATGTGTAGCACCTCCCAGGTTGCCCTCTTGCCCCTGCTCTGGCCATGTGATGTGCAAGCTCCCACTTCACCTTCTGCCATGATTGTAAGCTTCCAGAAGCCTCTCCAGAAGCAGATATCAGCATCATGCTTCCTATACAGCCTGCAAAACTGTAAGCCAATTAAACTTCTTTTCTTTATAAATTACCCAGTCTCAGGTATTTCTTTATAGCAGTGCAACAATAGACTAACAAACCAGGCATGCATTTTTTTGTGTGTTTACACAACAAATTTACTGAACAGCTATCATGTAAAATATATTATGCTGGGAATACAAAATATATAAAGCATAGCTTGTTATCTGCAATGATGGACTTAATTGCTAAGGATGATACAAAATATATATAGAGAGGTATACATATGTATATCCACATATGAATGATATAACTTAGTTTTTAATAGTCCATATTAATATTTCTTACATGTAGCACAGGTATCCAAGTTAAGCAAAAAATAAATTATTTTCAAATTAAAAAAAAATCAGGATGAACATGGTGGCTCGTACCTGTAGTCTCAACAGTTTGGGAGGCCGAGGCAGGAAGATTGCTTGAAGTCAGGTGTTTGGGACAAGCCTGAGCAACATAGCATGACCCGGTCTCTACACAAAATTAAAAAATTAGCCAGGTATGGAGGTGCACACTTGTAGTCCCAGCTACTCAGGAAGCTGAGGTGGAAGCATTGGTTGAGCCCGATTTTACTGAACAAAGCTGCAGTAAGCTATGATCGTGCCACTGTAGTTCAGCCCGGGCAACAGAGTGAAACCCTGTCTCTTAAAAAAATCACTATAAAAGTTAGACTGTTTTTCAATTTAAAAACATTATCTGAATTCCTGTACTATTAGTTTTGCAAGAATAAGCCTTAGATAGGCATGTAGGCAAGATCTGCTGGCAGAGATTACATGCCTGGAAAATGAACCTTTGATGTACTCAGGAATATTCTGGAGTTGTTACCAGTTATTTGTACCTGAAAAATAGTGACATATAACCAAGTTCTTCAGAAGATTTGGAAATATATGGAAGGGAGGTCCTTGAAAGCCATGATAACATGATCCTCACCTAGAGCTGGCAAGACTGCCTGCATCCAGTTGCCTTCCTGGGCAGGCCAGGGAAGTTTTCCTCTGAGAGGAAATGCAGTTGGATTATAACCCCTGCTCTGGGAAGTCACCTTGGGATGCAGACAAATTGTATCATTTTTACCTACATTAAAATAACTAAACTTTGCCTGTGTCTATCGGTATTTTTTACTCAATTATGTTCATCCCTGTCACACTAGAGACAACTGTGCCACTGTTTATTGTCATTCCTATTATAGAGTTGAATTTTAAAATCTTATGCTGAATTTATTTTCTAGCGGACTAATTAAGAAGCAGGAGAAAGGAAAAAATAGGAAATTTAGTTAATCAATAGAATTCTGGAGTTAAGAATATTCTATGGAGAACAGAGATTCTGATTTCTTGAAACTTTAATTTGAAGTTCGCTAAAGCCATTTGGGTTCTGTAGGTTTTACTAGTATCAGCTTCTGCAGAAAGGAGTGAGCAGAGTGAAAACTGATTGCACTAATAGCTGCAGGAACACTGAAGCTTTGTGCATAACTCGAAGCAGCTCAGAATTCTGTGTTTACCAACAAGATTGAAGTGTTCCAAATTACATCAAATTCCTTTGTGGTCACTTAAGGGTATCTCATTTTTTAGAAAATGGGAAGCAGTTTCACTCTCTTTCTTTTCTTTTTTTCTGAAACCTGTTTTCACATGATCCTCATACCCATGAACAGACTGTCATGAGTATAGAGGCCAGTGAGAAAAAGGCAATATTAAACTGCTGAATGAAACCTGACATCTAAAACCTGCCTTATTTGGAGAAAAAACTCATAATCGATTAGAAATCAGCCAGGTTATTTGGCATTTGTTTGCAAATATCAGTTTGCGTGTTTATAAGACAAATAGCATATCTGGAATCTGAGGTTCTATAGAAGAGGGGCAGGGAATGGTTAAGCAGCACCCAGAACCTTGTCTCTCACCCCACACTCACATATCTCATGCATAAATACATTTGTCTCATACTTTAATTATTCTCTCAAATATGAAATAGTTCATTCATTCTGCCAACAACTTTAAGTCTAATATAAAAATAGACATTCTTGGACTAAATTCTATTTTCAATTTCCTGAGTTACAAAAGAGTCAGACAAAAATGACATCGTTTATTGAAGTGCATGGTTTCACCTAATTCATCTGTTTAATGAAAACTTGATATTGTATATTTAACAAATAGTATGTCAATTAAAATTTGCAGTAGCACTATCAGAGGTTGAGTAGATTGTGTTTAGTTTTCTTCTTTTTCAGCAGTGTCTTTACCATTGGGCAGCCCAGTTACCAGGGCATTCTGTAAAAACCAAACAATAGTAACACTGGTACATTTTATTGACCATTAAGTGTGTGGATTTAGGTATTTTTAATGATAAAATCAAATGTAAAGTCCATAATATCTACATTTTTAATTAGAACTATAACCGTGATTTCAGTAAAAATATAAAAATAGTTTAAAATGTATCTTATTCAATTCTCAGAGTAAAACAATTACCCGCTAAGATTAAATCAGGCAAAAATTCAGCACCTAAGACTTTCCTGAATTATCACTATATTACTAGATAATTACGTAATTCACTGTTACAACTTCAGGTATGCAAATATAACATTTCAATGATTAGATCTCCATAATTTAAGCAAAGAGATGCTTGAAATAGGTAGATAATTTGGGAAAAGGACATGCAATTGCCTGAAGTAAAAACATGGACTGTGAAAACAAACATGTATTACAACCTGAATTAGCAATTACTTCCAGTCTCCACTTTGCTTATTGCACATGGACAGTTTCTCACCATCAACCAGATAACACCATCATAATTATCATACACACACACACACACACACACACACACACACACACACACTAAAACAACTCTTTCTATTAGTGTGTATAAGCTCATGCAAAAAGCACATTTAGGGTAGATTATAGTTTAAATTGTGTATCATTAATGTAGAATGTAGAAATAGTTCATTCAATCCAATGTAGAAATGTAGAAATAGTTCATTCAATCTAGTTACAAAAATCACCTCATATTAATAGTAGAATAATGGTAACACTTCTTCCCTTGTCCCCATATGGAAATGCATAAAAGGGAATTTACTTACACTGAACGATGAGCTGCACCAAGGCTTCCCTTGGTTTCACGTTAAATCCATTGTATTGGCTGGTCTGACATCTGTACATTCCTGACATTTCCCTAGATACATTCACAATCCTCAGTGTTCCATCATAACTCTCCATTTGCATTGATCCATCAGGCATTGCAACTTCTTTATCCGCTCTAGACCAAAGGATGATTGGTTTAGGTTTGCCAGTTACTTGACATTGCAGTTCTATTGTGTCTCCTTCTCTGGTGACCAATGGTGATTTTTCCTGTGGAACAGTCAGATTGGGTGGAACTTGAAATGGGAAAAAGAAAATTTTTCAAGGTTAGTATAAACTGGTAAAGCATATTCAGATACAGAAAATCATAAGGAAACAATTTCTGCTGGCTGAAGAAATGTGACAATTCGGATGATCAAAAACCTTGGGAATAAATGGAATATACTCTCACTGAAAATCATTCTTAATTGTTTTCACTGTATATTTTAAAATGAGGACTTCAAACATTAGCAAAATAAATAAGGCATTCAATTGAAAAATGGTTAATATAAGAATAATCTTCTCAATGACCTGTAATAATTAGCCATTAACTGGGGCTTTAACATTTGCATTTCATAGAAGAGTAGCATTCAGCTGTGTAGACTCAGTAGTCACAATAAGTGCAAGTAGTCAGAAAGGGAAAAAGAGAAACCTCTGATCTAAAATCAAAAGTTTTGACTAGTTTAAAACTTGCCAAATTGCTAAGATTTAGGATTTGTTTTTTGCCTAGTGGGAGTGAAATCAAGCAATTTGAAAATCCATTCTATTCTCCATTTTTGGACTTTTAATTTTTTGTGATATTTGAATTTATTATTATTTCACTTCATAATATTTTGATGTCATTGTAAATAGTTTGCCATAATATTGCCAATATTTCTACAAAATTAATTTTAATTAAATCTTCAAAATATATTTCAACGAATATAAAAATTATAATTTTGGTCTTGCGCGGTGGCTCACGCCTGTAATCCCAGCACTTTGGGATAATGAGGCAGGAGGATCACGAGGTCAGGAGATCGAGACCATCCTGGCTAACACGGTGAAACCCCGTCTCTACTAAAAATACAAAAAAATTAGCCCAGCATGGTGGAGGGCGCCTGTAGTCCCAGCTGCTGGGGTGGCTGAGGCAGGAGAATGGTGTGAACCCGGGAGGCGGAGCTTGCAGTGAGTTGAGATTGCACCACTGCACTCCAGCCTGGGCGACAGAGCCAGACTCTGTCTCCAAAAAAAAAAAAAAAAAAAAAAAGAATTATAATTTTTCTCGAGTAAAGTTAATTTCTGATTTACAGAGAATATTTATGAGAAGTTAGATTGATTTTACTGTAACTTACTTTATTGTGCTGAAATATATTTATGTTAGAATTTAGTGAAAACCATTAAGTGATATGAGGGAAATACTATACAACGATCTTTCTTACAAACATCACTAGTTCCACTGGAAGATTCTTATTTCCTACACAATTGTATATGAATTCAAATGCATTTGTGCAGTAGAACATCTATCAAAAAAGCACAAGCTAAATAGAATGCTATAAATACGAATAACCAGAAACATGAATAATTCTATCCTTCCGATAAATGTTATATGTTCCCTTTGGAAGTAGTACTGCACATGAATGAAAAGTGAAAGGTTTTACTCTTCCTTCTAGTTTGATTATGGCCCACTGCCCAGGTACAAAACCAAACATAATTATGTTTAAAATTATTTTTCAACTAATTTTGAAATGTTGTTTTCCTCATTATAGAGACAAATAAATTCAAGTTCAAAGTGATATGACAATTATCTTCCTATTCAAATATCTTCAATTCACTTTTTCATTTAATTCCTTCACTTATTGTTTAAAACACTAATTACATAATGCATAACGTCTTAGAATTTAAACAATATGAACTATTCACCACCACCATTTTGAAGTAGATATATACATCCTAGAAATTGACATTAACAAAATATATGTTTAAAACGGCTCCATTTTATAAACCCAAATGGGTAATTTGTTCTGGTATACATAAACAATTAAATAATTTTGGCAAAGTATTTGTTCTTTTTGAAGTGAATGATGTAATTAAAATCTAAGCAGCATGCTCAGACAATGGGATTGGAATGGAACTGTGACACTTATTCACCCTCCATGGGAAAGGGTGCAGAATAACCTCAGCATTTAACATTTATTATCCCCCTACTATGTGACAGGCACAATTAAGGATTTTATGCTTTCATTTAAACCCCCTTGATAATCTTAAGGACCAAATATTTAATATTAAAATAAACAATTAAGAACATTGAGAATAACAGATAATAAATACTTCAATTTGAACAGAATACAAACAAAAACTAACTTATAGCAGGTAGCTAATGTAAAGATATGAATACTGAAGCAGGTTCAATAAACAATGGTATCTGGAATTAATAACTTTTGAGCGTTAGCAATAGACTCCTCTCTTCCTGCTCATGACAAATTGGACAAAATCCCTGCCTGTCACTTGGTCACTGTTTCAAATATGAAAGAGTAGAGATGAATGTGAGGGAGTATACAGTAAGTATTTTGCAAATTATCTTTTCTTTCTTTTATCCTCTTATTGATTTCTTTAGTCATTTATTATTGCTATCACAGTGGATAAGGCCAACATCTATATTTCTTAAATAAATACCTCAATCATCTATATCTGAATATGTTTCACATGTCAAAACTGCTTATAAGATATACCAACCTCAAAATAAATATCCAAATTTAGATAAATCTGTGTAAAATAAATAAAAAATGTATAACTTTAAAGACTAATGGAGGGTTATTACTTGAAATATACAATCCATATCTGTTCCAAAAACAAGCTACCTGACCTTGGCCAACCAAAACACCGTCTGTATTAATTTTACCTTTTGTTGATGTTGTTGTTTTGAGATGGAGTCTCGCTCTGTTGCCCAGGCTGGGGTGCAGTGGTGCAATCTCTGCTCAGTGCAACCTCTGCCTCCCGGGTTCAAGTGATTGTTCTGCCTCAGCCTCCTGAGTAGCTGGGATTACAGGTGTGCACCACCACACCCAGCTAATTTTTTCATATTTTTAGTAGAGTCAGGGTTTCACCATGTTGACCAGGCTGGTCTCAAACTCCCGATCTTAGGTGATCTACCCTCCTCGGCCTCCCAAAGTGCTGAGATTACAAGCGTGAGCCACCGTGCTCAGCCTTACCATTTTTGAAACTAAGAATTTGTACTTTATTAGCCTCAACGTTATTGATGTTCTGATTACAAGAATGAATAGTAAAAAGTTAAAAAGAGAAGTGGTGTCAAAAGATAGTATTTATTTCCTAACTTAATAAAATGGATATTTAAACAACTTATTACATTAGACCGTTCAAATCACAATAGATTATTGACTATAATTTTTTTAAATGTTATCATGCTAAATATTTCAAATATCCCTTTTAAAATTTGTTTATGTTTTTCATGTATTTAGATAAACTTTCCTCCCTGCTGAATTAAAGTTACAGAAATATAAACCTCAATTTTAATCTCAATAACATAAAAATTGATTTTTAGATAAATTAGCCCAGGTTTTACAAAATAGCAAAATCTAGCTAAAAGATTATTTAATATCTGTCTCTTCCTAGGCTAGATGCGGTGGCTCATGCCTATAATTCCAGTACTTTGGGCGGCCGAGGAGGGCAGATCACAAAGTCAGGAGATCAAGACCATCCTGGTCAACACGGTAAACCCCATCTCTACTAAAAATACAAAAAAAAAAAATTAGTCGGGCGTGGCAGTGGGCGCCTGGAGTCCTAGCTACTCTGGAGGCTTAGGGGCTCAGGCAGGAGAATTGTTTGAACTCAGGAGGTGGAGGCTGCAGTGAGCCAAGATCATACCACTGCACTCCAGCCTGGGCAACGGAGTGAGACTCCATCTCAAAAAAAAAAAAAAATAGATTTTAAATCTAGAAGTCAGGGTTAACCTTTCCCTACAACTCTCCTGGCCAAAAAGACTGTATAATTTCTCAAACCTGTTATATGTTTTTCTATCTTTCTGTCCCCACTAAATTTTCTATCTCTAAGAATTACTCAACTCTCTTAATTGTTCTTATAATTTTTTCTGTTGAGAGATCTCATTTGTTCTCATAGACTTCTGTTTTACGTGTTGATAATAACAAATTATAACTTTATTCCAATGGCTCATAATTGCAGCCTATCTTTATATTCCAAAAGTCTTTCAAGCCTAAGCACCATTTTATTTCTTGACTTGGTTAATAGTTAATTTCAACAGATTCCATCTATTAATTGAAAACCATACAGTATTATTTGTTTCACCATTTCCTCTTGTCCACCACTTCAAAACAGCCATCAAATCTTGTTATTTCTTTATTTAAAACTATGTCTCATATCTGCCTGTTTCTTTTCATGGCCATAGGCAGTTTTCTCAGTAGAAGTCATCATTTTATCTTCTTGTGACAGCATCCTAAGTGGTCTCTCTGTCACTAGCCTCATTCTTCCAGGCTTCCTGCTGCCCTAAGCTTTATCATCATAAACAGTTTTGTTCATGTCAGTATGAAGACTACAAACCTCAATGAGAGTGCTTGTCACAACACTGGTTTAATTTAAAAAACAACAACCTGAAAACAGCTTAATGGAGTTGTTAAATAAATCATAAAACAGTTGAACAATAGAATATGACACAGTCTTTTTAAATGATGATGTAATAGACCTATATTTATTGATAAGACATTTATATTAAGTGGGAAAAGCATGTTAGCAAGTAGTATAAATAGCTATAATGACTATTATTCAGTGTGTAAAACATGTTACTGTTCAGTATAAACAGTTGTATCTAATTTTTATATATTAAATAACTACATATTAGCTCTCTTGGCTCTCTCTCACACACACACACACAAGTAACTATGCAAGATAAGGAATATGTTAACTTGCTTCACTATAGCAACCATCTTACTATCCATATGTATCCCATAATATCATGTTGTAATCCTCAAATATATACAATAAAATTTATTTTAAAAAAATTTTCAATGAATGTTAACAGGGAGCTTCTTGAAGGGTAGGCTATACATGCTCTGTCTTTACATTGTTACCATCTAGCATACCATCTCTCACATAGAGAAACACAGTACAAAATTTTACACCTAATATATACATTAAATAGCAAGGTAATTGGGCACTAATTCAGGGAAGAGGAGACTTACATGGGGAAAAGTCTAGAGGAAAAGAAATCCTAGAAAGAACTATACCAGAACACTAACAGCGGTTCTCTCTAGAGTGTGGGATTACTGATAAATTTTATTTTCTTTATTTCCCTCTTTTTTTTACTGATTAAACAATATATATAGTGCATAATAACATATTACAGGGCCCAAGAAGCCCAGAAATTTTTAAAATGTTAATTCAATCTATTTCCCAAAACTCATTCAATGAAAACTTCACATTTTATAACACAAATGTATCACTCTGGAAATGATGTTCTGAAAACATAGACTGAGAAATGCTCTTCCAAAATCACTAACTCCTGTTAACACTCCTTTACTGAAGTTTCACCAACTAGTTAACCTCTGAGCCCTTGAATGAGCAGTTCTTTTCCATGGTCAGAGTGTCTGGCTCTTGCTGTCTTCTAGCACCCTCTGTCTGCCCCATGTGTTGAAACTCAGTTCAAATGTTATTCCCTTTGTAAATCCAGGCTGACCTGGTTACTTACTCTTCCTGACTACACACTACGTTGTATGTTTTACCCATTTAACCTGTCCTTGTGACTTTGTCCTGTATTTTCTTCTATGTTTATATCCCTGACCAGGCAGCTCCTTAAGGGCACAGAGCCTTAATCTGTCTCTAAAGTCTAGTGTCTTGCTTTCCTGTTTGGCACAGATAAGAAAGTTGTGAAACAATTGAGAAAGAAAGAAAGGCAGAGCAGAAGAAGATGGTAGGAACATAGGAAAATAAAAAGCTATCAAAATAATAGATAATAGAGATAAACATAATCAATATGAATCATGTATATTTTGGAACAAATGTGATAAATAATAATGAAATATAGTAATTCTACAATTAGTAGCTCCTACAAGTAGCATAATCTTATGCAAAATATATTGTTAGAATATACTTCTGATGCAGATCTTGAGATGTGTGGGTGTGTGAAAAAGTTAAGGAAGTCAAGAAAAGACTCTTCCAGTTCTCTTTTTTCTTTCATTTAAATATTTGAATAGATAAGTTATGAATTATTTTTTAAAAAAACAGAGGAAAGAGGCAATTTGAAGACATGAAATTTAATTTTATCATTTGGTTTTTAGGTCTTAAATCAAATTATTTAAAAAAATTGTCTCATAATGAAAACGTATCAAATTTAGCATAAATATTTGAAATGTCTATACCATGTAAGATCCCCATTTATGCAATGTACTTGCTAGAAAAAGTCACTCCTAATAAAAATGCAGATACATTCTCTAACATATAGTATATATGTTACAGTATATATGTGTATATAGTCTATACACAGCCCTTGATATTTTTTTGCCTGAAATACTACTGCAGGAGATGTTATAATCAGAGAAACTGGAAAAACATGATATGACACCAAAGTTTCTCATTCCAAACGTAAATAAATAGACAAATGATTTGAACACATTGCTTTTCTGTCAACTTTTCCACTGATCACAGACTGTAAAATGAAGCAAATATAGAAAAAGAAAATATTTTCATTTCTTCATTGGGAAGGCAGCTGAGAAAATTTTATCTTTATTCTTTACTTAGAAAATGGCTTAAAAGAATGCAGAAGTTTAGTTCATTTGAACTATGTGGAAAAATATCATGCTGTCTGAAACAAAGACATCTGAATGTGCTTTTAATGGAATTATTGGTTTAAAAATATGACTGTAGTGCACTTTAATAGTAGATATTGAAACAAAAGCTATATTTCTTTCAATATAAGAATCATAAGAAGCTCAGTAATAAATAATATAATTTTCTTCCAAAAGACAATCAGACTCATATTTCCAAGAATCTTAAAATAAGCATGGCACTAATTCAATTACACCTGAATTTTGGAGGGAAGTACTTTATAAAAGATATGTATGTTCTCGAGTAGAATGTATAGTCTATATTTAACATATAAATAAATAAAACTTCAGAGATACTATGTTTATGAAAGTTACCCTTAGAGAACAGAATTCAATAATTCTCATCCTGACCAGATATAAACAAATGTAAAAAAGTAGGACTAAAGTAAGTAGTAAATTTGTAGATGCAAATAATCCAAATGAACCAAATCTATGTTTTTTTTTTTTTTTTGTGTGTGTGTGTGTGTGTATGCACACGCATGCAGGTGCGTGTCTTCAAAACAAGAGATGGGTTAAAAAAATTGCTGTAGATTTGATGAGTTTCATCTTTGGTGATCTGATTGAGACTCCAAGGTAAGCAACATCTTCATTTCAGAGCACAGTTTTAAAGGAAAGATATTCTATCACACTTGAGTGCTGTTTCAGTGTTTGTGTCAGCAGTCCTCCATCTCTTCTTTGCTAGCACATTTACAGATTGGCTTCATAAGCATGAGACATGCACATGGATATACTCGGATTTTGAAGTTTTGAGAAGTCACAAAGTAGTTTTACATAGAAGCAAAGAACTAAATAATTTGCGTTTGCAACAACTGTCAATGGCACATCACTAATGATAGCTCACAACAGGATAAGTAAGATAAGCCTCTGGTTAAGTGAAATTGTCAGTATGCTTGTTGTAACTCCACTCATTTCTCTTTCATTCAAGAAAGTACATTCAGTGTAAGTGAGAATAATGTCATGACTCTAATCTGTATTTTAAAACCTCCATACATTAATATTTGAAATATTATAATTATCATATACCTCACAGATGATGTGAACACACCACTAAGATTTAGAAGAATTGCCTTAAAATACAAAATTTATAAGAACACCAATTGTCAGTGGCCACTGGAAAATATTCATATAATGATACAAGGCAAATTTGAGAATTTCATTCTATTCAAAAATAATTCCATTCCAAGTCTGAATAATACCTTTTAAACTAATATGCTTGACCCATTTCCAGTATGATTATAACCGCGTGTCAATTTTTAAAATACAGTAATGTGTGCTTGAGAGATGTTCAGGATGACAAAAAAAATCCAACATGCTAGACATTCCTCATTTATTAATGGACCTGCTGATATTTGCTTCCTTTTAGAGATCATGATAGGCAACACACGGTTTGATGGAAGGTGGCTAAACTACAGCTCATTTCTTATTAAAGGAATAAAGGTTGCTATTGGATACTTACTAGAAACAATTCTTAGTATATAAAAATATGAAGTTAACATGTTGAGTTATATAATATGCAGCACCTAAATTTTTTTGTGTGTGGTGGTGGTTTGAAAATATGCAGAACTTCCCTGAGCCATAGGTTGATATAATAATATTATATTGTTACATGTCCTTCTGGGTTGTCCTTCCCCTTTTAAATGAATTACTAAGATCTGATTGACTAATGTCTCTTCTTCATCTAAAAAATATTATTTACCATTTCTCAATTACTATTTCTTAAAAATCATGTCACTATATTATTTCAATATCTACAGTAGTTTCCCATTTACCAGAACAGAAGGTCTAAATCCCACTGCTTGTTTTCCATCTTATTTGTCAAACCTTAATAAGCCACAGTGTTTCTGTGGAAAGCTCTCTATTCAATTGAGGCTGGTCTTTTCAACTGCTTAACATACTTGACTTATTCCCATTGCCTCACCTTCCTTCCTTTCTTCTCTTCAGGAATGAGTTTGACCTCCCAACCAATGATTGTTACATTCTTTAAGGTCCAATTTAAGTTTCTTGTTCTATTTACTCTTTTCTGATTTCTGCATCTTTTATTCATCTTCCATGTCTCTGAATTAGAGCATGCCCAATTTATTCTGTACATGTCATGACGAAATGTGCACTTACATATGTAACGAAAATGTCCTGATGTAAGCATCAGGGTTTTTCTATTTCTTCAGTAGCTCCCACATCATGTAACATTTTAAAGGTTTTTTTTTTTCAAGGTGCTTAATAAGTTCTTGATTGATTGATAGAGCACAAATCAAGGTTACTAAGCAACCAAAGTAAGAAAACCATTGATTAATAATCAGCTCTTGATTATCCAAGGCTTAATTATAAAGCATATAAATTTCAAGATCATTTTTCATATATGAACTCTTTTATTTTTTAATTTTAAACATCCACCAAAAAACAATAGATTTTTATAATGTTAGTACATCTACTAGACTTTGATTTGGATACAGTAATGATGCAAGGAGGTAGAAATAATACACTAAAATATTGGAAGCACTTGGTAATATTGAGTAATTTGTCCACTCCATGACTTTCCTCAATCAGCAGTAAAGGAAAGGCTAGTTGGCCCTATGATAGAATGTCCATGTGGATCTATATTCTAAGACTTGTATTACTTGCAGTCCTGTGTGTAAATGTTTCCTATGTGAAACAAGCATTTATAAATATGTCTTCACACCAGATAGTATGCCTACCGTTTTTGTCCATAATATGAATAAGCATAATACATCTCTTATCACACTCTGTAAATAAAAACTGCCTTTTTTCACACTGACACACACTTTTAAGTACCTCACACATAGTAAATCAGAAAATGCTAACTAAACAGGATTGACAATGTTTACAAATCTAGCAATTGAACAGGAAGAAAGCCCACATTAAAAACAAACATGAGGTTAAAATACCACAGCATGTGCATTTGGAAGTTCTAAGGGGAAATGTCCACGCATACACACACATACATAATGACTATTTTTGAAAGAAATGGGGAAATCTTATTAGAACGGCATTGTTCATTACTTGAAACATATGGGGAGAAATAGGTTCCTGGAGGGTAGCAACTCTAAAAGGTTTGGTATTGGAGATGGGGAGCATGCAGTGCCATTCAATCAGGAAAACAGGTTTGGCAGGCAACAGTTGTGGCTGTTCCAACTTCCCTCACCCAGCAGGTGTTGCTATGGCATAAGAATAGTCTCTGAGGGATTCAATAGAATACAAAGTGTAAGATGAAAGAACAAAATAGAAAATCATTCTCTGCATGGCATTCATATTTTCCCTGCTACTCAAGCTACAAGACCAGTTGCAAATAAACACAGGTTCTATTCTTGCTGCCTCATGAACAGATAAGTGAATGGGACTTCAGCTAAGGTTGCTAAGGTACGATTTGGCTAAGATTTCAAGTATCTTGAATTGTTATGATTTTCATATAATTTGGTTTTCTAACTTGAGCATATAATAAAATATTTTTTAGAATAATTAAAATAAATCTCTTAAGAGAATGTCCTAAACTCTTTGGAAAAAAAATAAAAGCAAATAGTTCTTTCTTTTTTTAACCTCCATGACTTGTATGTTTCTCACATACTAAAATACATAAATAAATAATAAACACTAATTAAGTATATAAAGTCTCACATGTGGAAAACTTTTTTTTTCTGAAACAACTAAGTAAACAGGAGCAAGATATTTCAGCTTGTTAAAGAATTATGTCAAAATTGTAGTAAGCAACAAATATGTATTAGATTGAGAATGTTGGAGGGAATAGGGACTCTACAAAAGAAACACTGGATTTGCTATAACAAGAAAGGGGGGGCAGGCGCAGTGATTCACGCCTGTAATTCCAGCACTTTGGAAGGCCAAGGTGGGTGGATCACCTGAGGTCAGGAGTTTGAGACCAGCCTGGCCAACATGCAGTAACCTTGTCTCTACTAAAAATACAAAAATTAGCCGGGCGTGGTGGCGGGCGCCTGTAATCACAGCTACTTGGGAGGCTGAGGCAGGAGAATCATTTGAACCTGGGAGGCAGATGTTGCAATGAGCCGAGATTGTGCCACTGCACTCCAGCCTGGGCAACAGGGTGAGACTCGGTCTCAAAAAAAAAGGGGGAACATCACACACCGGGGACTGTTGTGGGGTGTGGGGAGGGGGGAGGGATAGCATTAGGTGATATACCTAATGCTAAATGACGAGTTAATGGGTGCAGCACACCAACATGGCACATGTATACATATGTAACAAACCTGCACATTGTGCACATGTACCCTAAAACTTAAAGTATGATAATAATAATAATAAAGTAAATAAAAGAAAGGGGGTATGATAAGATGCAAAACATCAAGTAAAGGGCTGAGATATTCATTTACTAAGAAATGGCTAGGTCATTCGATGAAGAACTAGTCAACCTATAACCATTTCTGAGAACTAGAAACCAATTCCTCAAATTAACTTTCTTAATCAAGTTTTAGTTCATGTTTGTTATTTTTTAAAATAATGCAGAGTTGTTCTCACTCATAGGTGGGAATTAAACAATGACAATACTTGGACACAGGTAGGGGAACATCACATACCAGGGCCTGTCATGGGGTTGGGGGAGAGGGGAGGGAAAACATCAGGGATATACCTAATGTAAATGATGAGTTAATGGGTGCAGCACACCAACATGGCACATGTGTACATATGTAACAAACCTGCATGTTGTGCACATGTACCCTAGAACTTAAAGTATAATAAAAATAAATAAATAAATAAATAAATATAAATAAAATAATGCAGAGTAAATCTGGAAAACTGTATTTATGTATAAGCAGTTGATAAAGAATTTTAACCTTAAAAGTTGAATACTGCACTCCAAACAGTTTATTATACAAACTACTAATAATAGGCAGGAGGATCCTATAGCTAAAAAGCCAACTACGATTCCCAAATTCCTACAGTTCTTATATTCCATAATATATTTGCATCCTTGCCTACTTGCTCTTAGAAATGGTGCCATGATTTATCCAAATACACTTATATACATTTACACAAATGCGTTATCCTTTAAATTAATAGCAACTACTCTGGGAGTAACAAAAGCAGAGCCACATATGTTACAATTTGTACCCAATGTTAGAGATAATACCAATTTATTTTAATATACATTTTTGATTCCCTTCAATAGACAAATATGCCTAGGACTAGGGGCAAGACTGATAAATTTGGCTATTCATTATCTTCAAGAATTACACTATATATTGTGAAAACATATATTTATATTTCACAAGACCTACACTTCACAAGAAGTAAGGCTTCTTGTAGCTGATGGTTGCTAATTATTATTTCCAAATTAAAGGATTTTTTTAATAACCATGGAGAGTTTGGAAGACTTGTAAATTTACAAGATTAGAAATTTGACCTGGGCTCAGGTTGTAATCCACATACTAGCTGTGTAACCTTGGCAAAGGGATTTCTTAATTTTAGTTTTCTTATCTGCAAATTAAGCTGATGAAAATAAGAATTTAATGAGTAATGAAAAAATGGCACAATGCTCATGAAAGTGTCCTCTAAACACTTTGAATTTTGTAATATATTTGTAAAGAGCAAGGCTTATGTCTGGCTGCCTAGATTCAGTTCCTAGCTCTATCACCTACTAGCTGGGTATACTTGGGAAAGTAGGCAAGTCTGCACCTTTCAGTTTACGTAAAGTGAGCATAATCGTACCTACTTCACATTTTTTAACACTCATAACCTCTTAAGCCAAGGTATGGCATATAGTAAACACTCCATATATTAATATGTTAGTTATTACTATGTTTTCTTATCACTGTACGTTGTGTATCAATAACCATACTTTATTATTATGCATACATTTCTATATAGATTTTGTTTTATTCATACTTATGATGTCTCGAGTACTGAGGATAGGTACTTACACGGTCAAACAAAGGTTTATATAATTCAAATATATAAATATATTTATACCTATATAAATAAATTTTATTGCTGTTGTCTGTTGTCCAGGAGACACATATGCATTTTACATGAGGATACTATTTGAAGAAAATGACATTTTAGAAAAGACAGGAATAAACCTTTTCTAATCTGAATAGTCAGAGGCATTCCCCCAAAGCCATCCAAGGAAAGAAGATTGCATTTGTCTCCCATTAGACATAATAATTTGATCTATATGTTTGGTTACTATAACAAAATGGCACATAATACAGATATCTCAGCTCTCATTCTATTTCTATGAAATAACGAGTTTTGGACATCCCTATATACATCTACTCCTCCCTTACAAGGATAACAAAATGTCAGTGCTGTCCATTTTTACAAAGGTCAGGGTGTTGCCATGAAAACCAGGGACTAGTAAGTTATAAGGAACTGTCTGATCATGTTAATTATGTTATTGCTTTCTGGTGGATAAAGGAATTCTAAATTAAAAGGAAGATAAGCCATAAATTATACATCAAAGGCATTTTATAAAAGCATTGAAAAAGAAAGATGCTTTAAAGTAATTCACAATTTATTTTACCTTCTGGAGCAACTGTTGCTCACAGTGGTAAAATCCTCAACGCAGAATGGCCAGAAAAAATCAAAATTTTATTACTTCTGCAATAAAAAGGCCATTTGTCTCCTTGTAGAACCCATGTGACATTGTTAGCTCTCTTATAAATGATCACCCTGGACAATGCCTGTTTTACAAATTCCCTAATTACACCACTGATTGTATACCACTGAATATGCCTTATCCTGTAGAAATAGACACTACTGCCACCTTAATAAACATTTTGACATAAAACGAAGCTGGCTCTCTCATCTTTTGTCAAGAGCAAAATGAAACAACCAGTGAACACAATGTTCCATCAAC
Organism: Homo sapiens; assembly: GCF_000001405.40. Lineage (NCBI taxonomy): Eukaryota > Metazoa > Chordata > Mammalia > Primates > Hominidae > Homo > Homo sapiens. Next base: position 47,048,722 of record NC_000014.9, read on the forward strand.
AGATCAGGGTCACATGTTCTTTAGAGCAAATGAGGTTTAATTAACAGATCCGTTAATAGATAACTAATTAAAAAAGGAGTGTCTTCTTATAGCTGCATGAAGGCCTTATTAACAAATATTCTACTGAAGCATGATTGCATTCTACAAACCATTCTGCTAGTCTGTAGAAGTATACAGAAGTTTACAATAAACATATGGACCTAATTTTAAAACCACATAAAAACTTATATAATGTGATTGATTGGAATGATAGATAACTCATTCTGGACTAATACGTGTGAAGAGTTTAATACAATTTTTTAAATATGGTTTTACATTGCATTTTATTCCCAAGAAAGGACATTTCTGTTTAAATGTCAACTATATCTATTTTGTTTACAAGTATTATTTAGAAAGCCATGGTAAAAGTGGACTACTTACGTTTCATTTACAGTGGACTGTCATTCATGCCAAATGCATTTTAGACATCGACATTTAAACTGCTTGTCATTTTATTATTTCTACTTCACATACTTAAATTACCAGCATACAGATACAATTCTTCCTTGATATTCACAGGACATGGAGATGGAGGTGGGGGAAGGTATTGGTTCCAGACCACATCAGATACCAAAATCTGTAGGTTTTCAAGTCCCTTATATAAAATGGCATAGTATTTGCATATAACCTATCTCATCTTCCCACACATGTTAAAAAATCTCTAGATTAGTTATAATATCTAATACAATGTAAATGCTATTTAATAGTAGTACTATATTAGTTTTTATTTGTATAATTTTTATTGTTGTATTTTTAATTGTTTTTTCTTCTGAATATTTTTTTATAATTTCGACTTTTATTTTAGACTCAAGGGGTACATATGCAGTTTTGTTACATGAGTATATTCCATGATGCTGATCTCTGGGGTAGGAATGATCCTGTCACACAGTGAGCACAGTTCAAGATTGATTGAATTCATGGATGTAGAAACCCTATATATAGAGGGCTGACTGTATTTCCTTTCATATTCTGCATAGAATGTTTTCAAAAGTGCAGTGGCAGTCTTCTCTTTTCACATATTTTTGGTCTAGTCATTATTGCTGACAGAACACCTATAAAATTTGGGAAATTCTGATTTCTTTACCCATCATATACTTGGAGAGGATTCCACTGTTCTCAACTCTTTCCCTCCCCTGCAAATCATTGCTCTGCAACCTTTTCTAAAGCTTTTGGCCCTGATCCTCAGCATCCTCTTGGGCTAAATTTCACCCAACAGGACTTGCCAGGCTCCAATTCCTTAGTCAAATAGGTCAGAAGGCAGATACAATGTGATTTGAGGTTTCTAAAATGGATTCCCTCATCAAAAATACATTTCTCAGAGTGTATCTCTGGAGCCTAAAATCTCATTACTTGAGCCCATTCCACTGAAAGACTGTGTGTTCTGTGTAAAGAACCAAGGTTCTTCAGCCAGAATTCACCTATGTTCAACACTGTATGTCACTACTTAGTAACTGTGGTGTCAATAAAAGTCAGGCCTACGCTTTCTACAGCTTAAGCTTCTCATACGTAAAATGAATATAATCACAAAATCTGCTTAAATGGTGTCCTGAGGCGTCAGTGAAATACCAACTGTAAAGTGTTTAACCTAGCAATGAGAATGTAAGAAGCATTCCAAACACCTTAGATTTTCTGTCTACTTGTAACTTACTTTGAAATACTTCAGCATATGGCAACACTTTGTATCTTAAATTTGGTGTTGACATGGGTGTTCACAAAACTGCATGCTTACAATTTATGCATTTTTCTGTGTTTCTGTTATACACTGAAATAAGAGTTGAAAAAATAATTCACCATAAACAATGTGACCTTCATTTGTGTGCTGTAAATTTTATTGTATATACTAGTGATGCTGTTAATATAATGCTACTCATGTGTATCCACTCCAGTTGCAGTTAGATAGCAATTTAGAAACCCAAACCATGGGTCCACTGTTTTCAGGCAGCTAGGAGAAGGCAAGTATCATCTTGATCTGAACTAAAGAAATTTTAATGTAGCATGATGTTGAATATGGTCTTCCATGGTGAAATAAATACTATTAAAGATACTTGCATTGGTGAGAATAAGTAAGATCTCTCCCAACTTTTGGGAGCGGGATATGGGACTGGCAAGGAGACTCTAACATCCTAACACTTTTTGGAGTGGCATCCTTGGAATATGGCTCTGATAATCTTGTGCCCCATGATCAACAGAATAAGTCATCACATGATCCAACTAGAATGTTACCTGAATCACTTCTAGAATATTGCAACACCTGTCAACAATGACCATTTCTTGCAAGGCCTTTGTCAAAGGGATATGACTGAATATTTGAAATGCCTGAGATAATAAAGGGAAATATTCATTTAATCTAAGATTTTAAGGCATGCTGCAAGCTTTCATACTGGATTTGAAATCTGAGATTTCAAGGTCAAGTCAGGTGGAAGTGAACACAGTATATATGCTTCTGGGGTCTATTTCCTTCTCTATAAAATGAAAGGCATTAGGTCATCAATAAGCCCTCAGTATTTTAAATCCGTGCTAATAATTAAGACATGTAGGTTATCTTTTAAAATTGTTTTATGAAACAAATATGTGGAGACCTGTCCCAGTAATCTTTTATTTTCTTTTTAAATTAAGAATAGATATTTAGAACACACCACATGTTCCATAAAGGCACCATCAAAACCCAAATTCAAGTTTTTCTAAATTTTTCTCATCCCTTTTCCAAACCTCACTGATATCTAACAATGTTGAATGAAAAATAATCAAAAGATTATGAAAATTAGGTTCTTTTAAAACTGAAAAGATATTTATTGGCAAGCAGATTTGAGGGGAGAAGTTCTTTGCACTAATCATAGTTCTAGCTATTTGGAACCCTTGAAAGAAAGAGCTTTAAGACATTCCAACTGTAAAATGAAACTTAAACACACCACATACAAATTAAATCACTTTAATAACTGTTCTCTCTGTTGCTAAGAGGTCTAGAGTTCTAGAGCTTTCACTACCACATAGAAGAAAATGGTGATGAAACTGTTAGCCTGTGGATCCAATCATCATAAATACTGCTATTTAATTTTCTTTTTGCCAATTGTGAATGGTAGGTTAGTAGTGTCATCTGTGACCATAAAAATCTGAAGTGTGATCATAACTACATTAGTAGTGAACATACCATTTCCTATACCTCTATCTTCTCCTCTAATAAAAAACTTCAGGATTGGTCTTGGTATTATAGCCTTAAAATAATATGCTGTAATGTACATTCCATTGTTAACTATAAATCTGGTGGAAGCATTTATTCTTTATCAGCGAATGGAGATATCTGTCACAAGTGTTTCTTTAACTCTAATACATCATTACTCACTGTTATCATTTTAAATGCAAATTTTGAAGCTAAAAATTATTTTCAGCCCTCATTGGATTGGAGAATTTTATATCCAGTCGTTTAAAATTCAAATAGTTTCTATGTTCCCATTGCTTGCATTAGAAAAGAAAGAAGGGCACAGGAAGTATATATTGGGTATACTCTCTCATTTCTCTTTGATCTGCTCTTGCTTTCCTATCACCTGAGAATTTGAAAAAGTATTTAATATTATCAAATGAAGAAAGTCCCAAACACATGGGACAGTAATTAGACAAAAGCTAATTAAGCACTGTTAAATAATAAGTTGTAAAGTCAAACCTTTGTTCTGATATTTGGGGAAAATATTGGAGTATTTTCAGTTGATAATTGGAGGGAAATTATAAATCCAATGTTCTTTCCATAGTAATACAGATTCAATTTTATGTGAAAAATTCTAATAGAAAAACATGTTTAATGTTTACTGAACAATTACAGGAAATAATAGAATACTCTCCATTTTTATATTTATGTCCCTCAAAATATAACTAGTAAAATATTGATATAACTTATGCTTCTCAAAACAACTTGCAACTAACGATGTTTTAAATAATCCCTTTCACTCCTTTAAATGGTCTTCTTGAAAAGAGGATTCATATAATTGTCACCTTCTATGAGTGTCTATAATGCTACCTGTGGCTTGTTTAAGAAGATGCCGCATAATCTGAGGATGGATGTTCTTCATACCAAAATACTCTATTTAAACTCTGATGACCTCTTATCTTGACCTTCCCATTTTCCCCTCTCCTTTCCTCTCTTCCTCTTAATCCTCTGTCTCATTCTGTCGGTCTCTGTCACACTCCCTCACTCTTTCCATATTCAATCCTTTCACTTAAATGAAAATAAGAGCTCACTTCCATTATCAAAATTTATGCATCAATATTATGGTTTCTGGGACAAATACAATCATTCACATTTATTTTCATGCCGGTGAAGAAGTACTGAAGGCTGTGAAGATGCTCTAAATACAAAAAGCTTTCCACTGCATGGATATTCTTTTTTTCTACTCAAATTAGAGAGCTTATTTTCCTTGATTTCCATTGATCAGTCATTCTCATTTGCTTCACAGTTTCTTCTTTTTTTATCATCTCCTTGGACAGTAATAGCTTTGCTTCTTATTCTCTTCTTGGGTGAGCCCATCTGTTTCAAATTAATACAATTACTTGTGAAGTCTATGTTTTAGTTCTGACCTTTTCCTGATCATCAGAACTGATTTTCTAATTGCTCACCAGAAACATGAGGATGTTTCACCATCCCTTCAGCTACAACTAATCTCAAACCATTTTGTTCTCTCAAACCTTCTCACAAACATACATCCTTTATGTGACATTACTGTATTCTAAATGACCGAGGCATAACAGTTTGGGATCATAGAAGCAAAACAACATACTTAAAAGGAATGGAAGAACTCATCTAAGCCAACAGCTTTCAACTATGAGTAGCAAATACTCCTAGTGTGTATGTGTATATATATATATATATATATATATATATATATATATATATATATATATATATACACACACACACACACATATATATATACACACACACATATATGTCTGAGAATCAGAATCCTTTGTCCAAATATAATCTTACACAGAAGTCCTATGTATACAAGAGAAACATATTTTACTCTGATTGAAGTTGAAAAGGGAAGAAATGAGTAAAATTCTCTGCTGGTTATTTCGCTTCTCTCTGCAGTTCAGTAGCACTTGCAAATATTCCAAATTGCCATTAAAACACTATTTGGAAATCAGTTCTCCAGCTGATCCCATAATTCTATAGATGAAAAGTTTTGAGGCCCAGTCAGACCAAGGTCATAAAGCTACTAGGAGGTAAATTTGGGCCTGGACTCTGCACTACATTAGTCTGCCTGATATCAATCAGGCTTTTTCTTAAATTGACTTAAGAACATTGGTCATTGACTTAACTGCCCTTTTATGAGAGAGATTGTGAGTACTACCCAGCACCTTATCTGATTCCTATCTATCTGTCCAACTGAATAAATGGTACCCTTCACACACAATCTGCAGAATGTTTTCTTACGCTCCCTTTCATTCATTCTATTTCCTCAAACTTTGCCTTGTAAATATTCCAAACCTGTGGTGGAGAGATAAGAAATCTAACATGCAAAGAGGTTAACTGACTTCTCAGATGTTGTTCCTGAGTGAGTCTCAAAGCTCTTATTATTATTATTATTATACTTTAAGTTTTAGGGTACATGTGCACAATGTGCAGGTTTGTTACATATGTACATGTGCCATGTTGGTGTGCTGCACCCATTAACTCATCATTTAGCATTAGGTATATCTCCTAATGCTATCCCTCCCCCCACCCCACAACAGTCCCCGGTGTGTGATGTTTCCCTTCCTGTGTCCATGTGTTCTCATTGTTCAATTCCCACCTATGAGTGAGAACATGAGGTGTTTGGTTTTTTGTCCTTGCGATAGTTTGCTGAGAATGATGTACAAGGCTACAGTAACCAAAACAGCATGGTACTGGTACCAAAACAGAGATATAGACCAATGGAACAGAACAGAGCCCTCAGAAATAATGCCACATATCTACAACTATCTGATCTTTGACAAACCTGACAAAAACAAGCAATGGGGAAAGGATTCCCTATTTAATAAATGGTGCTGGGAAAACTGGCTAGCCATATGTAGAAAGCTGAAACTGGATCCCTTCCTTACACCTTATACAAAAATTAATTCAAGATGGATTAAAGACTTACATGTTAGAGCTAAAACCATAAAAACCCTAGAAGAAAAACTAGGCTAAGCTTTCTGTATCTTTTTTTTCTTATCTAGCCACTATTCATAAAATATTGCTTGTCCCCGTTGTCCAATTTTTTTTTCTTTTCTTTTTTTTTTTTTTTTTCCAACAGATCTCACTCTGTCACCCAGGCAATTTTTATCTTAATGAAAGTGTTTTGCCTCTCTCTGTTACATTATCTCCAAATGATTCACTGACTATTCTGTCACAATGCAAAGGTAGTCTCACTGTTTGGGAAACAGGAAAAGCTGTCATTGTCAGATTGATTGTTAAGCCTTAAGAATGTCTTTTGAAATTCTCTTTTATTTCTCCACCATCATTTCTCTAATTGTCTCTTTTCTGAACTCTGCAGATTCACCAACTGAATTGGCTCCCAAAGCACAAATCAGATCATATTGCCTCCCTGATAAATACTTTGGTCATTCTTGATTGTGTGAATGTGAGCTAATAAGATCTAATGAGATTCATTTCCTCCTAAGATCTAGTGCCTTATTCTTAATCCAGCTCAGATGCTACCTGCTGCTCTATGGAACTCTTGCTGACTAGATTCAATAACATTATTCTGTGTGCTCCCCTATAACTTCTATAGTTTATTAAAGCAAATGCTAGATTATATCTGTTAATAAGATTTTACCTCAATCTTATAAAATGTATTAATGTTTGTATAGACAAGTAACGGTTACATGTGAGTTTAATTTGCTAGTAAGCCCATGAGGTTTAGCTTTGTAATTATTTTATTTCTGAATTAATAGGATATCAAAAGTGTAGGTTTGAGGTCAATGCATTACAGCCTGTGGGCAAAATATGGCTACCACCTGTTTTTGTAAATAAAGTATTATTGGAACACAGCTGTGCCCATTTATTTATTGCCTATGGCAGCTTGCCCATTATCATAGCAGAGTGGAATAGTTGTGATGGAAACCATATGGCCTGAAAAGCTGAAAATATTTACTATCCAGCCCTTTACGAAATGTTTGCCAGTCTCTGATGTCCATCATTAATTCAGAGGTCATGGATTTTACTTCACAATTTTGGATTCAAGGAAAGAAATTAATATTTCTCTGTTCAGTACCTCAGATGCTAATTACATAACTTTTGATTGCAGGGTAGCTTCCTCTGATCAAAGCTCTGTCAGGGTATTTTATGTGATAGTCTTATGACTTCTACTTACATAAAATAACCTATTCCTTACTATAGCCATTCTATAAAACTTCAGTTTTAATCAGCAGAATTTCATGAGTTTCTATTCCTCCTTAATTGGAGAAAGGACAAGGAAGCAAATCTAATTAATTGGACTTAGTCATTTTTTCTGTTGCCCTCCTGTTTGTTAACTATTCTTCTTTCTTGTGTACTGTAGTCCTGTGTTATCAACAACTTTCATTTTGCAGATGTGAATACTTGTACAGACACTGGTTAACTAAAATAATTATAGTAACTAGATGGGTGGCAGCAAACTAAAATTTTGAACAGATTTTCTCAATTGGTCACCACTAGGCACCTATGCCTATGCTTCAGCTTCTTGTTTAAACTTCAAAATTTGGATCCACTTTCTGCCTATAAAATGTCCATGTACTCTAACAAGGTAGAAAAAAGATCATCAAAATCTGTATTGAGTCTTCTGCTATATTTGTCCACCAGATGTCTCATCATGGGAATTCCACAGATCAGCAGTTTCACTGTTTAGGTTTTCGAGGCATGATGCAGATGCTTCTGAGTTTACTATAAACCTACAAGTTTGTCAAGTCATGCAAAGAAATAAGTGCAAGCTAATGAGCATCCAAGGACTCTACCATGGAATAATACTGGAAGAAGCAATGAGATATTTTGCAACAATGCCTTTGAAAATTAAGTCTACTGCTGTATAACGATTATATTTTTGCAAATGAGTGACAATCAAGTGACAATAATTAAGAATTTAACTTTCATCAAAATTTTAGGCTAAAATTCACATGCATTTTTCAGCAAGTATGTGAAGTTTTTTTATTTTGTAAAATTGAATTATAGCGTATAGTATATTTAATTATAGCATATAGTATATTTAATTTTTTAATTGAAACATTTATAACAATTTTAACTTACCTGCAGTCTAGCCAGATAAAATATAGCTTCAGTAATAAAAAACTATAAAGTTGTAATAAACCAATATAATTTGCTTATATTCATATCAATGAATATCAGCCCTACAGTAAAAACAATAATTATCACTTTAATATTCTTGAGACTTTCTTCATCCTCTATACTCTGCCAAATATATCCTCCTTCCACTGTCACTAGCGCAATGCTACTTTTGTCAAGTTTTAACTCAAATGTCATTTCTCTGTAAAAGTTTCTTATACCCACATGAACAAAAAATTCACAATTTCTACAGAAGTCCGATCAAGCTTTAAGCACAGTATGCAACCACTATATATTGCCTAGTTTCTACGTAATCTGTCTTGATGATTTAGATTGTAAGCTCCTTAAGGGCAAGGCCTATTTGTACTATCACCATATAACACAGAGTGTATATGTAGCAATAACACAGGAAAGAAATCTAAAGGAAACACTAATTTTAAATTAAAAAAAAAATACTCCCAATGAAACAATTTGCATGTTTAAAGATGAAAGTAAGACAACCTATAATCACATATATCATAGTTTTTATCAATCAAATTCAAACTCCAAAACACATGAGGCCTCTCTTTTCTTCTTTCCTTTTCTTTCCCTCCTCTCCCCTCCCCTCCCCTCCTTTCCCCTCCCCTCCCCTCCTTTCCCCTCCCTTCTTCTCTCCTCTCCAATCTGCCTTGCCTTGCCTTACCTTGCCCTGCCCTACCTTGCCCTGCCCTGCCCTGCCTTGCCTTGCCTTGCCTTGCTTTTTTGAGACAGAGTCTTGGTCTGTCAACCAGGTTGAAGTGAAGTGGTACCATGATAGCTCACTGCAGCCTCAAACTTCTGGCCTAAAGGGATCCTCCTGAGTCAGCCTCCCAGATTGCTGGGATTACAGTGTGAGCCACCATGCCTGGCCCTAAACTGTCTTCTAAAATCAGATCATTGTCTTTTGAGAATATGAATAATTCTGTAAATTAGGATTTACTTCCCTGAAATATTTTGTATTTCAATTTTAAAAGTCATCAAAAACATATGTTGAAATGTGGCTCTGTCATTTAAGAAAAATGATTTTCTGTCTCAGGTAAAAATGCCTTGTGGTATCTCAGCCTCTACTTAAAAAATATCATTATATGACTCTTAAAACACAGTAACACTCAAATTGAATGATGAAGAATTAAAGAGAGAGGAAAAAGAAACAACAGAGTAACAATTGAGATTCGATGTAAGATTTTATATGAAAAACAAAAAGCTCAGAAATTTTCAAAATGTTTTAAAATGTCACCCTAAAATGCCTTATATTTAACATAAAGAAATGCTTAGCCCACAAGTCAGCTACTGACCATTTGGTCAATGCTCAATTTCTTATAATAGAAATACTAGCAAAACCAAGAATCTAACACATCACCACATATATATTTATGTCTTACATTGTTGCTTCCTTTTCTTTGACTCACTCATCCCATTTGTGTGAATTTCCTCAGTATCCTCCAGGGTTCATAAAATTGATATAATCCAAGATTTCCTTGTATGCTATAGCTTATTCATTTTCACTGTTCAAACTATATCCTAGAATACACCTATTTTCATATTAAAGCACTTTAGTCTTCAATAGTATTGGGATAAATATCATTTTAATGATGTCAGTTGAATCATACAATCTCAGATTTATAGAACTTTATACTGCATTCTAGTATTCCACTCTATTGTAAGCAAATTGGAACATCAAAGGTCAGTTTTGGCTTGAAGACAGAATATGTAATCATCTTCAGTAACTCATTCTTTAGGTTAGGCATCATCTTCTGTAGGCCTTCTATCACAATAAAATCTCCTAGGCCATCTAGCCTCAAGAGCCTGCCATCCGTGTAGCCACACTTAGAACAGCCCCAAATTTGCTTTAATGCTTTGATGTTGCCATAGTGAGTTTATTAATTTTTGAACAAGGGGCATGCATTTTTATTTTCACTGGACACCACAAATTGAGGAGCTGCTCCTGTCTTTGGGAGTGATAAAACATTAAGTCACTATAAATTTGTCTATCAAATAACTTTAAGTCAGTAGGGAATTACAATAAGGGCAGTAAGAGGCACAGCAAATGTCTATATTATAGAGACAATGGGAGGGGAGAAAACCTAAAATGAAAGGTGTATGCATAAATTAGTCATTTTGTTAGTTAATAATTATCTGTTTAGTACCTTCTATGTGCCATGTATTGTTTCGGCTATTGAGATTATAGCAATGAGTGATGCAGACAAAGTCTCAGACTTTGTAGAGCTTCCATTCTATGGAGAAACCACATCTATCTGTAGTTAAGTGGGTACTTTCCAGGGGTAGTGTTTTGGAAGAAGTCAATATATTTCTTTTATCTCCAATAGTGTTACCTTGGGTAGCCAGGCAAATTAATGATAGTTAGGAAAATTTAATGATTACAACCAATCTCTTATTACTAATCTTGAATTTTCTTTAAAGGATTGGTGGAAATTTCACAAATCAATGTTGGTCATCTTTACTATTTTGTCATATATAACACATAGTTTCAAACAGGCAATATAACTAGTATGTTTAAAAATAAATGTTAGGGCTCGTTTTGTGAGCCCTGTATATAATGCTGCTTTCTTGTCTCCATTCTGTGCTCCATCTTTTGTCTAAGTTTAATGGTATATAAACTGTGCTCCCATCAAAGGAGTTCTTTTAGATAAAAGCATTGATTCTTTGGATCTGAGCTTTGTGTCACTGGTTCTGTAAAGGAAACAAACAAAAAAAACCCAGCCAAACCAAACCAAACAAAGAAATGGTTTTGATTAAGTCTAGAACATTTATGGGAAACTATCCCTCAGAAAATGAGGACAAATTATCCTGGATCTACAAAATTTGCTCTTACTCTCTTACAGGAAATATTATATTGGAATGTCATACAGTACAGTGTACAGTGTCACCTAGCACACTGAGGTGAAGAATCAATGGATATTTGTTGATTGAATGAATACATAAACAAGTGATAACTGACTGTGTGTATCAACAGTTTTCCCTCAGATATCCTAAAATAATCCATCTCTTAGCGCTAGCACCAACGTTTAAATATGTTAGAATTTTTTTAAAAATGTTTTTATTGTCTCTAGCTTTTTTTTAAGCTAGAAAAGAAATAATGTCCAAACACAAGTACTTTTCATCACCCTAATTTCCTTTTGTTTTAGTGATAGATGATAAAAATTGAATATCTTCTAGGAACAAAGCACAATTGTGCAAAGTTAGCACATTTTTGTTAGCCTGAATCATAAACTTCTATTCTTAAGGAGTAAAATCAATCCAGTGTTCACTGCAATTTGGAACCATGAGAAGGCACAAAATTATAGGTGAATACTTCAAAGTACAAGATACAAAACGCTGCCTGATCATGTGTCTACTACATTTGTCTCTATGTTTTCAACACATATTATTTATCTTTCATGATGTAAGAATCTTCCATTAAAATTCAATTTGGTAACAAGCTGGCAAAACAAATACAGCTACTTTGAAACTCTGGATGTGTGCTGATTGTGCCTCATAGAATCACAGGGCTTTAAAGCATCTGAATGAACCCTCCTCCACCAAATCCCTGTAATTTTCCTTGTCAACAGATGTACATTTAATCAAGAAAAAACTAATAACATGTTTTCGTTTTTAACTTTAAAAGAAAGAATTTCACTCCAATATATTTTCGTACTTAACTATTTTCATTATGAACAGATTTTACCATATGATTCTGCAAAAAAATCACATCTGACTACAACTTTAACATATCAATTTTTGTTAGTGTAGGGTACATTTCTTACATATTTTGCATTTGAACACTCTTAAATTATCTCTCAGTATTTTCTTCTTAGCACTATATAGTTATGCTTTGTTTAAAATTTCTGAAAATTGTCTTAACTCTAGACATTTGTTGTTTAATTTTATTAATATAATTTTAGACTCTTCAGAGTATTTTGATGAAATACTAGTATTATTTAACTTATAAGCCTATATCTATCTTAGTCAATGCTATTAATTTTATTTGGATAATTTCTGTAAAATCTTATGTAAATCTAAATCAAAACTGATAAAACAGTGTTTCAGAACCTAGTATTCATTGAGCATTCAGAACATTATAATTTTGTTTTTAGGAAACTTAAAAGGGAAAAAATATTTTTAACTAAAACCTACTTGATCTGTTAAACTTCAATCATTCTAAATGTGAACATCTTTTACATCATAAATATATGCCTCTTACCTGTGCTGCTGGATATATTAACATCGATACTGATATCAGATATTCCTCCTCCCTTCAGAGATGCTACACATGTGTACGTCCCAAAATCCGTGAATTTTAAATCAATGATGTCCAAGTTTGTTGTTCCCGGAGAGACATCAGGATCAGTCTGTGTAATGACCATCCGCTCAGAACTTCTTAATGGACGACCATTTTTAAACCAACTAAATGTTAGCTCCTCAGAAGGAACAGCTTCTACTTGGCAAGATATTTTCACCTCACGGCCAATCTGGATGTTGTCATCTTTGTGATAAGGATCTGGTGTGATCCAAAATCGTCCTTTTTTTAATGCTACAACATAAAAATTCCATAAGGAGTTAGTGTTACTTTCATAACTTTAAGGATTCATTAACTGTAGATAATCATCTCTGAGCTGAAATAAAGTAAAACCAAATAAAGTGTACATATATTTCTTTTTTATATCCAAGTTGTGTGTACATCAAAAAACCTCATGCAGGTACCCAGAAATAATCTAAAAAAATCTAAGTCAATTAAAGACTGTGAACACTGATTTTTATAAATTTGGTAAGATTTTCCAGTGATATCAAAAGTAATGCCTTAAGTCTATGTGCAATTATACTTAAATATTGACATTGAATTTTGAACAAATGACAGATTCTATGTAGTCATAGCATATTAAAATTAAAAGTAAGAATATGGATCTCATTTAACCTAATACTTTCCCTATGTCACTACTTAGTTATTGTATAATTTTCCAAACAACTCAAATATTACACAAAGGACATAAGAACATTCTCCTAAGGTTGTATCTATATGTTGATCAACACTAGTTCGGTAATATTTGAGTCCATTCACATTCATGAAACATTTTCATATATTGAAATAATCTGAACTGAAAAAGAAAACCTGGGGCAAAAAGCATGTTCAAAACATTTACTATGAACTTTTCTATTCTACCATACATAGATGTTTCCAGTTAAAACTGTTTGTTGGCTCTCTAATGCGGATGACCAAAAGAACCTCTCCACAGACAGCTTAGAAAACAGGTTTGTATGCTAACAGAAATGTTTTCCAGGTCTAAAGGCAGTGCTGTTTTCACAAGAGGTCAGTAGTAATGACTACCAAAAGGCTGCCAAGGGAGCATCTATAGACTTTCTACTAAGGGCCTGAACTTTGAATGATACCACAATACTCAATATGGAAAAGCTTTCTCTCTTTTGTGACAGTGATTCTCTTATACACAGATTTTTCTTTTTTTTTTTTTTCATCATCTTCCCCATTTCCCTCTCCTTTAAAATGACTATCCCTACATGACAAAATGTGGCATACACAGTGAAACACAATTATCAGGATAAAATATTGGTCATCCACTTTTAACATTAAGCCTAAATATGTAATGATATTGTCAAAAATGCCATGAATTTAGAGGACCTACAGACACTAGAAGGCTGCTAACAGCATTCTGGATAGCCCCTCCTTAGTTTAACCATATTTTTGTCAGTTAGTCCAATAAAAACCAGTAAGCACTATAAAAATCTATAGAATCATGCAGAATGAACTAGAGATAAATATACTTTTAAGTCTTAAAAACTTTTCTAAGTTTTAAAACTCTTTAGCCTCAAATATTTTCATCTGCTTTCTTGTTGGCATCTCAATAGGAAGATATACATAGATATCAAAAACAATGTTTGTGTCTTTCTTTTTCATTTAAGATATATTTGAAGGGCTCCTCCTCAAGACTAGCCACTAGGCTGGGTTCTGACTACAGGACATGAACAAAATAGACATAACCATGGCCCTCATGTACTGCAGCCTGCATATTCATAGATTAGAGGCCAACTTATTCACACAACATTTATGATACTTATGTCTAGAAAAACCACAGACATATATAGCGATGAAATATTTTATATGCCTGAAGAAGTTTCAATCTCAGAGGACAGCCTCCCTGAATTACTGTTTAGAAAATGCACTAAGTTTTAATCTTAATGAAAACATGAGAAGACAAATACTTAAATCACATTCTCATACTGTCATTTGTTACATTTTTCCATAATAAAATGCAACTTATGAATCTTATTTACCCCTAACCATATCTTTATCAGTAAGTTACTCTAGGGTGAAATTAGGATACATTTTGGTATTCTGTTACCTAGAATCATATATTCATATTTTCACAGGCACTGACCTATGACTTTACATTGTATTTGGGAAGGGAAATGTGATGAAATGTCCATATCTGGCTGCCATATTTGGTATATAATAATTGTGCTCATACAATGCCAATGTAATTGAAGTTTTACAGTACAAAGCAAATCATATGAGTATAAAATATATTTTCTGTTAAAAACAGATGTAAAATTTAATGTCAAGAGCATTTACTTTTATTAGCACCATAACAGTTAAATGAGAGTTTCCCTTCATTTGCTAAGAATTTTCTTTATCCTGTTTTTAAAGAGAAATTTTAAGATTACAATTTTGAAAGTTTTATTATTGCATATAATAATTTATTAATAACCATATGACTAATATCAGGGTTCATATGGGATATCTTTTAGAATAGTTTTCATTACAAAGATATATGTTGGTTGCATATGTAAACACACACAAAACTGAGATGTTTAAGTGGTTGTCATTTATTTACCATGCAGCTATTGTTTTCCACTTCTGTGCTCTGCATAGTGACATATTAAAGTGATATTGAGAGAACTGCAATCTTACCAGCCAAATTAGATTTAAAATACTAAACAACTCAAAAAATACTGATAAAAATATGAAATCAGTATCTGTATTATGTTATAGAATATTTATTCATAAAAACAACTTTAAAACCCAAAGAAAAAATATTAGAGATTATAAACCCATAATCAATTAATACATAAGATTATATGTAATATACAATTAGACAAATTAATAAAAAGCAATATAATCAAGCATGCTTTTAAGAGTGAACTCATAGCGAAAAACATTGGTGAATCTTAGTTATCAGATAATTCTATGATTTGGCCTAAGTCAATTGTACTAGTCTTCTGAATGACACAGAATCTAAAGGGAAAAAGAGAAACAAGTCTGCTAAGTGAGCTCAAGTTAAGGAACATCAGAATAAGTAACAGATTATTTAATAGAGAGTCATTTCTGTTTATGTTGTCCCTCTAACAAAATAACATAACTGGTTTTGCATACAAAAAAGAAATGTTCAGATAAAAGGTGTGTGTGCGTGTACTCATATATAGTAACAGAGGACAGAGAAATTTTGTTTTCTTACTTAGCTCAGAAAACTAAGAGCATAGCTCTGTAAACTAGGTCTGGGTACATTGAGAATTTGCAACCTAATTCCAGTTTTTCATGTCTACGTGGTCCAAGATGGGCAATCTAATTTTTATGGATCAAGTGCATCATTTATGAAAATAGAAGGTGATAGAGTTAGGCTCCCTTAGAGACACATTGTGAGAAATAGCTTATTAACAATTGTGCCTGAGTTTTGAAAATATAAAGTGTTTGATGTAGTTAATCAACTGGGCAGCAGGTTCCTTCGTTTATAATTAAACGCTCTCTTTTTCCGTGAACAATTTATAGTAGCTCATGTAATGTTAATTTAAAGTCATTTCCTGCTACCAGTTAAGATTTTAAACTCTTAAAATCAATCTGTAATTAGTACTGGAGTATAACAGAGGTCCAATAGACTTATTGAGACTCTATAGAACTAAACAAATTCTATGGAAAAAGGATAGCAGAAATCCCTTTCCCCAAATGCAATTTCTCAGTCTGAATATTGAAAATCCCCTAACACCAGCCTGAGAGAACATTAGATTTGGCTTAATGTATCATAAATCGTGATAGATGAACCTTAAAAGGTACTTGTTTAGTCTGGCAGTGCATGTAAAAGATTGGCATCAAGCTGAACCTCTGTTCTGGATAATCAGTTTGGAAACATTGCAATGTAACTATAGCCTCCCTTTTTTAATATTGTGAATTGAATACAGGCTTGGCCTATATTCACTTTTTAACAGTATACTTGCAAGGACATTCTAATTGCACTTACTGAAATCCCTCTTCTTCAGGCTACACAGATGTGCTGTGTAAATGGAGTGAAACCCAAGTATTGAAACAGAGGCTACTCACTGCAAAAATTTGGGTAGGGTTTGTTGCTCACCTTCCCTAGAAATAAGAGTCCATGCCTGTGAATGTGAATGTCAATGGTTCAATGGAAGACTCCTGTTATGTAAAACTAGATTACATCTTGAGCATAGGCTTGAAAGAGGGAACATTGCCTTCAGAGAAGTCTAGGCTTGTGGTTTCCACAAAGAGGAGGCTGTGAGATTGTATCTTGATTGTAGTTTTAGATTTAAAATTATAACGTACATTGTTTTGTTGGTCAAATGTTCCATGAAGTATGCAATACATAGTAATTCAATAATAAACTAAAATTTATTGACAGAACAAAAAAAGACAACAGTCTTATACTTTAATGTGAAAAGCATCTCTTTGGAGATAATAAATATGAGGTGTCAGCTTTTTAGCTTCTGTTAAGTATCTATTTCAGAAGAATGTAAGATACAGAGTGACCACTGATCACCATTTCAGGTTGATAAATTGCTGAAAAGACTCTCTAAATCGATTATGTTTTATAATCAGGTTGTAGGATTCTGGACAACCTAAAGGACTGACAAAACCTTGTTGAGATCTGGATATAGAAACCATTAATAGTGCAATCAGATAAATAAAAATCAATTTCCTATTTATTCTTTGCTGAAGAGAATAAAAATATCTATGTGTGAAAGATGAAGTATTTTCCTGACCCACTGAATGCCAATTAAATAAGCAGTTGGAAATAGGTTACATCAGCAAAGCAACTTAAAAGATAGTAAACGATAGTATGTATAATCTGTCCTACTATAACTAGGAACCTATCTTTCTCCTCAATAGGGCTGTGAACACCTGGGGTTGGAGTGGGTACACCTTACTCTTCTTCATTGCCCCCAAATCCTGAATATGGTGCATTGTTAAAGTTGGTACTTAATACTCTTTATTGAATTTAATTATAATTGACATTTCAAAGCATTAACTTTACAAAT
Source organism: Homo sapiens (assembly GCF_000001405.40). Taxonomy (NCBI): domain Eukaryota; kingdom Metazoa; phylum Chordata; class Mammalia; order Primates; family Hominidae; genus Homo; species Homo sapiens. Next base: position 47,066,324 of record NC_000014.9, read on the forward strand.
GCCAATTGTTTCCATTCAGTATGGTAAGTTCCTGTTAATTTTGATTTTGTGTTGCAGTCTTGTGTTCTGAGATGCATCTGGGGAAATAGAATAGGAAAAAGAACAGATTTGATGTCCTCAAGGATTCAGTGATTTTGTTGTGGGAACAGAATAACACTTGATGAACAAACAGCATCAACATGGGAATATATGTGAGGAAGAGAATTCTGTACACAACACAAGAAACCTCATTCTAGCACATCCACTGACTAGTTAGCTATGTGTATGGGACATCGGCTATCAGACAACTCTCTTTGTAAAGGAGGATTTCATCCAAAAGGGCTTGTTTATATGCTTCAGATAATAATCATTTCTGAGCAAATATGGATAATTACTCAACTGATAATCAGTTGATAATCTGAAGATGGAAGAAGGAAAAAAAAAACTGACATCTACGCACATTTACATTGTCTGAAATAGTATTTGCTAAAACCTGTTTCAGAAAATGGTTAATGAGGTTACATTAAAACAAAGTGTAGGCCAGGTGTAGTGGCTCATGCCTGCACTTTGGGAGGCTGAGACGGGCAGAGAACCTGAGGTCAGGATTTCAAAACCAGTCTGTCCAACACAGTGAAACCCCATCTCTACTAAAAATACAAAAAATTAGCTAGGCGTGGTGGCAGGCGCCTGTAATCCCAGCTACTTGGGAGGCTTAGGCAGGAGAAACTCTTGAACCCGGGAACCGGAGGTTGCAGTGAGCCAAGATCAGGCCACTGCACTCCAGCCTGGACAACAAGAGCAAAACTCCACCACAAACAAAGAAACAAACAACCAACCAAAGTGTAACAAATAAAGTTTGAAAATTGACTATATGAAAAAAAGTTCGTATTTCTCCCAAACTTTTCAGAGCTTTGAACATGCTAACATGCAAATTGTCACATTACTGGAGAGGCTGATTGCATCTACCAAGGGGGAACATCTCTGAGGACTAGCATCCCAGAGAATAAAGTTTGGGAAACAATGACCTAAGAAAATCTGCCAGTCGAAGAGAATCATTGAAAAGACTGTAAAATTAGATTCCATTCTTAATATTGTAGGCATTTCCCTTATGAGCATCACGAAATAATCAGCAAGGTGTGACTCTCTAGTGAAAATAATATTTATTATTTAAAAAGCTAAAGGGCTTGGGAATGATCTTAATTTTTTAAGTTAATAAGTAATGGTACATTGAAGTTATAAAAATATATTTCAGATTCATCTAATAAACTCACCTACACTAAGAGCCGCGTGCCTCTTTCTTTCCAACCAACAATTTAGAAAACAAAATTAACTTACCAGTTTGTTCCTGTCTCTGAAATGTACATTTTGCAATATGCAAACAGCATTAAAGAGGAGTTAAATGCATCAGCTTTTGTACAACTCTAAGCACTGATATGAACAAGACTTAATCTTTCTCATTTGCTTGAAGAAATAATAATTTGAGTTAATTTATTTATATCTTATGTTATTATAAAAAGTATATGCAGTGTTAGTCTTAAAAGTATTAAAGATTCTGGAAAATGGATATGAGCAGGGAGGTCTTTTAAATTTTTTTCTCTGATATGCTATTAAGTATTCTTATACTCACTTCTCTGTATCTAACAACTCCATTTGCCAATCTAGTCTGAATGGAAGTTCATTAATAATGCAAGAACAAAAATACGTTACACCCTTCCTGAAAGTGGTTTAACATAGCACCCCTGATAATCTAAATGTAGAGTCAGACGATGAAATGAAGTTGGGGTTCTATTTAATTGTAAAGTATCAAGGCTCTATTTATTTTGTGAATTTACTCAAAGCTAATTAGTACAGTTAATCATTTGAATTGTTTAAGCATAGTATGGTTGAATTATAAATGTCTCTTGAATATCCTTTCTCAATAGAACATCAGCAGGTAAGCATTTTGGGTAAGAATTAGAGAAAGAAAGGACGTTTTAGGCAGGCACAATGTACTCTTTTTGGGGTAAATTCTTCTTAAGAAGGGGGAAAAAGTGAACTAAAATAATAACATAATTATTATCATTATTATTTTGCCATTCCTACCATTTTAATCCTATTTTAAGTAAGAAAAAAAAAATATATATATATATATTGCTGATAAATTACCAAAATGTCTTTATCGGTGTCATAAATGAAAACATTTACATGTGGCTACCATGTAAATGGTATCTGAATTAGCATGATACCTTAGCACCAGTTATTTGAATAGAAGATTATTACTTTGCTGGCCCTATAATGTTAAAAATTAGTGGGTATTTTGAGCTCACCTTTTCTATCAAATTTAATAATACTTTTTCACTATGAGAAATGAGAATGTGTTCAGGTATATTATACTTTTTATTAGTTGCTAAAGACCTAGGACTAGAAACAGCTATCAGATGAGTGGCAGTTTAGAAAGATTGGTACAAAATATAATTCATTTGAAATCCTTTTGAAAATAGTACATCCTTAATATTTATGAAATTGATCATGTAGTTGTGAAAATTAGATGAGATAATGAGACTAACTTAATCTAAAATCTTTCGTTACCTTTCTTGAGCTTTTTTGTTTTCTGTCTCGTAAGCGGTGCCCTTTCCCTTTCCAAAGTGATTCTGCCCCTTCTGCCAACCTCTCTCACAGTATCCTGAGGTCCTACATCCAGTTGGCCACTTCTTTTGAAATATCAGTATTTCCTCTTCCATACTGTATTCTCTCAGACTGAAACTTGTTTAGGTCACTTCTAAACTTAAAACACTTCTCTTAACCCCAATAATCCCTCAAACCATTTGTGGCATATTGCTTGATAAAATGGTGAAATACCAGTTGCACTCACTCACTAGGATACTTTATGTGCTGGGTTTCACTGATGCTACTCTGGCAGTGAGGGCTCAAAGATTAGTAATGATCTCCTAATCAATTAATCCAATATTTTCTAGTTCCCATTCATGTTTGTATTATTTACACTTTCCACTTCGTGTCACTTTACATTATTGGCTCTTCTTTCTTGAACATCTCTTTTATACTGGCCTCTATAACTGGTAGGATATAACGTTTAAGAAAATAAATTCATGGACTGTTCTCATTCACATCACAATTGTCATGACAGTCTCCCTGGTTCATTTGAGTTCTATCATTTGAACAGTTCATTTGAGTTCTATCTATCACTTGAACAGTTCTAACATTCGAAAATAAATTAGTGGACTGTTCTCATTCACATCACAATTGTCATGACATTGTCCCAGTTCTATCATTCAAACAGCAGTTGTAAAGTCAGGTTTGTTGAGAAAGGTAGGATTTTTCTAAATCATTTTGCCGTAATTAGAAGCCATGGAGTTTTCCCTTGATGTTCTCTTTCCTTTTGCTGCCCATGTTAGAACATGAGATAGTTGTCTGTTTGTTTTGTTTCTTGAGATGTAGAATATTGCAACCAGATCCATGCATATTTCAATTTAAAAGAAAAATGTGTTAAAATCATTTAAATATATGTTTTCATTTTAACACTACAGACCAAATAAAATAACTTAGATATACTGAATGACTAAATGAGAAATATCTTTAATTACTAACAATTTATGTAAATTATCTTAATTGCCTTATCTGGTAAGAAGATGAAGAGTGAATACTATTGACCTGGCGCATCTAACCATTCCCCCTATTTTAACTAAACTTTAGATAGATTTATTTCTTTTTCTTTTTTTGGGTGGGGTGGGGTTATCCATCCCTTCAAGCATTTATCCTTTGTGTTACAATCCAATTATATGCTTTGTTATTTTTAAATGTACAATTAAATAATCATAATTGACTATAGTCACCCTGTTGTGCTATCAAATACTAGGTCATATTCGTCCTTTATAACTATTTTTTATACCAACTAACCATGCCCACCTTCCTCCCCCAATCCCACCCCTGTTCCGGTAATCATCCTTCTATTCTGTTACATAGATTTATTTTTTACTATAGGCCCCTGGTCCTCATTTTCATACAGCATTTACACGACAAAACTTGAAAATTTAGAGAAATTGTAAATTCTTCCTCTGCTCCATCGAGTTGTAAATAATCTGAAACTCAAAAATGTCTTTCTCAAGTATGTGGGAGCCATCCCTTTGAAATATAATAGTCATCTTTGAAGTTCCTGAGACATTGCCCCTATCTCCCATTCTCTGTAGAGGGTAAGAGCCTAGAGCCTAACTCTGAAATGTGAAAAGAGACAAACAGCAAAGACAGATGTTTTAATCACATTGACCAACCTCTCCCATAAAGTCTTCCAGTACTTTTTTTTTATTATTTTATTTATTTATTTATTTTTACATAGTCTCGTTCTGTCACCCAGGCTGGAGTGCAGTGGTGTGATCTTGGCTCACTGCAACCTCTGCCTCCTGGGTTCAAGCAATTCTCCCACCTCAGCTTCCCAAGTAGCTGAGACTACAGGCATGTGCCATCAAGCCTAGCTAATTTTTGTATTTTTTTGGTAGAGACTGGGTTTCACCATGTTGGCCAGGCTGGTCTCAAACTCCTGACCTCAGGTGATCCGCCTGCCTCGGCCTTCCGAAGTGCTGGGATTACAGGTGTGAACCACCGCACCCAGCCTATTCCAGTACTTCCTATTAGTTCACCCAGCATTTAAAAATCCTCCTGCTTTTATTACATCTGAGTTGAGTTAAATCTCTCTCCCCACATGGGAATGGTTTTAAATATTCCTTGCCATTTTTAACAAGCATCCAATGTAATTTTTCTTTCACAACATTAAATTTAGTCATGTGCATTATTAAAATAGATGAAAATAGGATCAGTCTAGGGAATTCGTTGCTACAAAATTTCAAATGTCAAAGAAATACTTATGGTTACAACACACACACACCCCAGTATGTTGCTCAAAGATGGAATGTCATGTAAGTACGAGAGTATTTGAGAGTTAAAGAGGTTAATTTAATCCCTTTATAAAGCTATCTTCTCCAATGTGGTAAGCTCTGTTTAATCTTTAATGCCCTGCAGGTATAGAGTTTCTGATAATAAACCACAAAACAAAGATCCGGATGTGTTGGTTAATTAAAAGATGGCAGGGTGCTGAGGTGTGAAGAGACTCAAAACTAAATAAATTTAATATGCTATAATATGTTATATGTATTATAAATAGAAATGTATAATCTTTCCTTTTTGAAAAAGTATACCCTACCTTTCCTTAGGTGTGTTTAAAGTATATTTTTAAAATACATACTATAGTGTCTGTGGGTTTTTTTTTTCTCTTTTTAATGAGAAAATTCTATCAAACAAGCAAATAAGTCAAAATGCTGGTGGTATAGACATACTTTTCCATCCTGTACAATTGTTTGTTGAGCCATTTAATTGGCTTTACTCTTTACAGGAAGAAAGGCAAAGAGGGAAATACTAATTTCACAATTCACAGTATCTGGGACGTAAAAATACTCCAATTCCTCAAATAAACAACAAACAAAAATTACTATTCCTGTTTCAGAGATCTGAATCAAATGTATTTTCTGCACCTGCATAAAGGAGACATGAAACAAGCAGCATTTTTACCCACTTCTTTATAGTGATCATAACAATAAAATTCACAATCCTAGTTGTCAATCTATACCTCAAGGTGAGCTAACTACTGTAACTTTATACAGGAACCAAAGGAGTCTGTCACCATCGTATAGTTGTTCAGGCTCAATTTAAGGAAAAATTCAAAGACATTGTCTGGGTAAATATTAAACAAGAGTGAATACAAGTTTATATTCTACGAAAATGACCCAGGAAGTTTGTTGGTTGTTGTTGTTTGGGGGGGGGGGGGTTTGCAGGTATTATATGTTGCAGGTACATGAAAATGTATTCATTAATAGTTAACTGATAAGAAATAAGAGTCACACGTTCTAAGAAAGGAGAAAAGCCAAACTAGGACCTAGACTCTGTAGTGAGGTAGATAGAAGAATACATGTGGATAGAGACATTATAGAAAGCTTATATTGTACCTATACACAGTGAAAATACAATTTTTTAAGTGCAAAATCTGTGAGCACCTCAAGAAAATATTTTGCGTTCAATTGTTTGCATTTCTTAGAGACTTGTTGGATATAAGTCAGTCTAATGTTAAGACACATCTAAGAGAAACAATGACTATTATGTTGGAGGAGTTGATCTAAATTCATTCTTAAGGAAAATGAGTTGATGATAAGACCAGTAATTCACTGAAGTTATTTCTACTTTTTGAAAGTGAAACTATGATAGTGATAGTTTAAAGTATTGGTTCTCCAAGTATGAACCCTAGTCCAATATCAGCAGCATCACCTGAGAATTTGTTAGAAAGGCAAGTTATTGGATGACACCCCAGGCCCAATCCTCAGGTTTTGGTATAGAGTCCAGCCATCTGCATTTTAACAACCCCTCTGAGTGATTCTGATATACTCTCGGGTTTGAGAGCCTCTGTTATTGAAAAAGTTTATGCTGCCATCCTTTAGAAATACAGGGCTCGAACAGAGAAGGCAGGTCATCAGCTCACCCAGAAGGATTATTGAGATATTAAGGCACAAACTAAAAAGTGCCATAGCATATCTTTTTACTTTGCAGGATCTTCAAAAGCCTGTTAATCCTAATTATAACATTTGAAATGTTATTTAAACGTAACTCCCATAAGTATCAATAACAAAAGAGTCTAACCTGATCTCACATAGATTAACATGGAACTACTTCCTTTCCACATGGCCAAAGCTTGAGAAAAGTTTCACAAAAACACTTATTATTTCCAGATCTCTTCAGAAGATGATAAAAATGTTGAGGGCTCAATATTAAGCACCTTAAAGTCAACCTTCTTTACCTACGAATTTCTAACACTGAGTATTAAGAATGTAACCAACTATCATGAGGGAATATCTAAATACCTGATATGGTCATAATTTAAGGGTAAGCGATTAATAGCCTATTAAGTTTTTGGTGAGTGGCAATGGTTTCTGGGAGAGTCAATATAGAAAACAGTGAAGAGCAAGTATTCTGAGGTCAGACTGCCTGGTTCTAATATGATTTCATCATTTATTGGCAGTGTAATGTTGTACGGTTAGCTCTATAGAGCCTCAATCTCCCAAATCTGTAAAATGGTAGTAATTATGAAGCATACAATTGATCCATGAAACTCTGAGTATGCTAGTTCCAACACAGAATATCCAAACACTAGATGTGAGCTGCTTTTTATTCCGTATTTCTGAGCACTCACAGCATGTCTATCACTATTCTTTCTGCCAAAGGTGCACAGATGAAGAGCCTAGTGATGGGGAAAAGTATAGAAACCAAAAATTTGATAAAGACAAAGACTGACAGTATTTTATTATAAGACAACTCATTATTGTGAAAGGGTAAGAGAAGACTTCATGTATTTGGTGGTGCCTGAGAATTCGGGGATAAAAGGAAGGCAGACAGTTAAAGATGCTGAAAGGTCATTCCAGAGAGTGGCAGCTTCATGGGTACTGGAATAGGAATTCGTACTGTGCCAACTTTTGGTTTTAGCTTAGCTTTCAATCACTCTAGACAATCCTCTCACGTTCCTTCAAAATGTGTTTCTCTATAATTTCAAACATTCGCTTTCATTTCCCACCTGTCTCTGAGGATGCCGGGTTGATCTTTCTAAAGCTGACCTCTTAAATTGTGCTCCTGAACTCAGCTCCAGCTTTGCATTGAATATCACTCACACATCATCAATTTTCTCTTAAAATTTTTCCTCACAGTAAAGTCTTTCCCATGTATTTATGAACATGATCATAATTAAATTAGCATGATCATAATTAAATAATTAATGATTAATTAATTTAATTAATCATTAATTAAAACAAAGCAACAACAACTAATATAATACAGAAAGTCTTTCCTCAACTTCTTTATCTTCTGAAGCTATTTCTTATTTACTCTCTTTTTATTTCTCACTCTCAAGATAGTAATATATAAATCACTCACTTTTAACCTCTCAATAGTTTTGATTCTCACCAGTAACAGAACTTTTTTTTTTTTTTGAACGTGGAGTCTCGCTCTGTCACCCAGGCTGGAGTGCAGTGCGGTGGCGCGATCTCGGCTCACTGCAAGCTCCGACTTCACGCCATTCTCCTGCCTCAGCCTCCCGAGTAGCTGGGACTATACAGGCACCCGCCACCACGCCCGGCTAATTTTTTCTATTTTTAGTTGAGACGGGGTTTCACCGTGTTAGCCAGGATGGTCTCGATCTCCTGACCTCGTGATCCGCCCGCTTCGCCCTCCCAGAGTGCTGGGATTACAGGCGTGAGCCACCGCGCCCAGCCCAGAACTTTTAACAATTGCCAGGGAGAATATGTTCTGAGGAGCAGCAGCTCAGTCCAAACTCCTGCTGCATTTGCTGTATACAACCTATTCTGACCTTTTGTTTATAGCTCCCAGACCAATTATACTTCCATTTCCTTTGTCCTGAATCTGGGCACCTCTTGTCTCCTCTCCGTCTACACTATCACTTCTTCACAGCTTGCTTTTACATCCATAGTCTGTATCTCAGCACAGGTCCCACTTTAGTAAAACCCTCTGTTCTCAACTCTCTGAGATACAGTTGCTTATTTCCCATTGTCCGCTCGATTTTTATGTGATGCAGCACTTCAATCAATGTTCCTCAATTAAATTTCTTATATCACTACTTTAAGGTATGTCTGATCTTTTTTTTCCTTCTCACTCTTTCATTTATGACACATTCTCCACATAATCAAACCTTTCCCCGCATTTCCTTTACTCTTTTCAGTCTCCCAGAATGTGCCCTTACTGTTGGATTTGCCTTGTATGACATCTTGTCCATGCTCTCTGTCCACATTGGATTCAGTCACTGAAGCCCAGATCTAATGTCATCTTTTTTGTAATGCTTTCCCCAATTCATGTAATGAGTCTGAAGAATTGCCACTATTCTTTGTCTATAAGAAAACTCTCTTCCAGATATTTTGTATTCTCTGGACTCTCAAGCTTCCTGAAAACAGAGGTACTTCATATTGCTGTCTTCCTGAGCACCCTCACTTCCACAAAGTAAGTTGTCACAGCACTTAGGTTGGTGACATGGAAGATACAACACCTGTAAAGCTTTTCATCCAGAGGGGACATATCTGAAGCTATTACCAAGTAGTCATCAGATTGATTGTTGTCACCTAATCATTAACCTGAACAAATTTGTTCCATTTTGTCAATTATCAGACAACTGACAAAATTTGAATAATGGGCTATCAATGAAATCGTATTTTGTCAAGATAAAATTTCCATATTTTAATAACTATACTGTGGTTATACAGGAAATGCTCACTGAAGTGTTTTGTGTAAAGAGGCACTATATCACCAAGCTACTCTCAAAGGACTCATAAAACATTTATACACATTTATATAAAGAATGATAAAGTAAATAGAAAAACTCAACTAATAGCAAAGCTGGGTAAAGGCTATATATGAGAGTTCTTTGTACTATTCTTGATATTTAAAAAATTTTTTCTTAAGAAGTTGAGAAATTAATATTAAAAAATCAGCTGGTTTATTGTTATTTATATCCACAGACACAAAATCTGTACCCTCCAGTGATAACAGTGGACTATGCATTTTTACATTTCTAGATTATCCTCCTCCTATTAAACTATTCTCCTCGAATTAAGCTAAACATTTATGACCCTTTGAAAACTATCACCAATATAAAAATTAGTATCGAATACTCACAAAAAAACCCAAAGAATAACTAACAAATAAAACTAGTGAAGAAAACTGACTTTTACTCAATAAAATATTTGTCAAGGAAATAAATTAATCCTTCTTATACAAATGGGTACGATTAGTGATGGTGCCTGATAAATACTATATGCTTTTTGTAAACTACTACTCAAAATCTCATAGAAACTTGTACAATATTTTTTAAGTTTAATTATAACAGATGAACTGTCTTTCCAAAAAACATGCAGAGGAAAAAAAACTTAATACTCTTTAACATTAACTTTCTAGATATTTTGAAAAAAACAAAAATATAAAATGTGGAGCCATCCAATATATACCATATGTAATATTTTTCATTAATATTCATAATTTCTTGCGGTTAAAAATCAAAATGACACATTTTTCTTAACATATGACTCTCTGAAAGCTCAGTTAGGCCAAATGAAGATGTATAAATGGGGCTGCTGAAAGTACAATGCCATGTTCCATCACATTTTATCAGGTTACGATGTATTTCAATATATGTGTATGAGTGTGTGTTATGTATGAGTGTGTGTTATGTGTGTGTGTGTGTGTGTGTGTGTGTATTACCCAACCAATAAGCATTATTTTTTAAAAACATCTTTAATTACTCTGACTCTCCTTTTTCACTTCCTATTTTATCTACATATTTGAAATCGTACTATATGAACCATGCACCTTTATTTGGAAGTCCACATGAAACTTGGGAACAAACCAATGAGAATCTTATAAAGCTATTATTCAGAAGATTATATCAGAATTAATTTTCTTGAATCCACCCCCTTGACTTAGGCAATGGTGCAATACATTAGCTTCATATGTTTTATTTCATCATTATTATTCATGGAAACAAAATAGAGTCATAATTGAAATTTATGTGACCTGGAAAATATTTCCTTATGTGAAAATCCTGCACATTTCTACTCACCCATTTTTTAATAAGATAATCATTTCTCATTTAATAGGGCTTTGCAGCAAAGTTAAAACTTGTCTGGCTGGCAACTCATCATGAACTTAAAACAAGTTTTTTTTTTAGTATCATTGAAAACAGCACTCTAAGACCACAACTTTAAACATTAAGCATTTTCAGGCACCAGCATCATGAATTTACACTACTGAACAGCACAGTTAGGCGCTGGATTCCTTTTGATTATAACAGAAACACTATCTTTTCCCCTTTCACTAAATGGCTACAGGCAGGCATGCATTTTTTACTTTGTGTCAGTTGCTTTTCGTTTTGGTCATTTTCTTTGCTTGTAACTATCAGCTCTTATTCCTTACAATCATCATAGGGTTAGTGTGAAAGCTTTATTCCTTTCCTAATTTGCTACGCTGCCTCTTTTGTGAAAGATGTACATGAACTTTATCATATGCAGTTGTTCTCTCCCTTTTCATAGCTGTATTACTGTTATTTTTTGTTTTCTTTTGTTGTTTTCCTGTTCTTAGTTGTGTTCTTCTGGGCTCAGCATGATCGCTGTATATGTGTGATGTTATTTTGCATTTTCTACATAATGGGACTTAACCCAAGTTAGAAGCTGAAACTAATTTACTTATACCTAGCCATGTTCTAAGAACATTTTACCAGGTGTTCATATTTATTGTTAACACAGTGCATCTGCAGAAAAAAAAAAGAAGCAATGATAATATCCAGTTAGGAAAATAAGACAAAGCCAGAACTGACATTGATGAAAAAAAAAGTGCAATAAATTCTATATATTTTACAATGGTAAGTCATATATTACACAGTAAACATTACGGCAACCAAAATGATAAGGAAAACATGGTCAATTATAAAACGGACAGTTCTTGCAGATTAAAAAAAAGTTGTACAAGAGAAGTACAACTTCTCTTTTATGGTTCTCAGAAAAATGGTATAAGATAGAGTGATGAATAATATCTTTGAAAACTCTCTTACAACAAACAAGAAACAATTTTGGGGGACTATTTATTTAAAAACTGCTTAGTGTAGGCTTAAAACATCAGGCCAAGAGAAATCAGCAAAAGGAATTCTAATACGTGAGGGATGAGGAAATATGATATAATATGATAGGATATGTCAATTCAGGGACAGATTTTACTGTATTGAAGCCAGTTCTTAACAAAAGGTAAACATCAGACCACAATGTCTGAATTACATCCCTTAGTGATTCCAGGTATGATATTTTAGAGTAGAGACTGGGGATCTAGATTTTTAAGGTCTACTAAAGATTCTGATTCATCCTTCAGAATGAGATCTACTGACCTAGAATAGTTGAAAATATAGTACATGCTCTCCTCCATATATATCAATATCCTGAATTAAGGCTTTGAAAGATATTTGTAGCAATAACTGAGTTTATACTCCCTGACAAGTAACTCCGAAAGACAGTTAAGTACAGAACCATATGCTTCAACAGTCAAGCCGAGACAGCCTCCCATAAAAAACATGGAGCTAGAATCTCTCACAAACTCATTAGAATGTCAACATATCAAAGAAAATATCCATATCAAATTTTTGAAATATAAATCCAATTTAGACATTAGGACAGCACAACTCACCAACCTATGTACCTGTTTTTTCCTTCTCAAATTTGGGGGAAAATTATTAAGAAAAAACTGAGATAACTTCATTCACACATTTTTCACTAGAGAAATAAAATAATCTTTCAAAAATAAACTTTTGGAAAGAAAATGTTGACTACTAAGCACAGCAAATATATAACATCTCCATTTCTACTTTCTCTACCTATAACTATTACTGAAAAATGATCCTAACAGTCCTTCCTATCCAGGCTTGATAACACCTATAATTTATTCAGGACATAGTTCTCTAGGAAGCTACTAATATTTGACCAGCACTTGCCATGCTGAAGAGACCTCTCTGGGCTTATTCCTCCTATCTAACTGAAATTTTGTATCCTTTGACCAACATCTCCCCAGTACTCCCCATGCCCCCAGTCTCTCGTAACCACCATTCTACTTTCTACTTTTATCAATACAACTTTTTTTAGATTCCACATGTAAGTGAGATGAAAAAAAAAAAAGGAAACAAGGATGGAAGGAAGAAAGGAAGAGAGGGCCAAAGTGAGGAAAACTCTCTGAACATCAACAGTTACTTACTCTTCACTTGACATAAAAATTCCTTAATAAAATACCCTTTGTAATTTACAGATTACTTGGGTGATATTTTTAGTCATCCAAAGAAGGCATAAATTAGGGCAATTTATTATGTGGATAATTTCTCATTAATAGATTGAGAGATCCACAACTACTCACTGCTCAAAACAATGGAGCCATACATTTAATTTTGTCCTTGATTCTAACATTTTTGTTGCAAAATTGAGCAAAACCCAAGCATTGATGAAATGTCATTACTTCAACCTTTTAGATATCAGAAAAATTCAGCATGGAATTATATTTTTGTTAAGTATTCCCTTGTTCTTAACACTATTTGGGGTACAAGCTAGAATGAAATAATATTGGGATGCAGGCAAATCAAATATGAAAAATACAGATAATTTCTGATAGCATTATTTAAAATTTGGCAAAAATTTTAGTGATAAGAATAGCCAAATTATCCCTTTGCACTCAGTTTTACTTTAGAAAGACATTTATTGCATCCAAATGTCAGTAGTTATGTGGTAATAAGTAGTTTTAGGCTGTGTTGACAAAATATGAATGTTGTCAAATATACTGTGTTATTTGTTTCAGCCGATTTTCTACTAATTTTTTTTTTTTTTTTTTTTTTGAGACAGAGTCTCGCTCTGTCGCCCAGGCTGGAGTGCAGTGGCGCAATCTCGGCTCCCTGCAAGCTCCGCCTTCCAGGTTCACGCCATTCTCCTGCCTCAGCCTCCCGAGTAGCTGGGACTACAGGCGCCCGCCACCACGCCCGGCTAATTTTTTGTGTATTTAGTAGAGACGGGGTTTCACCGTGTTAGTCAGGATGGTCTCGATCTCCTGACCTCGTGATCCGCCCGCCTCGGCCTCCCAAAGTGCTGGGATTACAGGCGTGAGCCACCGTGCCCGGCCTTTTCTCCTAATTTCTATTTGCAGTCCACCTGAAATTCAGTAAAATAGAATGAGGAAAGTATAGGCAGGTGAAAGTTAACATTTGTCTAATTCAATTTAACAGATACTGAATGCCAATTACATAATTCAGGCATTAGTGGGATATAGTCCTGTCATTACAGACAGGGTAGAAGAAATGATTCTAAAATCAATTCAGACATGCTAGAGACTAAGAGTAGTAAAAATAAGTTTATATTTCACTTACATTTAATTCAATTATTTCTGGAGGAAATTTATAACAATTTATAACGCAAGATCAAGCTAATTTTCTTCCATGGAGACTTTGGAAAGGTTTTACTTCAGTGAGAAAATATAATTTTGTCAATTAAAAATATTTTTCTAGAAAACAAATCTTGAGATATATATGAGTTAGTTTTAAATTATTTTGTTATTAATAAATATTAAGAACATGGCCACTTAATATGCAACAATCTCTCTGTTGCTCAGTGATGCTTTGTGCATCCTCCCTCACATTCTCTTATCTTTTCTTCAAGAATCTGTTCTTACTATCCTCAAAACCATACCTGAGCCTACTGGTCACAGTCAGCAAAAGCTATGGCCTTTTACTTCACTAAAACAGCATTAAGTATAAATGCCCAAAGTGAATTCCATACCACGTCAAAGCGCATTTATAGTTCCACCTCTTTCTAGCCTTTTCCATTGTGTTTCATAATGATCCATTCTTTGTCCCATTGCTATTGTACCTGGGCCTGCATCTATCATCCTCCGGCACTCTGCTCATTTCCTTTCTTCAATTTTCAATCTCCATCTTGCTGCTGATTACTTAACTCAAGCTTTTGCAAGTGCTCAAGTCTCTGTTATATTAAAAACCATTATTTCACATATCCTACTTTTACTTTTATTCATGGTCAACTTCTTCAAATCATCCAACTCCAGAGTCTTTATTTCTTAAATACTAGTTACTTCCACGATCTGCCAAAATGTGCCTTCTTACTCGTGTCTCTATGTTACAGTATACCAGCAGCATTATTTTCATGTTTCAGTCTTCATCTACCTTAACTCATTCTGGTATTTTACATTGTTGACAACACCTTCATTTTTAAAATTTCCTTTAAAAAATATTTAAAATAGTATTACTTTCTGGTTCTCATTTTACTCATAAACAACTCTTTCTCAATTAAAAAAAAAGTTGTAGCTCTTAAATGTATACATTTTTCAAAAGTTCATTTCCAGATCATTTATACCATGTTATCTTTAGTCTACAGATGATGAAACGGAAACACGAACAACTTAATGATAAGATGTCTCTAAGTATCAAAAGTATCAAGATTATAAAAATCAAATATTTTCCAATTAAGTAATATTTTAAATATAATTTCACAAAACTATTTTTGTAAAACAATATACTACCCACTTATAATGCAACTTCTAAACATATAACATCTGTGCCTTTAGTTTTTTTCTCCAAGGTCAGGAAAATTAGGCAGAGAATTTAGACACATGTGCTTTTAGAAAAACAAAACAAAAACACTAGAGTTTATTCATCTAGAAAATACTATTATGAGCTTACTTTTGGAAATGACATGTTTCCTAAATAAAATTGCTGTATTACATACAACCATATATCATATGTTAACTGGTAAGTATGAATGGTTCCTAAATTATCACCGGAAAAAGACATATCCATTACCATATTATTTTTAGTATGCAGTGACTGCAATTCAGACATATCCAATTAGGGAAGAAAGAATTGTGAATTTATTGCTCAATTTAAATTTTGTCATCATTTTCTGATGGAACCATTTGCCAATTATTGTTTCAGTGCTGTTGATCATTACATTGTAAAATTATGCTACTGTTATCACCTTTACTATGTAAATACATCAGATTAAAGTCTTTTCATATTTTGTTACATTTTTTGCTCCTCAAAATTAGGAGATAGCAAAAGCTCCTTTAACTATAGATGTTTAAGGGAGTATCAAATTTATGCTGGAAAAATTAACCAACTTAAGCTACTCAGTTATGTTTTATTTTACTCACTTATGAAATTTGAGTTTTCTGTGTTCTATCATCATTGTTCTTCAAATACTCATACAAAGTTAGTCTGTCTCACTACAAATATATTCAGTTCAAAGTACACTGAATTGCATTTCCATTTCTGACTTTTCTGGGGTCACTGGCAGCTGATCAACACTCCCATAGAGAAAAAAGAAAAACCAATGAGATTTTTTTAAGTCCTTTTTGAAAGTATCAGATATCAGTTCAGGCAACCTGAACTTGAGAGATCAAATTCCAGGGAAGGAAAAAAAAAAAAAAATGAGCTTCACATACTATAGCTATTTTTCTTTCAAGTCATTGTCTATTTCAGGTATACAGCTGTAGGCTGAAAATCCAAGGAAAAATCTGCAGTGAATGGTCCAGAGTACTCGACTGGAAACACTGAAAGGTTATGTCCTAGGAATGGGGCAAATAGCAGACAAATACAGCATTAACAAGCCAGTCTTCAATATGCTCAGCCACTGATTGGAATGAAACAGTAAGACTGTACTTTATCTATTATAAGATAAAGTAATATAAAAAAGAAAAGAAAAATATTTCTGAAGCAAGATAACCTAATCCTGAGCCGGTTTTTCATACAAAATAAATGGCAGTCAGTAAAAAATAAGACTTGTCAAGAGAGAAGACAAAGAAAAATATAGCAAAGCCAACAGACCACAGATGATCAAAACAGGTGTTCTCAGATAAAAACAGTAAAATAGCTATGATAGAAATACTTAAGAACATAGGATACAAAGCTGGGAAAAGCTAAATGAAAAGATGAAAAATTTTGCCAGATAATTGGAACCTATAAAACTAAATCAAATGTAAAGTTTACAATGAAAAAAAATTAAATAAGTGAAATGAAGAATTCAATAAATATGTCTACTAGTAGATTAGAAACAACAGAATACAAGACTGGTGAACAAGAAGATGGAACAATAAGCAATTTGTAGACTGAAGCACAGATGGAGAAGAACAAGGAGGAAAAATTAGGACAGAGCACAAAATACGTAAAGCTCAGTGAAAGGTCTAACATAAGAAAAATTAAATTAATGAAAGAGACAGGAAAAAGAATGAGAAAAAGTAAATATCTGCAGAAATACTGGCCCAAGATTTTCTAAAACTTATGTAACTGTAATCCACATATTCAAGAAGCTCATAACAATCCAAGCACAATAAACACACAAAAAATCCACATCTAAGCACTTACTATAAAATGTCTAAAGATAACAAAGAAACTCTTAGAAATACAGCTAGGGCCTAGGGGGGTGGGGTGGAAGGTGGAAAGCTATATAAAAACATACACTTAAAAATACTATAAATAAATCAAAATGTAAACCTGAAATATGCAATTATACTTAGTGAAAGGAATAGGGAAAAGTACACTACTCTATATTCTAGGAAGAAGAAGTTCTTCATGTTAAAGTAACCCACAAGAAGTCAAGACAAAGAAAACAGAAATAAGAAACAGAGAATTGGAAACAGAAGGTAAGTTGCAGAAAAGCTCTAATATTTCAATAATTATATTCAGTGTAAATTATCTAAATACACCAATTGAAACAAGGATTGGCAAAGTGGATTTAAAAAACAGGACTCACCTATATATTATCTATAAGAAATTCATTTCAAATATAATGATATAGGTAGGTTAAAAGTAAAAGGACAAAATATATATATCATGCAAACAACCATCAAAAGTAAGCAGGGTGGCTAGATAATGTAGACTTTAGGGCAAAGAAAATTGCCAGATTCAGAGAGGGACATATACAATGACAAAAGGTCCAACCACTAAAAAGTCACAGCAATTGTAAATCTGTATATACCCTTCCCCCTCCAAAAAAAAGCAGAAAATATGTGAAGCAAAAACAGATAGAACTGAAAGGAAAAATAGACAAATCCACAATTATACTTGGAGACTTTGATATTCCCCCCTTTAAATAGATGGAAAAACTACATAACCAATCAACAAAGATATTATAGAACTCAACTAATAGTATCAAATCAACATTTATCGAGCATTATCCCAACAACAGAAGAATGCTTACTCTTCTCAAGTTCCCATGGAACATAGGATAGACCATATGCTGCTTAAAAACAAACCTGAACATATTTTTTAAACCACAATTGTTCTCTAACTGCAATAGAATTAAAAGAGAAATAAGTGACAGAGAGATTATAGGAAATCTCCAAATTCTTGGAAACTGAACAACACTCTTCTAAATAATCTATGGGTCAAAGAAGTACCAAGGGAAATTAAAAAACAAACACACTGAACTGAATGAAAACAGAAGATATCAAAATTTGTAAGACAGTTAAAGAAGTGCTGAGAGGGAAATTTGCACTGCTAAATGCCTACAGTAAAAAAGAAGAAAAGTCTCAAGTAAATTATCTAATTCCCACTTCAAGAAGCTAAAAAACAGCAAAAATTAAAAAAAAAAAAAAAACTGACATGCTGAGTAATAAAGTAAAAATAAAAGTAATTCAGTGTTATGGACTGAATGCATGTGTTTTCCCAACATTTCTTTTGTTGTAACCCTACTTACCCACCCTAACCCATTTGTGATAGTATCAGGACGTGGAGCTTTTCAGAAGGAATTAGGATTAGACAAAGTTATCAGAGTGGAGACCTCATGAGTGGGATTACACCCATATAAGAGTTACAGAGAGAGCTGGCTTTCCCTCTCTGCTCTATTCCATGTGAGGATATGAAACGTTTGCAGTGTGCAGGCCAGAAGTGTGTCCTCACTAGAATCCAACCATGCCAACACACTGATCTTGGACTTCCAGGATCTAGAACTGTGAGACATCACCATTTGTTGTTTAGAAACACCCAGTCTATGGTATTTTTGTTACAGGAACACGTGCTAACTAAGACATTCAGAATCTAAATTCTGATCAAAATGAAATTAAGCTACAGCCAATAACAAAAATATAATTAGAAAACCCATGTGTTTGAAACTTCAGAAATAAAGTTCTAAATAATCCTTGGGTCAAAGAAAAAAAAATCACAGTGAAAATAAGAAAGTATTTCAAACTGAATAATAATAAACATTACATATCAAAAGTCTTGCGATACAGTTAATAGTATACCTAAAGGAACATTTACAGTCTTAAAAGCCTACATGAGGAAAAACAGAAAATAATAAAATCAGTAATCAAATCACTGCTTTAAAAATTAGAAAAATAATTAGCATTTGAAATATAATGGTATAGAAGGAAGGAATAATCAAGGACAGAAATCATTATAATAGAAAACACATGTACAACAATCAAGAAAACCTAGAATTCAAATGTTGGCTCTTTAAAGTAACTAAGGAATTTGAATAACCTCTAGTAAAACTAATGGAGAAAAACTGAATGATATTGACACAGATGATCAATATCACAGTCTAGTCTCACTATAGATTACAACAGTGGTTGGTTGGAACCACTTCATTCTTGCTCATGACAGCAGATTATATGCATTTCTTTCCAACTACAAAACTTGGATATTGGCCATCATCTGATTATGCATGCTATGAAAATTGGTAAATACTATAAATCAAGTCTTTTTTTTTTTTTTCCAGAGAGCTGGTTTACCAGCACATCCTGGACCCCCTTCCCCCAAAATTAAAAAAGATAATTACAGGAATTACAACAACTTTATATTAATAAACTTGACAACTGAACTGGCATATTCAGATTCCTAGAAAAACAAAACTAAGATGTAAAAATGTTTATTCCTAAATATTTGACTAGTCTTATATTTATTATAAAAAGTAAATCTAAAATTGCCAGTCATTGCACAAAGCAATCTGTAAGCCCAGATGGCTTCTCCTGAGTTATTTAAAACAATTAAAGAGAAAGTAACACTGATTTTACATAAACTTTAAGATAGCAGAAAAGAATATATCTCAATGCTTTTAAATTAATTACCTTATTTTGAATACTGAAATATAATTTACATACATTGAAATGTTCATGTCTTAAATGTATAGTTTAATCAATTTTAACTACCGTGATTATGGACTTTCAATGTGTAAGGTTTTTTTTTTTTGTTTTTTGTTTTTTGTTTTTTTTTTAAGCAGTCACTAATTCTTGGTTCATCTTAACAGATTGTTTTGGCTAAGATGGATTTGAATTACTGGGTTGATGATTTCCATTCTCATACAGTTTTCAGAAAAGTATATTTGTTGAGCCAACAAAGTAAAAAGAAGAAGAGAAGATTCTTTGAAAACTAAAATTAAGAAATTATCCTATAGAATCTAGAAAAGGAACAATTAAAGAATTATATTTGATTACATCTATTTAGAAATCATTGGAAGCATTTAGAATGAGCACTGACATTGGAGGAATTTGAACAGAATTCAAAGAGACAGAAAAACACGGCAAACAGAAAATTTGTCAGGTTGCTAATTCAATTAAAAATTGTATGTAAAACCACATGCAATTCAAAATTGCAAAAATAAGTTTTAAGCATTATTTTTAAATCATAGAATAGAATGTACCCATTACTTATTTTTTGAAAAGGTTCTATTATTAAAGATAGAAGTTAAACATAGATTTTTTTTTACTTTAAATAATTATCAATAGTTTCTAATACTTCATAAATAAGAAAATGAAGTAAGTTCAAAAAACTAGTTAATATCACCATCCTGGGCAGCAAATGAAAGAGACATTTTATTTCTGAATATGTAGATACTCTCATTTTTCAAAGCCCAGCTAATTGGCACCATCCTCTGAGGAATTTTTTCTATCTCCCTAATCAGAATTAATTGTTTCTTCATCTGAGATTTGAACAACACATTGCCTATGCTTCAGTTGTGATGTTAGTTTATTCTTTTGCATGCCATATGGAGAGAGTTGCCCTGATATCTTTGTGCATAAGTGTATGAACTCTATGGCCTCAGGGACTTTTCCCTTATAGCAACTGACACAGATATAGCATAGAGCAGAAATTTTTAAAATACCTATTAAAGCATCACTTGCATTTATTTTCCTGGTTTAATATCCTGATGTAAATAACCAATACATAATTTTTTAGAGTAGAACTTCATCAGGAAATTAGTGTTCTTCAATAATTATATGTTAATACATGTGAATCCATAAAGACATGTGACCTCCTGCATTTGTAATGGGCATGGATCACGGAGCATTTTGCTCTTATAGAATTATAGATGGTTGGCTGGGTGCGGTGGCTCACACCTGTAATCCCAGCACTTTGGGAGGCCTAGGCAGGTGGATCACCTGAGATCAGGTGTTCGAGACCAGCCTGGCTAACATGGTGAAACCCCACCTCTACAAAAAAACACAAAAAATTAGCCAGGCATGGTGGCGGGTGCCTGTAATCCCAGCTACTCTGAAGGTTGAGGCATGAGAATTGCTTAAACACAAGAGGCAGACTCCACATCAAAAAAAAAAAAAAAAAAAAAAAGAATTATAGATGGTTAGATGGTTAGAGCAAATCTATCTTAAAGTTTATGTACTGCAGTTTCTTAGTATCACAGAGAAGTAACCAAAGGCCTATTTACATATCTATGATGTCAGAGCTAGTTTAAGGCAAAACCAGAACCAGATCACAGATATCTTGTCCTACACCTTCCTGCCTATAGATCATTTAGTCCAAACTAAATCTGGTAAGCCAGTGAATCTGGGAATTAAGTACCTGCCACAACAAAGGAAAAAATGCTGAATTATGCGTTTTCATATTAGTATTCATTGTCTTGGCACTGTTTTACAACTGTAGGGTATCAAAAAAAAAAAAAAAAAACTACCAAGAGTCTCAAAGAAACTAATGAAAGAATTTTAGAAATGTTAATATTTGAATAAAATCCCTCTTTTCTGGACACTAACCAGTGCCGACTTTTAGAGCACTACTATCATTTTTAAAAGAAAATTGAAAGATTTTCTCTTGGCTAGAGTAAATATGACGAGAGACTCCATTTACTAAGTAGGAAAATTTAAATGTTTTAATAAAAGAACCATGTTTAACTAAGCTGCCTATCATTACATAAAATTAGGAGATTTTTCAATATCTAGACAAAATTTTTTATTTGAAATTATATTTATAATTCTTCATAAATTATTTTAATGAACAAGGATAAGTTAGTTTTATTTACAAAAGGAAACTCAGCTACCTAAATTCACATGAGAACTACTGAATGATAATTTTTAGATTTTATATGGCCTTGACTAATTTTTAAAAGATAATAATGCATTTTTGAGCTACAAAGTAATATAATAACATTCTCTCTGGTGTTTTGGGGAGGTGTAATTACTACAGAATATTAAATTGGGAAAAGAGAAATAAGCACTTAATCTGCATGAATAATTGGGACACCTGCACACAGCAGACAGTTCTGCTTTTGGGGAATGTGAAGGCATTGGTTTTCTACAATTTTAGCCATCATCATTATAGTTTTAATAATGAAAGATTATGTAACAAAGCTATTGATGAGTAAAAATTAAATTTGATGAATCTAAATGCTTGGGAAGAACTACACTGGCCCAGTAACTGGAAATTCACCACTAATTTATATTCAGAAATGCATATGGGCTATATTTGATCAAATCATTCTGGGAAATTGCCAATTAATTCTGATTGGCATTCTGATTAATAGCTTAAGATATATACCTTTCAACAAAAACAGTGAGTGCCCAGTTGTAAGTATACATTGTATTTTCTTGCTTATGCTGAATGTTTTAGTTATGGGGATATTTTGTATCTTTGTCTTTAGTGATTCCCACTGATATCTTCCAGTAACTACAAATTCTTTAAAAGTTTTGTACAGTCATTTGTAAGAAAGCCAGTGACAGTCAGTTCTATCAAGTCCTTCAAAATATAATGATATTTAGAAAATCATAAACTGTAAACACTATGTTAGTTAGAACTTGACATTAAGTAAGATTATGTCCACCATTACTGGAGGAAAAATACTGATTAACAAAAACAGAATTTCCTTCAATTAAAAGAGGCTGTATATTTGGGAAAGAAAACAATGTTACTAAGAAAAATGTCTGAAGACTGAGTATTGTTGAGATTTTTTTTTCCTGAGTATAAAAAGAAGGGATTCCGAATCTGGAAAGAATCCCTAGTACATCTTTGGCAATGCAAGAATAGAGGAAATAGAAAAGGACTATTATCAGTTCAAATATTTGGGAGAAAATTAAATATTTGTAAAAATTTGGCTAAAATTTGAATCGCTCCTTGGCTAAGAAAATGGCCCTGGAAACTTATTGTGTGGTCTTTGAATCCCAGCTCTATTATTTAAATAAAGCTTGCTTTTGGGAAGTTACTTAATGCTCTCTCTTCTGTTTTAGGTTTCTTTTTTGTTTGTTTGTTTGTAGATGTAGTCTCACTCTGTCTCCCAGGCTGGAGTGCAGTAGGGTGATCTCAGCTCACTGCAGCCTCCACCTCCTGGGTTCAAGCAATTCTCCTGCCTCAGCCCCCTGAGTAGTTGGGATTATAGGTGCGAGCTGCCACACCAGGCTAATTTCTGCAGTTTTTAGTAGAGACAGGGTTTCCCCATGTTGGCCAGGATGGTCTTATGTTTTTGTATTTTTTTTATTATACTTTAAGTTCTAAGGTACATGTGCACAACCTGCAGGTTTGTTACATATGTATAGCACATATATACCATGGAATACTATGCAGCCATAAAAAAGGATGAGTTCATGTCCTTTGTAGGGACATGGAGGAAGCAGGATGGTCTTAATCTCCTGATCTTGTGATCCACCTGCCTCAGCCTCCCAAAGTGCTGGGATTACAGGCATGAAGCACTGTGCCCGGCCTTCTGTTTTACTTCTGAAAAAAAAAGGGAATAATAATTTTTTACCTGATAACTGTATTGAGATGGTTAAAAAGTTAATGCATATAGCATTACTGGTAGCCTGGTACACAATAAGTGCTCAATCAGTGTTAGTTATTACTATTCTCTAAACATACTGGTACACTCAAATGTTAAGAACTTTTAATCATAAAACTTTGGAATTATAAGTCTTTTTGTAATAAGCATAAAGATAATTTAGAAATATTAGCAGTGCTAATATTTGGCATGTTTCAGTCAAATAAGTTCAGAACAAATTATTTAATATTAAAATTCATATTTAAAGACTACAGTCCTTTCATGTTGATAAACTAGAATTAGTTAAATCATCACTTTTTGGAAGAGAGTTATAATGTTCCTGGAGGTTACAGCATATTTCTGTGCAGTTATGAAAGTGAAATTCATGCCTCATTGAATACATATTGACTTCTTCCACAAAGGTTAACTCTATTTCAATATTGACATACTTCTTTACTTCTTTATATTAGGACTCTTAGATCCTATCCACAAAAAAAAAATGCTGAAATAATTCTAAAATTAATAAAGAGCACATTTCATTGATTCTAAAATCATTTACAGTGTCATTTTGCAGAGGCCATGGGTTCAAAAATGGAAAAAGTAAAGGCCTAAATGGGTATCAAGGCGTCATGGGAGCATGATGTGAAGAATATAGTTTATGAGGTATACTGCATACTACAGTGGCTTTAAAATGTGTCTGTTCCATAACAGGGTAGAGATATTTGACCCTTCCAGGGAGTGGGCCAGATTGTGTCACTGCACTGAAGAATGGAATACAATAATGATACTGTAGTTCTTCAGAAGCTACATTAGAAAAACCCATGCAGTTCTTGGAACACTTGGCCTGGCAGTCTTATAGAAGTCTGGCTACCTTGAAGCTGCCATGAGAAGAAATCATGTAAAGAGACAAGAATGAGAGAGAGACAAAGAGAAGAGACAGACAGCCCTGAGGAGTCCAGCTGTAGGAGCTTCTTAGTCCAGGCACTAGTTATTTGAATAAAGAAGCATTGAAGATTACTGCAGACCTAGCCACCCTCTAGCTGCAATTATATGGGATACCCTGAATTTTTTAGCTGAGCCTCTCAACTCCCAGATTTGTGAACAAAACAAATGATTATTATTGTTATAAGCTACTCTTTTGGGATGGTTTGTTACATAGCAATGAATAATCAGAACAATGTGACCTTTCAGACAAGTTGGTCACATCACACAAATTATTTAATGATTGAGTATGGACATGGAATTTTCTAATTTTGCTTAACATCATTTAATACTTACTTAGGTTATCAAAGAGTCATATCCAGAAAAGAAATCTAATATGAGCTGATGAACTTAAAAAAGAGATTCTCTCACTAAACACATGTTTATTGAGCATCTACTATATGCTGGGTAATATTCTAGGCTCCAAGACTACATCACTAAATAAGACAATAAACAGACAAATTCTTTACCCCTATAGTCCTATTAAAAAGCAGACAATAAGTAAGGAAATATGGATAAAATAATTCCAGGTAGTGATGTGATAAGAAGCAATAAATCATGGTATGGAAATTAGAGATATGCTATCTTAAGATAGGGGAATCAGAGAAGGTGTTTACTAGAGGGTAGTATTTGAAAACTAACATTCAAAGCAGAAAGACCAATGCGTCTAAAGTAGAGCAAGTAAAAATGGGAGTCATATGAAATGATGATGAGGAATTTTAATTCCATTTTGGGTGAGATGAAAAGCCATGGGAGGAATCTGATCAGGATAATGAGATTTTTTTTTGTTATTTCTGAGTGCACAGTAAGAATTTTCCAGCCTTCAAGCCATTGGGTATAGGCATGTGTCTGAGTTCTAGTCAATAGACTGACTGGAACTAATGTATATCTGCCCATAAAAATCTCCCATGTATGCCCATTCAAGCTCCGTCCCATTTCCCGATGACAGGGATGGAGGCAACATCCATAGTAACCTTAGCAGCCACAAATTGAAGATGGCAGAGACATGATCAGCCCTGATACCTGAATGACCACATGGAACAACCTCCCCACCACACACACACAAGTACACTCAGCAGCATTATCAACTAGTAAATACTCTGTACTCTTTCATGAACAAAATCTGAAGTTCTTTTGAGTAATTACATGTATGGGTATATTTATTAACTTAGCCCAGGCTACTTTATCTAATATAGCAGGTGAATTTCTAAAAGAGGGGCTACAGTGGAAAGAATAACAATAGAAAGACTATTTTAATCAACCAGGAGTGATACATCGATGATTTGGACATGTGTGGTAGCAGTGAACATGGAAAGATAGGATCTGATTAAAAGTATATTTTGAAGATAGAACCAGAAGGACTGGCTGATAAATCACCTTCAAGAATGCAGTAAGAAAATTTGAAAATTCCTCTAATCCTTCTACATTTTTGTAAAACTAGATGATAGAATTTTCCTGGCTCACTTTTACCTGAAAATAGAACACACAGAATTCCATAGTAAGTGCAAAACAGACCTCTTTCTTATGCAGAATTTTTGGAGAAAGTGGAAGAAATCTCAAGCCATGATTCTTAGACTTCATAGACAATTAAAGGTAAAAGAAGAGTAAGAAACCAAATTTAATTAGAAGGATATCTTTAGAGAAAACTGTGAGATGCAACTTCTTCCAAACCCAAGGTGGAGAAAGGAGAACCTGTCTGTTTCATCTCAATCATACTGAGGAGCTTTCCATGGGACCTGTCAGCTTTGAAATATTTTCCCTCCAATGTTGCCTGACTCATATCTGAAGAAACTAAAACCTGTGTGGCAAGAGAACAGAGGTAGTACACTGAAATTTATGTGCTCTCATAGTCTATTGGTAAGCATTTCCAACAGACAGATGTGAGTCTCACAGGGAAGGGACATGACCATGTCTTGGGCTCTGTTTAGTTGGCTGCTTAGAGGAAAAAGGGAGAAGCCGTCAGCAGAAAAGGGGTAGGGGTATAGCACAAGATGTTCAGGAAATGTGGCATATTCATGGACTCAGGGAAACGCCCATCACTGGACACCTCTCTTTGATCTACATAGATGTATATATCGTCTAGGTAGAGAAACTTTCTAAGGGTCCATTAACATGTCACCAAGGAATTGGGGAAGCTTTATATAGAGAAGATCTTCATAGCTCACTCTGAGCTACGGTGGTCAGAACCTATCTATCAGGCTGGGGTTGGGTTAAGTGGAGAGGTAGGTGGAGAGGTAACAGACAAAAAAGCCACCTGTGCTCCATCTCCCTTTCTTACTTCAGCTCTCCAGCCAAAGTGGACCCAAGCTGGGGAGGGGAGAAATTTTTGCATTAAATCAGGTTTAGAGTTATTACTATTTTGGACCATGCATCCAAAACACTGAACTAAATGTGGGTTTGTGATTTTGAATATACTACAGAACATTCAAAGAGGCCACTATACACTAAAATACAGTAATGTCTTGGTATTTTGAACCATACATGTTCAACACAGTGATTTAATTCATGAGAGAAGAGAGATGTAGGCATTTCTAAATAGAACGAATCATGAAAACAGAGACCTTTACATGGAAGTGACATATCTAACAGGAGTTTGGAAAGCATTGAGCTCAGGGTGTACAACACGTGGCTAGGAAATCAATGTAACATTCCCTTCAGGTGTATTAGGCAACTGCTTCTCTCCTAACTTATGAGAAATGTAGCTCAGACACTGCAATTTCTTAAAAAACTATAAGAAAAGGCATTGATGCTACATTAATAAATGTTCTCCCAAAGTAGTAAACCATGTGAGATTTGTATTCAGTTTTCTACTTCTTATCTACATAGAGTGTTATCTCCATTATTTACTTTACACTCTTCTCTATTTTTAAAAAAGTAGAATAAAGAATTCTGAAATGTTTCTTGAATTTTATTTCTATCAGCACTCTACACTCTTATGCTGTGCATGGACATTCTTAAATGAGGATGGGAATTCGATGCACAAAATATCTTTATGCTTACTCAGAAACCTGGTCCATGGATCCTGATTTAATTACAGAGAAGAATGAGAGGAGATAAACCTAGATTTCTATATCTACTGTATCCATGACACAATTAATCTAAGACTCACAGAGGTCTACACATTCAGAAGCCTTGAAAATAATTTCTTTGATGTAATAAAGAGAAAACTGTTTTCCTTAACTGAATTTCTTGACTTCTGTAGACCAGAAATCAGATGCCTCATATTATTGTAGTGGTTTTTCTCCCCACAGTTTAATCTAGGATCCTTTAAAACCAAGGCTACTTCTAAATTCAGTAAGATTATATACAAACTTGATTTTATGAATTATGTGAATGCCACTGCTGAGAAGTCTCACTGGCAATATAATATGATTATGCAAATGTACACATCAGATAAATTAAAGGCATAAAAAGAAATCATAAAATTGAAGAAATAAATTTTTAAGGCTTTGTTTATTTCAGGTCTTTCATGTCAAAGTTGGAAACTTTCTTTTGTAAGGATACAGGTGAAAACTGTTAGGTAGGGTAGAGAGGAGAAAATCATACCCTAGGCACATATTTGTTGTTCACTGGGTTAGTCCCTTACAAAGGGTGCATAAGCAACACAGATATTTTATATTGGACATTTTGCCAGTTGTACATGGATTCAATATAGTTGCAAATGATCCCATTATGAAAATTAAATTCAATGCATCATTTTTCTCTAACAAGTTACTGTTCTTGATAAACTAATGGAATAAAAGATTCTGCATTGTATTCATGGCACTTAAGGATAGATGTTGCAGTACTTTAATATTACACTTTAATCATTATACTTCAATACTTCAATGCTTTAATCATCATACTTCAATACTTTAATAATTACAGCAAGATTTGGTAGATTATTTTATGCCTACTTAGAAAAGCAAGTATTTTTAAAGCAAACAAAAAATAGAAATGAAACAAACACCGATTACAATACAATTTTTCTATTTCTCTTTTAAAAAAATGGGGTAGAGAGAGAACAGAATCT
This sequence comes from Homo sapiens, assembly GCF_000001405.40. Taxonomy (NCBI): domain Eukaryota; kingdom Metazoa; phylum Chordata; class Mammalia; order Primates; family Hominidae; genus Homo; species Homo sapiens. The sequence continues at coordinate 47,094,887 of NC_000014.9, forward strand.
GGTTGCTCACTGACACAAGGCTTAAAATGAGCCCCATTTCTCAATACTAATATTTTAAAAATAAAAGTTGGATACTTCCATTGTGAATTCTTTGTTTTCTATATATTTCCATATACGATTACTTTGTATTTCTGTATTCCATAAAGAACTGTAACTCCTTTGAGGGCAGACATTTAGTCACTGATCTTTGCAGTCACACTCATGCATTCCTTACATTTGCTGAGTCCTTAGCCCATGGTAGTTGTGCAGTAGAAGTTCATTAAACAATTGAAATAAAGAGCACATTTCATTGATTCTAAAATCCATCTTTATTTTTACATTTTAACAATTCTGAGATCAGAATGCCTCTTACATTCAATAGTCTGTCATGGTTGCTATTAGTAATCATGACCTGACTTAAAATAAAATCTCAGAGGCAGTATTTCTCCATAATTTGGAATTATTAATGCTCTTAATGACACAAGAACAATATCGTATAGAAAACCATGATCATCAATGACCCTGTAATAAAAACTAATTTAGAAGTCGAGTTCTGAGTGTGAACTATTATAAAAAATTAAATTATTTTGCTTTTATTGGCCTTTTTATGCAGGCCAATAAATGACATATTTTAAAAAAAATCAAAGTATAAACAAATTTAGAAGAGCTTTTTCAATAATCTTCTATCTCATAAGACATTATGGTAGTTTAACTGGCAGTATGTTTTATTTTGTTTTGATATATAAAATAATCATACATGTTATACATGTACATATGTACATATAATAAATATTGTATGGTATACAATTTTGTGGCAGATGGTACGCTATTCATAGTGTTTTGATTTACACTGTACCTTGAAATGTTTTGAATAGAGTATACTTTTGTCAAATAGCATATTCCTAATAATTTGCAAAATAACAGATAACTAAAACCACCACAATCTACATTCACAAAATCACAAGTGTTTATCTCTATACATTTGATTATGTTTTGCTTCCATCATAAGTAATTTTCATTTGCGTGTTCAAAAGGTCATCTTCAGCATATGGATGTCCCTTTTAACTTCAGAGGCCTCAGTGTGCACCCTCCACTTCCAACCCAGGACCATACCAGGTGAAGTGAGATATGAAGAAGCATATGGTCTCTTTGTACATCTGCCTCAGAACTTCTTTCCATCTTCCAAAATGGAGAGAAAACATGCCTAAATGGTGCCAGCATACTAGCTGGTAATGACCACATTAGAACAGCATTGCTACTTTGACTTAGTGACTTACATTTTGCTTCAGTTCCTCAAATAAGCATTGCGTCTTCTATCTCTGACTTTTCTGTCTTTTCTCAATTTCAATCTGTCAAAACACTACTCGACCTATAAGACCTAGTATGAATGTTATTAGATATTCCCTAATAACCTCAGCCAGAAGTGGCTATACATTTTTTAATTTCTATATCTTTTGTTTATTCTTTTAGAACACCGTATCATATGACTATTGATATATATTATTTTCACTATCTGACAGTGGAATCCTGAGTACAGGGTAATGTTTGATAGATCTCTATATAACCTCACAATTTAAAGCCATGATTGTAATAGGGGCTCAATAAAAGTTTATTAAATTGATAAATTTACTGAATTCCTAAACTATTATACAATCAGTGTATATTTTACACAGTGAATGTTTTATGCTGCAAGCCACATTTTTTCTTTCAATCTTTTTTTAGCTAACAACATATTATAAAAAGCATTTGATGGTATCACTAAGAATATGTTATGAAAGCTATTCAACGCATATATAAAGCACTGTTATTAATCTTTAACCTGTTTAAGTTCCACTTATAATTACCCACCATTATTATTTATACATGATTTTATCTGTATTTTACAGATACATGCAATATTTGAGGAGGTAATTTTATATCAACCATTATTTGCTTTTTGAGAGCCTAACCTAGGAATCTACGTTGTAACATTCTTTCAGCAAACTTACCTCTCACAATGATGTTGGTGGACTTTTTTGCAGGGTTTCCCACATTATTATTGGCAATGCAGCTGTAAGTACCAGCATCATCTGAGGTGATGGCAGGTATGGTCAAAGTTCCTCCATTCAAAACAGTCTTTTCAGGCAGAGTCCCAAAGGACCTGACCCAGGTGAGAGAAGGTGCAGGCTCTCCTCCTGTTGTAACACATACTAATGTTATGGCCTCTCCAGGATTTACAACTATAGGATCATCCACCAAGAGTTTAATTGACGGTGATGCTAAAAGACATAAACAGAAGAACGTGCACCTATTTAGATATGCTACAACTAGAATTCAACAGCATGCATTATATTGGTTCATTCAAAAAATTAAAATGAAATATAGTCCTCTTTTGCCAAAATCATACTGTATTACTCAAATTTAAACAAGATTTAATGGTTTCATATTTTAATTAAATGGTATAAACATGTAGAACTGTATTAAGAATCTTACACATAGAAAGGGGAAATAAAATTTATGTTTCCTGGATTATTGTTCTGAAATTGGAATAATAAGCATGATTAAGGTTTTAAAACAAAATATCCCTTTCTTTTTTAATGCTGACAATCATCTTCTGTTTTTGTCATTCCCAGTACAGATACTGCAGATATTCAGTCCTTGTATTTTCATGGTGAAGATGGTTAATTATTTATTTTTTGGATCATTCTGAGATGAAATGATAAATTTTTGCAATCTGAATACAACCAAGTGACAGATAAAGTCATAGATCACCCAGGCTTTTACCATTCAGTGAGCCTGATTTTTGTTCTCGAAAGAAAAAAATAAAATCATCTAATTCTAATGCAGTGTCCATACTTCATCTCTAACCTCTTCACTTACAAAGGTCTAGGCAGTGAGCTCCTATCAACACAGCTTTAAAACTTAGAAACAAACATTCAAGAGCTCAAACAGCCACCAAACCATGCTTGCCACTACTGTTTGGGTTATAAAAATCCCTTACTGAAAACAAGTCTTTTGTAATCTTTTAGGTTAAAAAATACAAAGATAAACATTCATTCAGTAGAAAAAGCTGTGTGCAGCCTTTTCATCAAACACTCCAAATAGAAACTGTACAAAAACTTTCTTCACATATAGCACATTTTTTTTCTGCTTACACTGCCGTGCTAGCCTAAATAATGCATCCCTAAATAAAAACAGGAGAAATACATTATAATGACATTTCAAGTGACACATTCAGAAATATTTTGTCAAAGTTAGAGCTGTATTATATGAAATCAATCTACATCGGAAATATTTAAACTGTTCAATTGTACTGTGTTTTTTTTAATATATTAACTTCAGCTTAGAGTTGAGGAGTGTTTTACTCAGAATAAAAGCTAGACTACTTGTGAAGTTCAAAACTGTCTGCCGTGTTTGAAAAAAAAAAAAAAAAAAGCCAGAAAAGGCAAGAAAATAATTTCACATTACAGTTCTATGGGAAAGACATGAAGTGCCTGTATGACCTTTTTAAGCATCAATGTTTCATGTTGAGTCTTCTAACATCACTTTAAATAATATGGGAATTTTTAAAATGTCATACTATTAGCCCTTCTGAGGAGTTAATATGAAATTCTAAATATTTATGATTACAAACCTGTTGGGAAATGCACATCATGAAAAAAGTATGCAAAAGTTGCCATATTTTGGTGAAAAAAACCTCAAAGAGTTATTTAATGTTAAACTGATGGAGGACAGTACTAATTAAATATTCTGAAAATAGATATTATACTTAATTATTAATATATCATCATGAAGAGGTAAAGAAAATCTCTATACCCTGACTTAAGGTAAATAGCATAATCATACACAAGTATTTGATTAAAATATAGAGATCTCAACATTTATATCATATTAACAGATTAATTTCTTTTACATCACATTTTAGTCAAATTAAAAGGCCCAAGGCCTAAAGGCCATTAACAGCATATATTTGGACTATGGACATACCCAATGGTGACATTAAGTCCGGGAATATTTGCCCCTGAAATTGATTTGTATAGGATGAGTTGTTTTCTATTAGATATTATTTAATGCAAAAAAGCTTAAGATAATTTCAAAGCTCAAAAAATAATGCATATATAACAAGATCACTGTTCTAACTATAATACATTTTAGAACTACCTTCACAACATTGTTAAAAATGTTTTCTTCCAAATTTGACTTGGAAACACAGTATTGCTCAAGTTACGTTTATTGATGGTGGCACTTATTTTATCTGTTTATACCTGAAACTAAAAATAGCCCAGATAGACCACAAAACAGCTAACAATTTCAAGACTTTAAAAATATTTGTATATATTTTAATACCAAAATTTGCTAGCTTTAAATTTCAAAATAGAAAAAAAAGTTGAAATCATTGTCATTTTGTTCTAGTATTTTACTTTTTATTTCATAAATATCAGCTTTTTAAAACTATAAGGCTTTGCTTAAGAACCAGAGACATTCAGATTTATCAAGCAAGCTTCAGTGTAAATCATGTCGTTGAGTAAAAACTGATATAGGAAAAACATAAAAATATTTTTGTCCATTAAAATATTTTAAGGAAAATATTTCATATTGGATGAATCATTTGCTAATTTGGGGGTATACAAAGAGTAACATAAAACATTATAGGTTAGTCATTCTCTTCTTATAGGTTTCCATAGCTACCCCTGCCAGTTTTTTCTTCATATTACCTTGTATATTAGCCAGGCTACCAATATGACTCTTCAGCCAGATGAAAAGTGTCATGATTGCATTCTCTGAAGTATTATATAATGTGATAGTTAAGTGGTAAGAGTACAAATTCTAGAGTAAGGTACCTGGGTTCAAGTCTTGACTCTGCCATTTAATACCTGTGTGAACTTGAGCAAGTTCTTTGTTTTCAGTTGAGGGCCTCAATTTCCCATTGTTGAAATGGGGGAAAATACTTGTAACTATCTTGAAGTATTTAGATAATTTAACATGCGTAATCTGAAGTCCTTTTGATAATAGCTAGTACAAAGGATGCACAAAGTGTTTTCTTTTATCATTTATTTACCCTCACAGCCTAGTCCAGTGCTTGGAACTCAGTGGGTGCTTAATAAATATTAGTAACACGAGGCAGTAAATGGGAAAATGAATAAGTGAGTAACTACTATAAAATATGTGGTCACTATAGAATACAGTTATTCTGATTGCATACTGCAGAAATATCTCTACCATTTTGACTTTTGAAAGTCCTATACCATATATATAAAACATATTTAAATACATCTCTACATTTCAAATAAATAATTATTAATTTTGTTTTATAATATTTTTATTTGGAAATTGAAACTATTGTTTTTCAAGATTCAACATTTTCCCAGGACCTTTAAAAGCTCATGGGCAAAAGGTACTATATCTATGTTAGCACTTGTGTAGGTAAGTGATACTTTTTCACAATGTCCTGAAACTGCCCAACCACCCTCATTCTATCCATTACAAGCTTCTTCTTCTGCACTTATATGGGTATATAAGACATGAAGAAAGATAAAGTTCATTTTACTAAATCATGTACATGTTTAGCATACGTCTACAGCATGTGTTAATTGAATTATCTCATTACTATATAAGGTTAAACATGGAAGGTCATAGAGGTCATAAATTCCCTTATTACCATGAAAAAAGTTCACTGTTCTAAAAAACAATTACAGAATGTAAATGTCCATTGATTCATCGCAGCAACATGTGAGATAGATTATTAGTTTATTCTCATTGATAAGCAATAAAAAATCAAACATGAAAACTGAAATGGGATAAGGAAACACTGGATGAGACAGTATGAAATATTTATTTGAGATCTTCATCAAACCAAAATGAAAAATGAAAAAGGTGAAATACGTAAAGTAAAAAAGAGGGAAACTTTCTGATTAAGCAGAGCATTTATATTCTAAATTATAGATTATTTTAAATGTTTTATAATTAGTGTCAAATTGTGGCTCCAATTACATTAAAATAATTCCAACTACACCACCAGCTGTAAACATTCTCTCTGTAAGCAGTGCTTAAAAATGACTATGGTGCCAGTCAGAATACCAGGCTGGTAGTCTTCCAACATGTAATAATGGAAGGCACAGGTCATGATAGACATTGCCACAGAGATTTGAGTCTCCTCATAAAGATCAGGATGCCAATGTTCTAGCATGCCTGAGGTGCTCTGTAGTGGGGATACTTGATGAATGGAGGGACGATAGATAGATAGATAGATAGATAGATAGATAGATAGATAGATAGATAGACAGATAGATAGAAAGAAATTGGTCCTGGAGAGGCATAGTGATTTCGAATGACAAGAAAATAAGAGAAGAGAGAAAGAAAAGGAAAGAAAGGAAGGGAAAGGGGAACAAAAAGTCTGTGGTTTCTATTTTCCAAAATCATGAACTCTCAATAGAATTTCAATAACTGCAACATAGAAAGTATATTTTAGAAAATATCTTTGAGAAAAAGGAATTCTTCCTATTTCCCCATAAGCACCTCTTCTCCTGGCAAACAAAGTTTTCTTGGACTGAGCAACAGACACTTCAGTGGGTCCAAGAGAGGAATAACTGGCCTCTTGACACCCACACCAAATCCCAAACATCTGGATATTCAAGATCATAGGAGATCAGTTTGTCCCTTCCTATTTGAGGTCACTGAGTGTGGCTGCCTATATAGACAAGGACATAGTCATCTCATGGAAAATACTCCATGTTCCAGGGAGACAGCTCCCAGTCCCACAATGGTGGAATGGAGGGAGCAGAGAGACCAGCTAGCACTGAAAAGTGCCAAAAACAATAGGAATGAGAGAAGTCTCAGGAAATATATGCCTGTCAAAGGATTCAGACATCATGCTCCAGGCCTTGGTACAACAGCATCTCCTAGAATTTAAATTAAGTGGGAATTCCAAATTGATAAAGTTTTCTGAGGTTATGGCAGAATAAAGAGTTGAAAGAAAAAATAATACTGAATTATGACATAGTAGAGACAGATACATATTTTTCAAACCCAAGTATGTATACTGGGGTTCATGCCCACTAAAAATTATAGTGATTCAGTTCCTCATGATGTCTTCTTGGTGTGTGACACAAATATTTAATTTGGGGTTAAGTAATAATACATTATGTAGAAAGAAAACACTATTTTAGCAGGTCATTGACTTCTTAGGTGCTTTGTTTTTGCCGCTACCTAACATAATAGGTAAATATGAAGATAAGCATCCTTTTTAAAATCTGAAAGCAGGATACAGTGTTAATCATCTTTACATCCTTACAGACTTTGGCTCTCTGTACATCTGGAGCATTTAATTATGAAAAAGGAACCCAGCTTTCCATCCAGACTCTAAGCAACTTAGTATAAAGCAGTTAACAATTGTATAAACCTGCCAATTGCCTTGAATTAGAGATATTCTAATTTAAGCTCAAGACTTTTTTTTTTTTGAATGGAAATAATCTGAGTATTATAAAGTAACCTAATTCACAGAGAAGATTGTGAGGAAGGAGAAACACACACACACACACACACACACACAAACACACACACACACACACAAACTAACTAAATAAATAATAAAACAGAATAAACGCCAATTTTAAAATGCTCAGGTAGGAAATATCTGCTTTAGTTTGAAAGCAGGTCCTGGCACAGCAGTTGATTTGGGCTGGGATCACAGGAAACATATTGAAGAAGCAGAAAAGGGCAAAACAAGGAAGGAAGAAAAGCCAGTAAAGGGTCACTGATGAGCAGGTTATCACTGTGGGAAACTTGGCTCCCAGCTGCTAGGAACCCTCTGAGAGACCAAGTCAAGGGCACCGCAAAGCTCTCTATCTAAAGAACAAGGAGCCTGGCTCAGGTGCTTATCTATCAACTCCTGTCCCTCATTAATTGGGAATTATTCTCTGGGCCTTAACTTTCCCATCTCATGCCCTGGTCGAACACATTCCTGCATTCAGTGAAAGTTCTCAGATCGAAGAATAAATATGCAATCTGTCCAAAGAAACTGCAGCAACCTCCAGGCCAGGACAGGAGGAAAGGCAAGACACCCACTGTGTCTGCTATGACTTTGTTTCCATGTAAATCCAGTGATCAACGAGTGGCTACATGGAGACAATGTGTAAAGAGTAAAGAAAGAACAAGGAAGGGGTAGGCGGTAAGTGAAAGCACCCCTATCAATCAAGATATGGGTGAAAAATGAAATAATGAGAGCACAGTATGAATTTAAGAGAGACGAGGTAAAAATACACAATTAAGTTTCCGCTTCTGTTCCGTGACTCTACATTATTTAAACCATAGAACACATACATATGCTAAACAAATTAAATCCAGCTTGTATGTAGAGAAACATGCTTAAACTGTGCTTACAGATTCAAGGAATAGAAAAATATTTCTCTTGGAAGAACTAGTCACTTCACTGTGATGAAGATATCACTGTACTTTCATATATTTCATTGAAATTCATTTTCAACAGGTATTTCATTGAAATATAAGTAGCAGTGAATATTTCACAAAATAAAGATGAGATAATATATTAGAAGTTGATGTGAAAACTCAAAATAATCTACCCATTTATGTGGAGTTATTATTCAAATACTATCCTTCACATATTGATTGACTCTCATGAAGCCCAAGATTGGTATCATGCTGGGAAATTCTATTTAAAATGATGCTCTAGGAAATAACAATATTTGAAATTGTATTCATAAACAGTTTTTAATGTAGGAGTAAACTTTTGCTACAGATATTGAAGCCAACATGCATTTCTCATTGATATTCACAGGACAGACATTTATGGAAATGATTGCAAAGGCAGAATACTGTTCCTTTTTGAAAAATTGCATAACTTTTAGGAAGAGATGCGATTCATATGACCATGGATCCTAAATGAGAGATTCCCTAGATGGGCTTTGTTTGCCTGGCACAGTATCTGTTGTTGTTGTTATCAACAGTGATGAATGCCTTTAGGCATTGCTTGTTCTCCCTAGTGCAATAGGTTCCCTACCCATTCATTCATAAGTATTTCTACAGCATCTACTAGATATCAGGCCCTGTGACAGTAAGCTGTGATATATCAGCGAACAAAAGAGTCAAAGAATCCCTGCTGTCAGAAGTTTACAACTTAACAAGAAGAGAAACAGCACACTCTGCATGACTCTCCTTGTCTTAACTGACTTTGTATGTTTACTTCACCTGCCTGTTCTCTGAAGTCATATGCATTTACCAGGCTTGACTGGGATATTTATGTCATTAGAGCACGGTGAGCAAAGAAAACTGCCAAAAGTTACATTCTTCAGTAAACTAAGACTTTGCAAAATATAGTAAGTGACACTTATGCTTCTCAGGCCTCTGAGCCCAAGCCAAGCCATCGCATCCCCTGTGACTTGCACGTATATGCCCAGATGGCCTGAAGTAACTGAAGAATCACAAAACAAGTGAATATGCCTTGCCCCACCTTAACTGATGACATTCCACCACAAAAGAAGTGTAAATGGCCGGTCCTTGCCTTAACTGATGACATTACCTTGTGAAAGTCCTTTTCCTGGCTCATCCTGGCTCAAAAAGCACCCCCACTGAGCACCTTGTGACCCCCCACTCCTGCCCACTGAGCACCTTGCGACCCCCACTCCTACCCGCCAGAGAACAAACCCCCTTTGACTGTAATTTTCCTTTACCTACCCAAATCCTATAAAACGGCCCCACCCTTATCTCCCTTCGCTGACTCTCTTTTCGGACTCAGCCTGCCTGCACCCAGGTGAAATAAACAGCCATGTTGCTCACACAAAGCCTGTTTGGTGGTCTCTTCACACGGACGTGCATGAAATTTGGTGCCGTGACTCAGATCGGGGGACCTCCCTTGGGAGATCAATCCCCTGTCCTCCTGCTCTTTGCTCCGTGAGAAAGATCCACCTACGACCTCAGGTCCTCAGACCGACCAGCCCAAGAAACAAACATCTCACCAATTTCAAATCCGGTAAGCGGCCTCTTTTTACTCTCTTCTCCAACCTCCCTCACTATCCCTCAACCTCTTTCTCCTTTCAATCTTGGTGCCACACTTCAATCTCTCCCTTCTCTTAATTTCAATTCCTTTCATTTTCTGGTGGAGACAAAAGAGACATGTTTTATCTGTGAACCCAAAACTCCGGCACCGGTCACGGACTTGGAAGGCAGCCTTCCCTTGGTGTTTAATCATTGCAGGGACGCCTCTCTGATTATACACTCACGTTTCAAGGGTGTCAGACCACGCAGGGACGCCGCCTTGGTCCTTCACCCTTAGCGGCAAGTCCCGCTTTCCTGGGGCAGGGGCAAGTACCCCTCAGCCCCTTCTCCTTCACCCTTAGTGGCAAGTCCTGCTTTCCTAGGGGGCAAGAAGCCCCCAATTGCTTATTTCCGCACCCCAACCTCTTATCTCTGTGCCCCAATCCCTTATTTCTGCACCCTGACCTCTTATCTCTGTGCCCCAATCCCTTATTTCTGTGCCCCAACCCCTTCTCTGCTTTTCTGGAGGGCAAGAACCCCCCACCCCTTCTCCGTGTCTCTACTCTTTTCTCTGGGCTTGCCTCCTTCACTATGGGTAAGCTTCCACCTTCCATTCCTCCTTCTTCTCCCTTAGCCTGTGTTCTCAAAAACTTAAAACCTCTTCAACTCACACCTGACCTAAAACCTAAATGCCTTATTTTCTTCTGCAATGCTGCTTGACCCCAATACAAACTCGACAGTAGTTCCAAATAGCCAGAAAATGGCACTTTGAATTTTTCCATCCTGCAAAATCGAAATAATTCTTGTCGTAAAATAGGCAAACGGTCTGAGGTGCCTGACGTCCAGGCATTCTTTTACACATCAGTCCCTTCCTAATCTCTGTGACCAGTGCAACTCGTCCCAAATCTTCCTTCTTTCCCTCCCGCCTGTCCCCTCAGTACCAACCCCAAGCATCGCTGAGTCTTTCTAATCTTCCTTTTCTACAGACCCATCTGACCTCTCCCCTCCTCCCCAGGCTGCTCCTCGCCAGGCTGAGCTAGGTCCCAATTCTTTCTCAGCCTCTGCTCCTCCACCCTATAATCTTTTTATCACCTCCCCTCCTCACACCTGGTCCGGCTTACAGTTTCGTTCCGTGACTAGCCGACTAGCCCTCCCCCTCCTGCCCAGCAATTTACTCTTAAAAAGGTGGCTGGAGCTAAAGGAATAGTCAAAGTTAATGCTCCTTTTTCTTTATCCCAAATCGGATAGCGTTTAGGCTTTTTTTCATCAAATATAAAAATCCAGCCCAGTTCATGGCTCATTTGGCAGCAACCCTGAGACACTTTACAGCCCTAGACCCTAAAAGGTCAAAAGGCCGTCTTATTCTCAAAATACATTTTATTACCCAATCTGCTCCCGACATTAAATAAAACTCCAAAAATTAAATTTCGGCCCTCAAACCCCACAACAGGATTTAATTAACCTCGCCTTCAAGGTGTACCATAATAGAAAAAAGTTGCAATTCCTTGCCTCCATTGTGAGACAAACCCCAGCCACATCTCCAGCACACAAGAACTTCCAAAGGCCTGAACCGCAGCAGCCAGGCGTTCCTCCAGAACCTCCTCCCACAGGAGCTTGCTACATGTGCCGGAAATCTGGCCACTGGGCCAAGGAATGCCCGCAGCCTGGGATTCCTCCTAAGCCGCGTCCCATCTGTGCGGGACCCCACTGAAAATCGGACTGTTCAACTCACCTGGCAGCCACTCCCAGAGCCCCTGGAACTTTGGCTCAAGGCTCTCTGACTGACTCCTTCCCAGATCTTCTCGGCTTAGCAGCTGAAGACTGACACTGCCCGATCGCCTCGGAAGCCCCCTAGACCATCACAGACGCCGAGCTTCCGGTAACTCTCACAGTGGAAGGTAAGCCCGTCCCCTTCTTAATCAATACAGAGGCTACTCACTCCACATTACCCTCTTTTCAAGGGCCCGTTTCCCTTGCTTCCATAACTGTTGTGGGTATTGACGGCCAGGCTTCTAAACCTCTTAAAACTCCCCAACTCTGGTGCCAACTTAGACAATACTCTTTTAAGCACTCCTTTTTAGTTATCCCCACCTGCCCAGTTCCCTTATTAGGCCGAGACACTTTAACTAAATTATCTGCTTCCCTGACTATTCCTGGACTACAGCTATATCTCATTGCCACCCTTCTTCCCAAGCCAAAGCCTCCTTTGCGTCCACCTCTTCTATCCCCCCACCTTAACCCACAAGTATAAGACACCTCTACTCCCTCCTTGGCGACCGATCATGCACCCCTTACCATCTCATTAAAACCTAATCACCCTTACCCCACTCAAGGCCAATATCCCATCCCGCAGCACACTTTAAAAAGATTAAAGCCTGTTATCACTCACCTGCTACAGCATGGCCTTTTAAAGCCTATAAACTCTCCTTACAGTTCCCCCATTTTACCTGTCCTAAAACCAGACAAGTCTTACAAGTTAGTTCAGGATCTGCACCTTATCAACCAAATTGTTGTGCCTATAAACCCCGTGGTGCCAAACCCATATACTCTCCTATCCTCAATACCTGCCTCTACAACCCATTATTCTGTTCTAGATCTCAAACATGCTTTCTTTACTATTCCTTTGCACCCTTAATCCCAGGCTCTCTTCGCTTTCCCTTGGACTGACCCTGACATCCATCAAGCTCAGCAAATTACCTAGGCTGTACTGCCGCAAAGCTTCACAGACAGCCCCCATTACTTCAATCAAGCCCAAATTTCTTCCTCATCTGTTACCTATCTCGGCATAATTCTCATAAAAACACACGTGCTCTCCCTGCCGATCGTGTCCGACTGATCTCTCAAACCCAAGCACCTTCTACAAAACAACTCCTTTCCTTCCTAGGCATGGTTAGCGCGGTCAGAATTTTTACACAAGAGCCAGGACCACACCCTGTAGCCTTTCTCTCCAAACAACTTGACCTTACTGTTTTAGCCTAGCCCTCATGTCTGCGTGCAGTGGCTGCCGCTGCTTTAATACTTTTAGAGGCCCTCAAAATAAGTAGAGGCCTTTCCTACAGGGTCTGAGAAGGCCACCGCAGTCATCTCTTCCGTTCTGTCAGACATAATTCCTCAGTTTAGCCTTCCCACCTCTATACAGTCTGATAACAGACCAGCCTTTATTAGTCAAATCAGCCAAGCAGTTTTTCAGGCTCTTGGTATTCAGTGAAACCTTTATATCCCTTATGGTCCTCCATCTTCAAGAAAAGTAGAATGGACTAAAGGTCTTTTAAAAACACACCTCACCAAGCTCAGCCACCAACTTAAAAAGGACTGGACAATACTTTTACCACATTCCCTTCTCAGAATTCAGGCCTGTCCTCGGAATGCTACAGGGTACAGCCCATTTAAGGTCCATAACACCCCCCAAAAAATTTTCGCCGCCCCAACACTTCAACACTATTTTGTTTTATTTTTCTTATTAATATAAGAAGGCAGGAATATCAGGCCTCTGAGCCCAAGCCAAGCCATCGCATCCCCTGTGACTTGCACGTATACGCCCAGATGGCCTGAAGTAACTGAAGAATCACAGAAGAAGTGAATATGCCTTGCCCCACCTTAACTGATGACATTCCACCACAAAAGAAGTGTAAATGGCCGGTCCTTGCCTTAACTGATGACATTACCTTGTGAAAGTCCTTTTCCTGGCTCATCCTGGCTCAAAAAGCACCCCCACTGAGCACCTTGCGACCCCCACTCCTACCCGCCAGAGAACAAACCCCCTTTGACTGTAATTTTCCTTTACCTACCCAAATCCTATAAAACGGCCCCACCCTTATCTCCCTTCGCTGACTCTCTTTTCGGACTCAGCCCGCCTGCACCCAGGTGAAATAAACAGCCATGTTGCTCACACAAAGTCTGTTTGGTGCTCTCTTCACACGGATGCGCAAGAAAATGCTGAAATCTATTCACTGAACAATATAAATAGAAAAGCTAGAGAAACAGAACTTGTGTTCTAAGGTGAGCAAAAGTCAGTGAAGCAAAAAAGATGATCCCCGTGTATAAGCTATACCAATAGTTGGGGTACTAATACCTAGCAGCGTGAAAGGTCTTTATAAACATTGACAAGGTATGATGAAGAAAAAAATTAGCACTACACATATCTCCTTCCCTTGATCAACAATCCTTTACTGTTCTTTCCAACAGGTGAGGTCCTGGCAAACTTGGTCTCATTCAAGTTTACAGGAAGCTGAGCATTCACTTGCTGCAGAATCCCAGAGGGTCAGCTCCCATAGAGAGAAAAATCCAAGCTAAGCATTTCCAACTGAAGTGTTTGTTGTCCATAAAATTTTCTTGTTATTAATGGAAAACACCAGAATTTTAAGCACAGTACTAGACTGTAAAGACACTTTCACCACAAAATCAGCAGAGCATGAACTTTCTATTTCTTCTACCTGGAATTCTCTTCCAGTGCTTGTCCACTCATTAAACCAGTCATCAGGCAATTTATCATGCTCAAATAACAATAACAATTCTTCACCAAAATTTCCAGCTTTTGTCCAGACCAACTGAGTTGCTTCTTTCTTTGTGTGAGAATAGCTCTTTATAATACCCCCTCATTAGGACATTTGCCCCTATGCTTTCACTGTGAGATATTTAGGAGTAGGACATCAGAGTAAAAAGGGTAGTGTTTTTCATCTTTGTACCACCAGCACCCAGAAGAGTATTTGACAAAGAATAGGTGCTCAATAAAATTTTACTGAATAAAAGAAAGTTGAATTTAAAAATTATTAAACCAAAACTCCATCTAAGCTCTGAGTATTCATCAAACTTAATTTAAAATGATCAAAAGGCCAGGCATGATGGCTCACACTTGTAATCCCACAATTTGGGAGGCCAAGGCAGGAGTAACACTTGAGGTCGGGAGTTCAAGACCAACCTGGCCAACATGGCAAAAATATGCCTCTACCAAAAATACAAAAATTAGCCAGGTGTGGTGGCACAGACCTGTAGTCCCAGCTACTTGGGAGGCTGAGGCAAGATAATTGTTAGGATCCGGGAGATAGAGGCTGCAGTGAGCCGAGATTGTGCCACTGCACTCCAGCCTAGGGAGACAGCGAGACTTTGTTTCAAAAACTACAGAAAGTAAAATAAAATAATCAAAAAAACCTACAAACACTGTGAAATAGTGTGACAGATGATAAGAATTTCATGAGCCATTTATTGACAAATTCTAGTTATGACAACTTGCAAGTTATTTCATTGTTCTACCCATTTAAACTTACCTATGTTTTATATTACTAACAAGGAGATGGCAAAGCATTTATCTATCAAAATGTAATGCACCACTCCCAAAAAAAAAAAATACAGTGTACTGTTTGCACTCCTTTGTACTTATTTGTTCATTTATACCATTGAACATTATTTTTAATAAACCATGTAACTCAGCCGAATGTTGACTCTGAAACCAAAATAAAGGCTACGTGGCTTTTTTCACAAGAGGGCTAGTATGTACATACTTTAATGGGGATTTAGCAAATTAGTCAAGATTTAAAGCTCTTTTCTGAGTGTAAAATAGCAACAGCAGAAGAGATAAAGACATCACCTCTAAGACCATCTGGTGTTGATTTCATAGCTATAGTTTTTACTTTTTCATTTTGTACCATATGGAAAGGTACTCTCCTACTGGGAAAAATATTTTGTCTGAAAAAGATTAGTTTTCTTTTTCATAATCCATTCTGGGGACACTTTATCACAGTGTAATATTTTGAACACCTTTATGACTCTGTAACTTTATTTTATAGAAATTTTGGCTAACATTTATTTATAGCCAATCTTAAAGGATAATGTTGAATAAATTTAACTCTGCTGGGCCTCTGTTTGCTCTTCTAAAAAGTGAGAAAATTCTGTTACATAATTTCTAAAGGATTGCTTAGAGCAAGTTTTTATCATGATTAGGAAAACATCTGCACATATAGCCTCTTAATCTATGATATATCTATGTTTGGCTACTCAAATGTCTACATTGGTTCCATGATATAGCAAAGATTAAAAATCACATCAGGGGATTAATTAGCTAGGCCAACAATTACTACCAAATAAACTCATTGTAAATTTAGAGATGTACGTATGTTCTATTTTAAGAAAAAATCCTAATTCAACATATATTTATTAAGTACCAATTGCATACCAGGCATTGGAGATGTTAGAAAAAAAACAGGCCAAAATCCTGCCCTTGTGGAGTTTGTAATTAGGAGACAATTATAGCCCTTAAAATGTCCTAGACATTCTCCAAAAGCTTTGCATACATTAACTCATTTAATTATAGGAGGTAGGTACTATTATTACTTTATTTTATTTTTTACCAAACTGAGAAACCATTTAGAAACACTTTTGATAACCCCTAAGTCACACAGCTAGTGAAAAGTGAAGCTGGGATTCTATTCTAGGGAATCTGGCTTAAGATGAATGTAAAAGGCTGTAGGTAAACTCCAATGCAAAATAAACAAAATTCATAATTTCCAAGTTTGATTGAATATTGGATGATATTTAGGCCAGGAGAAGAATTAGTGCTGCCTCTCTAACAGAAAGAAGGAATAGCATTGATGCCATCTAGTATATTATGAAAAAATTGGATAGAGTAAAAACAAACTTGATTTGCTAGTCAGAATTGCAGAAATATTCACCATCCAAAATAGAAGTTGAAAAGGATTTGTGAACCACATAAGTCATAATTACAAAGCCTAAATCCTGAAGTGTCCGTGGAAGAGGTTCTTAAGCCATTGCTCTGGATATGTTCACATCTCACACATACAAAACTTTTTAATTGGCTCAGTGATTTAAATTCTCAGAATCTAAGAGGTAACGAGGAGAAATTTAAAATGGAAAGACTTCTTGAGG